>NC_000023.11:154172575-154475606 GCF_000001405.40 Homo sapiens | reverse complement strand
TCCTTATTTGTGCAGTTGGTTGTTATGTGGACTTGTCTAGTTTTGGTAAACACCTACGGTCCTATAACCACCACCACTGTCTGGCACCGTGGCCCCACAGCTGGACGGCTGGAGCTGGCAGCTTTTAAACCCAACTCAGGTGGCTGTCCAAGCCACCCTATTTAAAATTGCATCTCAAAAAAAAACAAAAACAAAAAAAGAAGAAAGGCCAGGAACAGTGGCTCATGCCTGTAATCCCAGCACTTTGGGAGGCTGAGGCGGGCGGATCACCTGAGGTCGGGAGCTCGAGACCAGCCTGACCAACATGGAGAAACCCTGTGTCTACTAAAAATACAAAATTAGCTGGGCGTGGTGGCACATGCCTGTAATCTCAGCTACTCAGGAGGCTGAGGCAGGAGAATCACTTGAACCCGGGAGGCGGAGGTTGCGGTGAGCCAAGATCATACCATTGCACTCCAGCCTGGGCAACAAGAGTGAAACTCTGTCTCAAAAAAAAAAAAAAAAAAAATTGCATCTCACTTGGCTGGGCACAGTGGCTCACAACTGTAATCCCAGAATTTTGGGAGGCCAAAACAGGAGGATCACTTGAGCCCAGGAGGTTCAAAACCAGCAAGACTCCATCTCTACTAAAGAAAAAAAAAAAAAACAAAAAACAGCTGGGTATGGTGGCAAGCACTTGTAATCCTAGCTACTCAGAAGGCTGAGGCAGGAAGATCACTTGAGCCCAGGACATCAAGGCTGCAGTGAGTTGATTTTGCCACTGCACTCCAGCGTGGGCAACAGGGCAAGATCCCGTCTCCAAAAAAAAAAAAAAAAAAAAAAAAAAAAAAGGTCAGGCATGGTGGCTCACGCCTGTAATCCCAGCACTTTGGGAGGCTGAGGCAGGTGGATCACGAGGTCAGGAGATCGAGACCATCCTGGCTAACACAGTAAAACCCCGTCTCTACTAAAAATACAAAAAATTAGCCGGGCGTGGTGGTGGGCACCTGTAGTTCCAGCTATTCGGGAGGCTGAGGCAGGAGAATGGCGTGAACCTGGGAGGCGGAGCTTGCAGTGAGCCGAGATCATGCCACTGCACTCCAGCCTGGGCGACAGAGCGACACTCCGTCAAAGAAAAAAAAAAAAACATAAAAAGTAAAAATAAGATTCCATCTCACCTGGCCGGGCACAGTGGCTCATGCCTGTAATCCCAATACTTTGGGAGGCTGAGGGGTGAGGATCACTTGAGACCAGGAATTCAAGACCAGCCTGAACAACATAGCGGCAACCTATCTCAAAAAAAAAAAAAAAAAAAGCCTGGCATAGTAGAGTGCACTAATACACCCAGCTATTCAGGAGGCTGAGGTGGGAGGATCACTTGAGCCCAGGAGTTTGAGACTGCACTGAGCTGTGATCTTGCCACTGCACTCCAGCCTGGGCAACACAGCTACACTCTGTCTCAAAATAAATAAATAAATAAATTGCATGTCACCTTCTCCCCACCTGCATTACTTAACAGGCCTGGGAGTAAGACTTTGGTAGGTGCACCATGATGGGTGCCACAACCTCGACAGTATGCAATTGTCAGGTTTTGAAGGAGCTGGCTGCAGCTGAAACCGCCGGAGGGTTCTAAACAGTGAGGCAACATGATCCACCTTATATCATAACAGGATCTCTCTGCCTCCCACGCTGAGAACAGGCTGAAGAGAGCCAGGGCAGAAGCAGGGAGACTGGCATCCAGGCAGAGATAGACGATGGCACAGGAGAGCTGGGTGGGGGTGGTGGAAGGGAGGAGAATCTATCTACCTTGAATCTGTCTTGAAGGTAGAGCCACCGGGGTTTGCTGATGGGTCGGGTATGGCCCTGAACCTCCCCAAACCCTCTGGGACCCTGCAAGGAGTGGTCCTTTCTCCCACAATGGGGCTCCAGCTCATGCAGCATCCACAGGTCTACTGACCTGCCCCAAGGACAGAGCCCCACATGGATGGCATTTCCCCAACATTTAATCAGGAAAAAACATTCCATGAACAAAGAAAAACTCATGCAACTAAAGAGGAGAGAACGGGGGGTCTGGGACTGTCAGACAGGGCCAGATTCCTCAGAGGAGGCAGAAGACACAGAGTAGTAAGGCACGGCCGCCTTGGCCCCACAGGGCGGGCACTGGACGGAGCGGGCGCTGAATGGGGCGGCTGAAGGAGTCGGAGCAGGTGCAGACAACACTGAGGACGTTTGGCAGTAGGCTCAGGAGGAGGAGCGTTCTAGGGCCCCCAGGCCCAAGTCAGGCCCTGGCACAAGCCTGAGTCCAGCCCTCCAGGTGCTCAGAGAGAATAGGGCCCCGAGATGCTTGAGGGGGACCCTGTGGTCCAGCGTGGCACAGCCACAATTCTGAGGAAGCTTTGGAGGCCTCACCCCAAGTGCTGCTGGTACCGTGACCCCGCCTTGGAATGGGTGGGGTCAGCCATGGCAAGGGTGAGGTGCCAGAGGCCAGACCGAGGCTGATAATGCTACACAAAGGAGCCCAGACGGGTGGCAGGGCCCAGGACAGCTCAAGAAGAGGCAGGTGAGTGAGGGTGGCGACATCCGGTGGGGGGACACATATTTACAGATGGAGACAGAGGCGAAGTTCGATTCAATAAATAGGCAGAGGGATATAAATAGCAGGGAGGGTGGGACTGTCCCAACACCTGGGCACAGGGCAGGAGGGTGGGGGTATTGCTGCTGCTGGGGTGGGGGCTCGCCCTGTCACCCCTCCCCCTGCAGGGCCCAAAGCAAGGCACTAATGAAGGGGGCCTGGGTGTGCCGGGGGCATCGTGGCCAGGGTGACCTGCCCCACGATACCCAATCCAGGGCTCAGCCCGGGGACCCAGGCTTGAGCCAGCCACTCCCCTGGATGGGAGGACGGCACAGGACTGAGAAGCCCCCTCCTCACCGATTCCACCACCTTAGCTGTCGCTGGACACGAGGCTGATGATCTGTTCCAGTTTCT
This sequence comes from Homo sapiens, assembly GCF_000001405.40. NCBI lineage: Eukaryota > Metazoa > Chordata > Mammalia > Primates > Hominidae > Homo > Homo sapiens. The sequence goes on along the minus strand of NC_000023.11, from coordinate 154,472,641 downwards.
GCCGCAACTTATGCTTCCGACAAGAGGCATCTCGGTCCAGAGCCGTGAGAATCTGGGGGAGAGGAGTCCCCTGGAGCTGGGCTCTGTAGGGGGCGCAGCTCCTGCCATGCAAAGTCCCCACTTCCCAGCTGGGCTCCTCCCTCCCACACGCCTCATCCCTCCGTCCTCCCCCGCAGCCCCTGTACAAACCCACCAGCTCTCCCCAGCCCCAAATGCCCCTCCGACGACAGCACTTTCTCCTCCTCCTCTCCACAGCTAGGGTGCGGCCTGTCCCTAGAGTGACCTGGACTCTGGACTCGCCGTGCTGGATTCCCCCTCCCATTACCTCCTAGCCCAAGCCTCCCTCGCGCCAGGACCCCGTGACCCTCGCCAGACCCAGTGAGTGTTCTGCAGGTCACCATCCTTCACCAGCAGCAGCACTGGAAGATGGAGCCGGCCACTGCCACTCCCTGACCTGTGAGGGGTCCTCACTGGCTCAGGTTGCCAGACCCCACCAGGCGCTCTCAGGCATCCTCCCCGCTGGCTGCTGCACCTCCCCTCCCCTCCCCTCTTTGTGTCCTGGGGCCCTGGGCTCAGTGTTTGGGCCGCTTCTCCCTCCACACCCACTTGTGGCTTCCCTGTGAGCTCATCCAGGCTCAGGGCTTTAAATGCCATCCACAGGCTTGCAAATGTGTCCAGCCCAGACTCCATCCTAAAGTCCACACCTCTATGTCCTCCTGCCTCTGGCTATTTCTCATCACAAAGCCTGACCCATCCCTTCCAGTGCTCAGGCCCTTTAACTTTTGCCCAGTGGCCACTTTGTACCCAGCCAGTGGCTTATCTCCTGGGTCCCTCAAATTCCAGCATCTACCTGTGATCCCAGAGAGCATCACCTGTGCCGGCCCCAGGCCCTGGTCAGGGGAGAGACCGTGAACAATCCCCAACCCCCACCAACCCTCCTGCCTTTGTCACTGGCTGCACCTTCAGGACCAAGTAACTGGGAGTCTGTGGGGATGACACACACCTCCTGGCGGTACTTGGTGACATAGAAATACAGCTCGTTGAGCGCACTCAGGACGCTGAAGTCGCTGGCGTGGAGGCGGGACTGCTCCACCAGGTAGGCATCCATGTCCTGGTCGCTGATGGATGCCATCTTTGCAATGTCTCGATAATACCTGTTGGGACCCTGAGTATGTCACTCAGGCGACATCACAAAAACTAGAACCCCTGCCCTCACTGCCCAGCCAGCCCCCGGGCTTCCTGCCTGTAGCTGGCCTGCCTCGCACAGGCAGCCCAGGGAGGGGCAGGTCCTGCCCTCTGCCACCCACAGCAGGGCGGAGCCCACCTCTCCACCCAGCTCTTGTAGTTGGGGATGTCCTTGGCGTAGAGCAGTTTGTTGGAGGGCGAGTCCTTCCCCAGGCGGTGCTCGGATGTAGAGCAGGAGTCCATGAAGGTCTGGGCTACCACCGACAGGCAGGCATCCGTGATGCTGTTCTTGTGGATGTCGAACACGAACTGCGGGTTCTTGATCACATTCACCCAGAAGCGCAGCGGCAGGCTGTGGACAACAGAGGGACGTGCGCCTGAGGCTCCCTAGTTAGCCCCAAGGGGCCCCTCCCATGTGCACATCTCTTTCCTGTCGGGCCGGCTCACATCTTGTCCAGAGGTGGTGAGAGCAACACATTTAGGGTGAACGGCCTTTCCTCTAAGTCTCTGCTGAACTTCTGTTCTCAATAGGGCTCAACCCCCTCCGCAGCTTCTCCTGTCACCGCTCTCACCACCTGCGACCGACCACCAGCATCTCTACCTGGTGCAAGACCCCAGAGGGCAAAGGCCTCACCACCACCATCCCACCCACCCAGGCAGTCCAGCTCCAGAACTGGACGCAACAGGCCCCTTGGCTTGATGGCACCGTCAGTGTCAACCCCAGGCCAGGCCTCATTCCCTCCTGCCTGGATGCTACTCCAGGCCCTGGGTCTCAGCAGAGCCACCAGCGTCTTCCGCCCACCAGTCTCCAGACAGGCTGCTGGCAGCCCAGCACGGGGTGATACCAGTTGCTCTTCCAGGTGTGGCGCACATCGGGGTCGCTGATCTGGCGCTGGTCCGCCTGCTCATCCAGGAAGTCGAACATGTACTTGATGGCCAGGGGCAGGGCCGAGCCCCGGTGGGCTGTGCTGAACACTGTCTCAAAGAGGTCATCCACGAACTTCTGCAGTGTGCCCTGTGTGGGGCAGAGAGGTCACAGGCTATGAGGGAGCCAGGTTGGGATGTCCCCAGAGCAGGACAGATGGAGGCAGAAAGGCTTGGCAAAGAGAGGGGCTTCCCTACAGGGCCAGTGGTCTCTCAGACAGACATGGCCTTTATCTAAGGCTCAGAGTTCCCACAGCAAAGACCCGAAGAAAGGCCCACTGGAAGCAAATGATCCATGGCCCCTCCCCTGTAAGGCCGGGACAACCTCTGGGCGGAGGCCAAGGTGGCGAGAGGCAGGCCCATACCTTGGTGGCCAGCAGCCGTGTCAGGTAGATCTCGGAGACCATCTTGCTGCCACGGTCCCCCTCGCGATGGTCGGCATGGTCGTGGTTTTTCACCAGGTGCCACAATTTGGTGCCTGTCTCCTGGTCAGGCGTAATCATGGGTGCCCGTGAGCGGAGGCTATCAGGGCTGCTGGCCGTGCGGAGCAAGCTCTCTGGAGCAGAGAATGCATGTGACCCTTAGGCCACCACCTGGCCCCTGCCCCACTCTCCCGGGAGCTCAGCAGCATGTGGGGACCCATCTGCCCTCGCTGGCCGACCCTCCGTCTACACTCTACAGAATCGATGGCACTTGGAAGTGGGGGTTCCCTCGAAGGGCACATGGCCACCACACTGAGGACACCTACCGTAGCGGCTGAGGGAGCGGGTGAAGGTGAAGGAGTTGGCCATGTTATAGGCAGACACTTGTTTGGGCACCAATGCCACCAAGGAACCGTCTGTCACCTGGAGGCCCCAGAGACAGAGGGGGGCAGTGCAGGAAGCTGAGAAGCCAAGGCGCCCCCACCCACCCACACCCAGGAGGGGAGCCCACGAGCCCAGGGAGAAGGGCGAGGGGAGCCAGGGCCACTGCTCCCGTGTCCTGCTGCAGCTCAAGGCAGGGTCCTGGCTCCCAGGTGGCCCTGGGGAGGAATGGGCCCCAACCCCTCACCTGGTAGTGGGCCAGTGAGTTGAGCCTCTTCCAGTCACACTCGATCTTGGTGGTGACATCCTCATCCTGGAGGATGATGCGAGTCATGCGGCCCTGGCGCCACTCTGTGGGCCACAGACAGCCCTTAAGATTATGCTGGCAGCCCCCAAGTGCCTGGCCCACTCCTCTTTGGAAACAGGGTTCAGGTGGGGAGCGGGAGAGCCCACGGAGGTCACACGGCACAGGAGGGTATGAGTGGGAGCCAGGAGGAGAGGGTGGGGACCTCACCCAGGTCCATGTCCTCAGCTTTGGGACGCTGGGAGTACGGAATGCCCTTGTACACAGTGTCCAGCAGCTTATCTTTGGCCTGGGTGATGCTGTCACAGTTGAGAACCTTCACTGGGACCTGGGCGCTGCCCTCGTTCTCCGGACACACGCAGTGAAGGGTCTGAGGGGAAAGCGGACTCCAGTGTCAGTCTGGGGCGAGGCCTCTCTCTGCACCCCTACCTCTGGCCCGCCTGGCCCTGCGCTCACCAGTGTCTTGTAGTCGATCTGCTGACGGATGAGCTTGTCCTCGCTCAGGGAGTATCGTGCCTCGCCCGTGATGGCATCAATGGGGCCCTTCTCCATCTGCTGCTTGATGGCACAGTAAAGCAGGAAGAGAGGCTCCCCAGCACACTCCTGCAGCCAGGGACAGGTGCACAGCTGGCTGCCTGCCTGACCACTGGCCGGTCCTCTGCCACCACCTCCCTGCCGCCCACCCACCTGGCGCACCTTCAGAAACTTATGCAGCAGGAACGTGAACCAGTTGGTAAGCATCTTCTCAGCCACTGACTCTGTCCTAGGGCAAGAGAAGGGGGCTCGGGCCTGGCAGGGGTGGGGCTTGGACAGGGGGCAGGCCCAGGCAGGACAAAGGTGTGGCCTGGATAGAGCAAGGCAGGTACCTGCGTAGCAGCAGCTTGGGGTGGTTCTTGCTCTCGAGGTTCTTCTCGATGAGGTCGGCCAGCAGTTGCTTGAGCAGCCCCGTGGCATAGTCGAGCCGGCTCTGCAGGGCCACCATGGTGAGCGAGGCCACGGTGCCGCGGTCGCGCATGGAGAAGCTGCTCTGGGCCTCCAGCGTGTGGATGAAGGTAAGCACGAACGCGCGGCTGTGCAGCAGCTGCCCGAAGAGGCGCAGGGCCTTCTCCACGTTGGGTGGCGTCTGTGGGGAGCAGGAGGTCTCAGAGGGTGGGGGCGGCCCTGAAGGGAATGGTGGGGGGCAGGCCAGGCAGAGGCTCACATCCAGCTCCTTGAGCACCGGGTGGGCCTCGATGCCCGGGAAGAGCACGCGCACGGCGTAAGTCCGGTAGTCCAGGAAGGGGATCTGCACCTCGTCCATGTGGTTAGTCAGCTCATTGATGTCCGTCTGCAGCTCTGCAAAAGCTGGGGGGTGGAGAGAGGGAATGAGTGGGCAGGAGGGAGGTCCCCAGCTTCCACACCACATCCCGCCCCGCCTCAGGCACCTTCCTTGCACTCCAGGGCCACACGGGACTCCAGGTTGTCCATCTGCAGCTGCAGACGCTTGAGGGTACGGTCCGCGTCCTGAGTCTTGCGCTTGTAGGCCACCAGCACGGCTGTGATGGCCAGCAGCAGGAGCCCACCCCCCGCCGCCAGCCCCATCATGGCCGGTAGGGTCAGCGCCCGCTCTGCCGAGATGTGCAGGGTGCCCAGCCAGAACTCCAGGCCACCCACCAGCACCTGTGGGGACAGGCCTGAGGTGAGCTGACCACCACGCCCACCCTGGGCTGCCCAGGGGGTCTCCCCATCCCCACCTACCATGACAGGCTGCCGGCCAGTCTGGCTGGGTGAGTCGCACAGGAGTTGTGTGTCCGAGACAGTGAGCGAACACGGCTGGCCTCCTATCAGCACAGTGTAGTTGAGGCGGGAGCTGCCGGCTGCAGCGGGAATCAGGTTCTTGCCCTGGGGGTGGAGGACAACTTCAGCCCAGGACTCTCCACTTTCCCGCCCCTCCCCGCCCCCACCCCGCCCGCACCTTCAGCACCACGTGGGAGCCCGGTTTGACGTCCAGCACGCCAGAGGGCCCCAGCGGCTCAAAGCTGGGATCAGGGTAGTAGGTAAAGGAGGAGCGGTTGAGGGAGCGGGCCGTTTGCACGTGGTCCAGCAGGAAGCCAAACTCATCAGGGTGCTCGCCTTGCGCCCGAGGCTGGGGCCGCCCAAGAAAGATGCCGGGGGCCTTACACAGCATGGCAGTGTCGTTGATCACTTGGCATGTCTGTGGGGACAAAGGTGGACAGCCAGGCACGTGAAGCCATGGGCTGCAGGGTCGGGGTGGGGCGGGGCAGCTGGTACTCACATTGGTGGTCTCAATGCCGCGGTACTTGGCACGGACCCGGGGCTCCTGGACCGTCAGCAGGTGGGTCCCACTCACAGTGATGGCAGTGCTTCCACTAGGGACAGGGCAGGGGCCTCAGGCTCCCTCCTCCAGTGCACCCACCCAGCCCTGGAGAGCGATCAAGGCTGCCATGGCAGCCCAGGCCTTCCCTGACCCTGGATCGCCTAGTGGGTGCCGGGTACTGTGCAGCCAGGACAGCTCCACCCCCTCCACCAATGAGGGCCTAGGCTCCAGGAGGGGCCCCACCGGAGCTCAGAGACCACCCAGTCCCTGAGCCCTCTGGACACTGCCAGGCTCCCCAGTCCCCCAGGGTCTTACTTGATGATGCTCCAGGTGGGCTCAAGGCGGGTGACGGTGGGGTCCTGAGTGTAGGTGTAGATGAGCCCGGGGCTGGAGATGTTAGCCCGGTCAATGGCAAGTGTGATGGGGGCCTGGCTGGGGCCCAGGGTGGAGAGAGGTGAGATGCACACGATCGCCTTGGCATCTCTCCTACATTGGCAAGCAGGGTGCTTGGAGCGGGTGGCCCAGGGCCCTCAGCCACCCGTCCCCACGGCCCCCCACACGATGCCCAACCCAAAGCTGGCAGGGCCCCGGCCCACCTTACAAACTGGCACTCGCTGTCCCTCACAGTCACTGTGACCCTGCTGCCAGCATCCAGAGAGCTGCCTGAGATGGTAAGCCGTGTGCCCCCGGACGCCGGGCCACGGCTGGGACTCACTTGGTCAAACGTTGGGGTCTGCGGGAGAAGCTGCCCTGAGGGGAGGAGCCGGGCCGGGCTGCTCCACACGCCCCTTGCGGGAGAGAGAAGGGACAGGAAGGGGTAGGGCCGGCAGCCACGCACCACAAAGCTGTAGACCTGCTCCGACTGCGTGCGGAAGTCGGCTGAACAGTCACCCACACACAGCTCCACGGGCCCCGGCGGCGGGCTGGGCACCAGCGACTCCTCCATCTCACACACGATCCTAGGGCTCAGAGAGCGTCAGGGCCGGCCAGGCCACATACGGCCCGGGCACCCACAGAGCCGCACTCACCTCTCAGCACTGATGTACTCGGCCGGAATGGAGTTGCAACGCACGCCAGCCACCCGCAGGCCCACCTCTCGGGACAAGAGGCCCAGGTTCTCACCCACGATGGTGACCCGGGTGCCTCCTTCCTTGGGCCCCACGAGAGGGTGGATCTGTGGAGCAGGATGGGCAGTGAGAGAGTTGGCTCAGACTCCCAGGGGCCCTGTTGGCAGTGGGCAGGGGCGGTGAGGGAGGCTGACCTGCGTGATGCGGGGGTGGCTGCACCGGGTGCCCTTCTGGCTCAGGTGCATCCAGTTGGTCTTCGGGGCCGGGCAGTGGGTCCGCAGCTGGCACCTGTGCTCTGAGATGCACCAGCCACAGTTGAAGCGGGGATCAGCCTTGAGGCAGAGGCCACAGCTGGGCCGCTGCGCCCAGCACTTGTACAGGAGGGCTGCAGGCACAGAAGGCACTGCTGACGGAGCAGGCAGTGGCAGAAAAGTGGAAAGTGGGGAGCACTAGGGCCCCCAGACCCGACCCCAGCAGTGCCAATTGCCTTAGGAGGGAAGCTCCCTGGCCCATGCCTTCACCTCGGAAGCTGGGAGGCTTGTCTATGGGGAAGTCTCCATCCCAGACCACGGAAAAGTCCAGCTCGGTGTCACCATGCTCATCACCTTCATAGGAGTACTGGAGGAAAGGAACCCATGGGACCCCAGATAAGATGTGCAGAACCCCTACCCAAGATTTTTGCCAGCTGCCCCCCTCCTCCAGGTACAGGAATCCCTAGCAGGAGACTCAGACAGTTCCCTGCCAGAGAGCTGGGCATAGACAAGAACGATCCACACCACGCCACAGCCCAGACCCCGAAGGGAGGCAGCGGGTGGGACCTCACCGAGGCGTTCTGGCACTGCACACTGCTGCTGTTGAAGCGCACGGCAGGCACCCGCTGCTGCCGCCCCTGCACCCGCACCACGCACTCATAGTTCTTCTGGCCCGACTGCGGCTGAGGTAGGTTCTTAGCCCGCAAGGTAAGAGGCTGCATGACCCCAACGGGGATCAGGAGGTCCCCACTGGGCAGGATCTCAGGGCAGCCCTGCGGGGAAAGCACCTGTCAGCTGCACACAGGGCCACCCTTCTCCAGGCCCAACCTGGAGAAGGCTCAAAGAAACCGAGAACGCATAGAAGCCGGTGGCCCCGCCCGCACCACAGAGCCCAGCCCCTCACATGCGGCGCCCGCCTCACCTCAGGGCTGTGGACCCTGCCCTCCTGGAAGGAGCACTCGTGGGGGCGGCTGGTACACGTGTGGCGGTACTTACACCAGTGGCAGGGGTAAGGGCTGCCAACACAGGACATGCACCTGGGGGGGAAGTGGCTTCAGAAATAACAGAGGAGGCTGCACTGCCCCTCACTGCTCCCCAATAGGACACATCGGGAACTGAAGGAAGAAGGCAGCCATATCAGGGGACAGAGAGATGTGGGGATGTCAGGGGCTATCAGGGCCTGACAGTTAGCCCCTGATGCCCCAGAAACAGCTGCCCTGAAGGTGTCGCCTGTCCCAGAGGTCCCCTCTATCCCCAGGGGTAGGGACGGGTGCTGGCCAGGTACTCACGACTGGAGGACGCTGCAGTTGTAGAAGACAAAGTCAGCACCGGCAAACCTCACGCCTGTCTCCTTGGAGAGAAGCTGCAGCCGCACAGTGCGGGTGGCCCCTGCAGCAGTCCCGGGGTGGCCGTGAACTCGCTGGGGGTAGGGAGAGGCCCCACTCTGCCCCATCCTGGGCAGCCCCAACCCACTGACCATGCCCCCTGGTAAGAGCTCGGAGCTCCTGGAGGGAGGGTGAGGGGCAGAGCAGTTCACCGGAGGGCAGCAGGACCGCCTCGTTCTCCGCCGCCGCCTCGAAGGCGCAGCTCACGCCCGCACTGAGGTCTGGCACGTTGTGCAGGGTGACGGTCAGCTGGGGGAAGCAGAGGGCTCAGGGCAGGGCGGACTCCCAGCACACATGTGCACACCCAGCCGGGCACCCCCAAGCTGCTCACCTGCACCCCAGGTGACGTCACTGACACATTGTTGGGCCGGACCCGCACCTGGACACACTTGCTCAGCTCCTCAGCAAAGCCGTGTGGGGCAGAGGCGCCCAGACAGGCCCCTTCGCGGCAGCACCTGCACGGGGTCGGGCCAGAGCCGGTCCCGCCACTGCCCCGGGAGGGCCCAGGCCTGTCCAGCTCACAGTGCCAGGCAACAGCGAGCCTTGGCCGCGTCCCCTGGGGCCCGAGGGACGTCACTCGGGGTGGAGGTTCCACTCATTAGCTGGAGAAAGTGGAGGAGGGCGGGGGGAGGCCGCAAGGGCACGGCTGGGTGTGGCTGGCTCCCCCTGGCCAGTGGGGCCCTCCAACTCCCCGAGCAGGGGTCCCCGCCCTCACCTGTGTCGCAGCACACACCAACCACAGTGCGGGTCCCCGGAGCCCAGGCAGGCTGCGCAGCTCTGGTACTGCTCACAGGTCTCCACCGGGAGCTGGCTCACCTGGGGACAGCCACATCAGCACCCAGCCCACCCCCGCCCCACCACCCACCGCCACCCACCACAGGCCCACCTGCTTCTCACTCAGGAGATAGATGTGCCGGTGGTCCGGGCTGAAGAGCAGGTCTCGGAGGATGGGGCTGCCATCCACCACGGGGACTGTCTCATACAGGTGGGCATCCTGGAAGCCATCGACCCGCACCTGAGCCACAAGACCAGCCTGATGCCACCACAGCCTCCTGCACCTGGGACACTGTCTTCTCCAGCCAAAGACTTTGGAGGTTGTGGCTGAGCTGACGTCAGGACCTGGTGGGGTTCAGCACTCACACCCACAGCCCGGAGGCCAAAAAAAGGAGGGTGCAGACGCCAGAAAATGCCCTCAGCAAACAGAAGGACGGAGTGATTCGTGTTGCCCAAGGTCAGGGGATGCAGGGGAGGGGAAGAGCTAGAAGATGGCATTGATTAGGAGAATGAGGTAGTGGCGATGGTTGTGCCACTCTGCAGATCCACAGAAACCCACTGAACTGTGCACTTTAAAATGGGTGAATTGGATAGTACGCGTTCAACAAAGCTGCTACAAAGGAAAAGAGGGTCCCAGGAACAGAGCAGGTGGGCCAGGAGAGTTCATCATCCTTCTCCACAAACCCTTCCCTGCGCCCCCAGACCAACACTTGCCCTCCTGGGGGATGGCACTGCATCTACGAGGCAAGCAGGATGAGAGCACTGCAGTCCCCCGACTCCTACCTATTCAACACGTACCTGAGTGCCCAGAAGTTCATCTCCCCCTTCATGCCAAGCTACCCCCAGATCCCCAATGGAAGCAGCTTCAGCCCCCGGGCCCATGGGTAGGAGGGGAAGGATGGGAAGTAGTGAGCCAAGGAGAGGGCAGGGGCAAGTGGGTCTGTCCCAGGCATAGGGAGGCTTGAGGGGCAAGGCATTTGCTCCCTTGTTCATTCAACAGAGGACCCAGCAATGCTGGCTCAGCCCCAGGCCTGCTCTCGTGGCAGGGAGACTCCACAATAGGTCTGTTCTCTGTCCCCAGAGCCATACGAAGCTGGCAATTCAGTCCACAGTGGGAACTGGCAATGGTGAGGGTGGGCGGCCAAGGGGCGACCCGAGGAGCAGGGCCAGGCGCCTGGGACCCAGCCAGGGAAATCTCCCTCCCTGCACCAGCCGTGTCCTCTCCTGTCCTGTCCTCAGAGCTCTCCCGTGTGTTCCCACCAGCCTTGTCCCATATCTGAGACTGTCCCCACCCCCACATGCCCAGGGCTCTGGGGGCCACCTTCTTCAAGCTGCCGCTGCGCGTGCCAATGAAGACCACAGAGTGCTGGCGGTAGGTGTAGGCGGCCACGCTGGCCATGCCGTCGGTGCTGTCGGCCAGCAGGGGCAGCCCCTCGATCACATGCAGGCCTCCCAGAGGCTGGTTCAACACCAGCCCACAGAAGTTGCCGTTGATCTGCATGGGCTGGTGAAACAGAGGAGGAACCCGTGAGAGTCAAAGCTCCCAGGCGCAAGATGGAGGCCGGCAGTTCCTGTGTCCCAGAAGAGAGCGGGATCTAGAACCCGGTCCCCTCCAGCCAGGACTGACTGCTCGCCCTAGGGTGCTCCAGGAAATTGGTGGCTGCGGAGGGAGACAGAGGAGGGACAGCAGGGAGCGAGGAGCGAAGCCTGGGCCCACAAGACTCTTGTTGGCTCAAGACAAGGGGCAACCGGGAGACGGAGCAAGGAGGAACGAGCTGGGAACGGAAGGAAGCAGAAGTGGGGCACTGGGCAGCCCAGAGAGAGGCAAGGAGAGGGCAGGGACCCCTGGGAGGGAGAAACAGGTGGGAGGGCAAAGGTGCCACTCCCAGGGCCATGGCAAAGCCTGGGACAGGATGACTGGCCGTGAGCCCACGCTGGGCATGGTAGACCTGGGACAGGGCAGAGGACCAGTGTGGGGTGATGAGGGGCTCACGGTGTTGATGCAGGGCAGCTCCTTGTTCAGCAGCCAGGGCAGAGCCAGAGTGCCCTCCCCACGATAGCAGGACTGGATGCGGCGCCGGATGTGGGCATTGATGTTGCTGAGGGTGAAGAGGCAGAGGATGGTCTGCCGGGGTGGGCTGGCCCGGTTCTTCTGGCCCTGAGAGAAGATGGTGAAGAGGACGTCCTCATCAGCCGGCACGCCCAGGGCCTGGGCCAGCAGCAGGCCAGGCTTGGCCAGGTGGGCGCTCTGCACCAAGCGGTACTCCACGCCGCGCCAGGAGCAGCCGATGGGGAATTCCACGTATGAGTAGAACTCTGAGTCTCCCGCGCACATGCGCACGATCTTGGACGTGAAAAATTTCTCGCCCGCTGTGTCCAACAGCGTCTGCTGGGTGTCCAGCTGCAGCGTCAGGAAGTACACGAAGGAGGCGCTGACGAAGCCGTAGATGTAGTAGATGTCAAAGGCAGGGTACAAGGACAGCGTGTCTGAGGGGATCTTGATCTGGGAGGACACAAACTCATCCTGGTACACCTGGGGAGCAGGGGGAGGAGACAGCATCCGGTGAGGCCCTGTGCCAACATCACGGGCCACCGCCAGCTTCCCTCTGCATCCCCCTCCCGCCTGGATGATCACAGAGGCCCAGGCCAGAAAGGCTGCAGAGGGCAGGGTGACCAGCCTCCCTGCACACAGGGGACCCCCGCAACCTGGGTTCAGGCTGTCATCCCACCCTCCGCAACCTGTCTGCATCCCAGACACTGAGGAGCCGAAAGTCCCCTCTCAGAAAGAACAGGGCTCTTCTGGGAGGCAGAGCCAGGACTGGGTGGAGGAAGAAGAGAAGGAAGGCTCACGCACGAGACTGAACATGTCCGCGCTGTCTTCATCACTGATGAGCTTGCGGGAGCTCAAGGTGGGGAAGTACTCCGACTTGCCGTCGACAGCAGTGCCCACAAACAGCTTGCTGGGCCCCTGGCCCTGCTCCACAATGACACCAGCCATGGAGTCGGGCTCCTGGGCCCCCGACAGGTAGTGCTCCTTGCGGTGGTGCGGCTCACCCAGCTTGAAGAGGTCGTCCAGACGCAGGAACTGGCAGATGCCCTGCCAGATGCTGCCGCAGGCCACCAGGCGGCGGGCCGCATAGTCTATGAGCAGCAGCTTGTTGATGTTGTCCACGGGGGCCAGGCGGTGGGCACACACGCGCATGCTGGGGGGCGGGTAGCAGCGAGCGTTGTCCTCGACGGGCCCCGTGACATGGGCCCGCAGCTCAGTCAGGTTGGGGGCCAGCTTAAAGACTCGGTTCACTGCGCCCACGAACACCTCCCCAGTCACCCGGTGCACAGCCAGGTGGGTAAGCGTGGTGTCTGTCACCACGAAGGCACGGAAGGGCCTGTTGCCCAGGGCCCCCCCCACGGCAAGGAAGAGCAGCAGGAGGAGGCAGACAGAGGGCATGGCCGGCAGCCGCGCCTGGGGACAGGCCTAGGGAGAGACGGTGTGTGGGAGTCAGAGGCCTCGAGCCACAGAGGGCTGGGCCATTCACCCACCACCCCGCCAAAGCCCCAGATGGCCACCGTGACAGGGAGAGAGGAGGGGCCTCCGCCAGGGCGCATGAGTGAGCAGCCAGCGAGGGCAGGCTTGGGGGCCATCAATCGTCCCTCAGCCCCCATGCTGGAAAGGAGCCAGGAGGCCTCGCCTCAGCTGGGCCACACCCAAGGGGGTAGCAGAGCAGATGCTGGAACTGGGACCCCAGATGCCACATCTCAGAGCCCGGGGCAACCAACAGCAAAGAACAGCAAGCCCCAGGCCTCTGGGCTGCCCCCAACGCCTGAGCTGAGGGGAGAGGGAGGCAGGCACAGAATAATCGCAAGCTGGGGGAGAGGGGCAGGGCCAGGAACACCACCTGGAGTGGCACTGCCACCAGGAGCCCTGGGACAGAGGTCTGGGGAATGGAGGCCTGATGCAGGATCCAGCACCACCATGTCCCCTGCAGGGGCCCCAGCTGCCTCCCCGACAAGGGCCTCAGCTGGCCATCCAGGAGCCCGCTGTCTGGCCTCCCCGATGCAACACAAAGCCAAGTCGCGCCTGCCCCTCAGCCACGCACCCAGACACACATCAGTCAAGCTCTGCTCAGCCACAGCCTGCATGGCTCCCCCTCCAGACCCAGGGGTTCACTGGAGAAGGGAATGTACAGGGGGCCCTACCTGCCCTTTGGAGTCCCAGGAGCCTTACAAGAGGAGGAGCAATGTCCCCAAATACAGTCAAGGCCTTGGAGAGACAGGGCAGGAGCCACAGGGACAGTGCTGGGACTGGCACTTAGTCCCCAGGCCACACCCAGTCAGCCCCAGGCTGCTAAGACAGCAGAGCAGTGTCGTGGCAGCCAACAGGGCAGGGCTCAGCGCTACCCTCTCAGTGCCAGAGCTCCCGGGGGAGATAGGAGGTACCCAGCTTGAGGGCGGGAGGCGGGGGGGGAGCGGGGGGTGGTGCAGGGAACCAAACCAAGGAGGCACAGGAGAGAGAAAGGAAAAATAAGGCATTTGCCAGGAACAAGCAGCGGGCCCAGCTTGAAACTGCAAAGTTTCAGCTCAGATTGATCACCTCTCCAGGGCTCTTTTGTCAGCTGGACCCCTCATGCAACAGCCGGAGAAGAAAGGAAGGCCAAAGAAAAGAGAGGCCACATCCTGTCTTCACCTCCTCTACACCCCGGGAACACAAGCCTAGGAACAGGCTGGGGACAGGTCGGGAGGGAGACCTGGGGAGGCAGTTTCAGGCCCAGCCCCCACCTGTAAGTGGCAACCTCGGGCATCACAGGTACAGCTGGGCCAGCAGAGAGCCTGAGGAAGGGGCAGCCCCACGCAGAGACGGGGGTCCAGCGGCCGCCCCCCACACCCCCCACCGTGCTGCTGGTCCGGTTTGCCCGGGCCCCATCAGGGCACCCCTCGGCGGACTCGCGGAGCCCTTAGCGGGAGGGAAGTACAGCGTTGATCCTCCGAGGGGCCGCTCCCCTGCGACAAAGGGTCCTCTTTGGGCAGGGTGTTGGTCTTGGGTTGGCGTCCCCACCATGCGGGGCACAAGGAGTCGGGCAGGCCGGCGCCGACGGGCAGGGATAGGGCCTGACCCCCACAGGCCGAGCCGGACCCCCGGGCTGCCGGAGCCCCGGGCCCCGAGCTGTTTGGCCCCGCACGGACGGCGACGATGACGGCCACCTACCTGTCCCTCCGCTGGCTCCGGGTGGCCGCCCTCTGGCCACGTGGACGCGCCCCCGAGCCCCACCGCGGCCCCGCTCGCACGTCCCCACGGCCTCGCCCCGCGCCCCGGGCCCCAAGCGCGCAGCCGCCGCCGCCGCCGCCCACACACTGGGCTGGCCCGGGGGCCGCCGGAGCCTTTTAAACCCGGACCGTACCACCGCGCGGGGCGGGGGCGTCCGGGGACGCCCGGCCGAGGGGGACGCGGCGGCAGGGGACGCAGGCGGGGCCGCTGCTCCCCGGGGCCAGGGACCTCGCGCGCAGCCCTGACCCCCGCGACCTGAAGGGGGACCCGCCCGGCCAGCCGACCCCCTTCGCTCGATGGCCGCGTCCGCGGCGCGCGCCTCCCCCGCGCCCCGGCTCCCCGCCCGCCGCCTCGGGCGACCCCGGAACCCGCGCGCGCCCGCGCCACACCCCCTCGGGCCTGGGGCGCGCGTCCGCCTCGCCCCACCCTGGCGCTCGGAGACGCGCCCGGGGTCACCTGCCACCGGGGCGCGGCCTCGCTGGTCCCGGCCTCTCAGGTGCACCCCCGCCGAGGAGTCGCGTCCCCAGCTCAAGACACGCCCCCGACGGTCTCTAACCCGGAGGGCCTGCGGGACAGCCGTCCAAACCAGCCCCTTCCCCGGCGACCCTGAACCGAGGGCTTTCTTCCTTCCCTTGCTTTCTTTTTCCTTTTCTTTTTTTGTTTTCTTTTGACACAGGGTCTCGCTCTGTCACCCGGGCTGGAGTGCAGTGGTGAGATCATAGCTCACTGCAGCCTCGACCGCCCCAGGCTCAAACGATGCTCCCGCCTCAGCCTCCCAAAGTGCTGGGACTACAGGTGTGAGCCACCGCGCCCCGTTAAGGTTTTCTTTTTCATTTCCCTGATGACTAATGGTGTTCAGCATCTTTTCATGTGCTTGCTGGCCTTTTGTATATGATCTCTGAAGAAATGTCTATTCAAGTCATTTGCCCATTTTTATTAAACACATATATGGAGAGATAGATAGATAGACAGATTTTTCCCCCCAAGTTGAGGTCGCGCTCTATCACCCAGGCTGCAGTGTAGCGGCATTGGATCATGGCTCACTGCAGCCTCGACTTCCTGGGCTCAAGGGATCCTCCTGCCTCAGCCTCCCAGGTAGCTGGGACCACAGGCAAGTGCCACCACGCCTGGCTAACTTTTCCTATTCTTGTAGAGAGAGACAGGGTCTTGCTACACTGCCCAGGCTAGTCTTGAACTCCTGGGCTTAAGTAATCCTCCTGCCTCAGCCTTCCAAAGTACTGGCATATGCTGGGTGCAGTGACTCAAGCCTGTAATCCCAGCATTTTGGAAGGCTGAAGTGAGCGGATCACCTGAGGTCAGGAGTTCGAGACCAGCCTGGCCAACATGGCAAAACCCCATCTCTACAAAAAATACAAAAATTAGCCGGACATGGTGTCATATGCCTGTAGTCCCAGCTACTCAGGAGGCTGAAGCAGGAGAATTTTTTTTTTTTTTTTTTTTTTTTTTAGACAAAGTCTTGCTCTGTCGCCAAGGCTGGAGTGCAGTGGTGTGACCTCGGCTCACTGCAAGCTCCGCCTCCCGGGTTCACGCCATTCTCCTGTCTCAGCCTCCCAAGTAGCTGGGACTACAGGCACTCGCCACCACGCCCGGCTAATTTTTTTGTATTTTTGGTAGAGACGAGGTTTCACCGTGTTAGCCAGGATGGTCTCGATCTCCTGACCTTGTGATCCGCCCATCTCGGCCTCCCAAAGTGCTGGGATTACAGGCGTGAGCCACCGCGCCCGGCCGAGAATCTCTTGAACCTGGGAGGGGGAGGTTGCAGTGAGCCAAGATCGTGCCATTGCACTCCAGCCTGGGAGATAGAGCAAGACTCTGTCTAAAAAAAAAAAAGCACTGAGATTATAGGCATGAGCCACCATGCCTGGCCCTCAACTGACTTTAAGTAAAAGAGATCACCCTTGATAATGTGTGTGGGCCTCATCCATTTAGTTGGATGGCTTTAAGAGCAAAACCCGAGGTTTCCTGGAGAAGCAGAAATTCTGCCTCAAGACTGTAACACAGGCCAGGCGCGGTGGCTCATGTCTGTCATCCCAGCACTTTGGGAGGCCAAGGCAGGCGGATCGCCTGAGGTCAGGAGTTCGAGACCAGCCTGACCAACGTGATGAAACCCCGTCTCTACTAAAAATACAAAAATTAGTTGGGCATGGTGGCGGGCATCTGTAATCCCAGCTACTCGGGAAGCTGAGGCAGGAGAATCGCTTGAACCCAGGAGGCAGTGGTTGCAGTGAGCTGATATCATGCCACTGCACTCCAGCCTGGGCGACAAGAGTGAGACTCCATCTCAACAACAACAACAACAAGACTGTAACACAGAAATTCTCCGAGTTTCCAGCCCGTCAGTCTGTCCTACAAATTTCACACCAACTTGTCAGCCCCGACAATTGGGTGAACCAAATCCTTAAAATAAACTGTGTGTGTGTGTGTCCTGTTGGTTCTGTTTCTCTGGAGAACCATGACTAATACAGATGTCTTTCCATTTATTTAGGTCTTCTTGAATTTCTTTCAATGATGTTTTGTACTTTTCAGTGTACAAATCTCATGCTTCTTTTAAAAAAATCTATTAATAAGTATTTTATTCTTTTTTGACACTGTTATAAATGGAATTATTTTCTTAATTTCATTTTGGATTGTGTATAGAAATACAATTGATTGGCCAGGTGTGGTGGCTCATGCCTGCAATTCAAGCACTTTGGGAGGCAGAGGTGGGCGGATCACTTGAGATCAGGAATTCGAGACCAGCCTGGCCAAGATGACAAAACCCCGTCTCTACTAAAAATACGAAAATTGGCCAGGCATGGTGGCGGGCACCTGTAATCCCAGTTACTTGGGAGGCTGAGGAGGGGGGCAATCGCTTGAACCCAAGAGGCAGAGGTTGCAGTGAGCCAAGATCATGCCATTGCACTCCAGCCTAGGCAACAGAGAGCAAGACTCTATCTCAAAAAACTTTTAAAAATTGATTTTTGTATAATGATCTTTTTGGAGACAATGTCTCACTTTGTCACCCAGGCTGGAGTGCAGTGGTATGAACACCACTCACTGCAGCCTCGTCTTCCCAGGCTCAAGCAATCTTCCCACCTCAGCCTCCCAAGTAGCTAGGACTACAGGTGCATGCCACCACGCCAGGCTAATTTTTGAATTTTTTGTAGAGACAGGGTTTCACCGTGTTGCCCAGGCTGGTCTCCACCTCCTGGGCTCAAGTGATCCGCCCACCTAAGCCTCCCAAGTAGCTGGGACTACAGGCGTGTGCCACCACACCCAGCTAATCTTTGTATTTGCTATACACACAGAGTCTCACTATGTTGCCCAGCTGGTCTCGAACTCCTGGGCTCAAACAATCCACCTGCCTAGGCCTCCCAAAGTGCTGGGATTACAGGCGTGAGCCACTGTGCCTGGCCTTAGTCCCATCTTTGTCATCTCATCCATTGGCTTGACCAGACGAGCAGGTGTTACCCTTTGATTCCCTTGGCGATCTTTCTAGTTCCAGAGCATCAGCCATGTCTGTCTTGACAGCTCTGCAATTTCTCACTCCATCCTCTCAAGCTCTCCTGTGAACTCCAGGCTCCAGGTTCATAGATCCAAATCTCTGCTTGGATCTAACAGGCATCTCAACATACCATTTCCACAAGCAAAGCCTTCATTGTTCACCCCAGACTTGCTTCTCTTCCCATGCCCCGCATCTTAGTAAAGTTTATTCCTCTTGCTCAGGCCAAAGTGGAGTTCTTGACTCCTCTCTTTCTCTCAAACTCCATGTCCTATTCGTCAGCAAATCTTGTTGGCTTTCCCCCCAAAATCTATCCAGAAGCTGATATTCTGTCCCCACCCTGGTCCAAGCCACCAGCCTCTCATCAGGATAGCTGTGGTGGCCTCCTCACTGGCCTCCCATGCTTGCCCTCCCCCAGTCCCTTTGCCACACTGCTACAAGAGTGACTGGAAAACTTAAGTCAAGATTATGTCTTGCTCCTGGTAAAAGCCTCCAATCACTTCCTTTATAACACTGACTTCCAGAAGACCTTCTAACTATGACCTCAAACCCAGAAGGCATAGAAGACAAAAGAGTCCAGCTAGCTAAAAATAAACTTCTCGTGTCTAAAAAACACCATCAAATCAATGAAAAACGAGGAAAAGTATTTGCACTGTATAACACAAAGGGGTACTCTCTCTCATACATGGAAGGTACCTAGGATTCTACATATTATTTATTTATTTATTTGAGACAGAGTTTCGCTCTGTCACCCAGGCTGGAGTACAGTGGTACGATCTCGGCTCACCGCAACCTCCGCCTCCTGAGTTCACGCTATTCTCCTGCCTCAGCTTCCTGAGCAGCTGAGATTACAGGTGCCCACCACCACGCCCGGCTAATTTTTGTATTTTTAGTAGAGACGGGGCTTCACCATGTTGGCCAGGCTGGTCTCGAACTCCTGACCTCAGGTGATCTGCCCACCTCGGCCTCCCAAAGTGCTGGGATTACAGGCGGGAGCCACTGCACCTGACCGATTTCTAGATAAAAAAAGACCAACAAGAGGCCAAGGCAGGAGGATTGCTTGAGCCCAAGATTTCAAAACCAGCCTGGGCAACATAGTGAGATCCTGTCTCTATTAAAAAAAAAAAAAAAAAAAAAACAAAGAAGACCAACAATACAATTAATGGGCAAATGCCAGGAATAGACAGTTTGCAGGAGAAATAAAATGCACATAGTTTTTAAACATGTGAAAAGAGAAATACAAATTAAAAACCACACTAAGGTCAAACAAAAACTTGTACGTGAATGTTCATAGCAGCATTATTTACAATAATAGCCGAAAGGTAGGAACACCTGAAATGCCCATCCATGGATGAATAGATAAACAAGATGTGGTGTACACAGATAATGGACTACGACTCAGTTAGTTATAAAAAGTAAGCCATGAACCTCAAAAACATGATGCTAAGAAAAACAAGCCAGACACAAAAGGTCATGTATTGTATGATTCCATTGATGTGAAGCTTCCAGAACAGTCCAATCCATTGAAACGGTAGATTAGCAGCTGCCAGGGCCTGGGGAGTGGGGGAATGGGGAGAGACTGCTGAATAACCAACCACGGGGTCTCCTTTTGGGGATGAAAATGTTCCAGTAGAGAGAGGCAATGGTCACACAACAATGTGAATGTACCAAATGCCACCAAATTGTAAACTTTAAAATGGTTAATGGCTACTTTTCTGTTATGTGAATTTTTCCTCAGTTGAAAAAATTAAAAACACAAAGAAGAAACAAAACCCCATGCTGAGAAACCATGTCTCCATCTCAGCTTGGCACGCGTCTCCTGGCGGCGAGTGAGGGCACTGTGTGGGCAAGGCTGGGGGAGCCGGCCCTCATCCTGCCCATGAGGCTGCCAAGTGGGCAGGCCCTAAGGAGTGGAGTTGGCCAATATCTGCCATGCTGACTCTGCAGCTGAAGAGAGAATGAGGGTCTCTATGCACCCATGTGGAAAGATGCCGAGTATTGGGATATATCGCTAATGGACACTATATCACACGGTGTCGAACAGCATGCAAGCGCAATACCTTTCATGCGAGAAAGGTGAGGGCCAGGAGGAGCAGCCGTAGGAGCTTGTCTTTGTCTAGAGAAAGAGAACAGGTAAGCAGGCAGTGAAGAAAAGCACATCTCTGTTGGGGACATTGCAGGAACTGGCTTCCATGCTGACATGGGAACCGCCTGAATACATGGCTTCTGCTGGACAGTGAAGATGAGGGAAAAAGGTAGCTTCCCCTTGTTCCAGCCCAGCTCACCTTTTTTCTTTCTTTTTTTTTTTTTTTTTGAGACGGCGTTTCTCTCTTGTCATCCAGGCTGGAATGCGGTGCCGTGATTTCGGCTCACTGCAACATCCGCCTCCCGGGTTCAAGCGATTCTCCTGCTTCAGCCTCCTGAGTAGCTGAGATAACAGGCACCTGCCACCACGCCCAGCTAATTTTTGTATTTTTAGTAGAGACGGGGTTTCACCATGTTGGTCAGGCTGGTCTCGAACTCCCGACCTCAAGTGATCCACCCGCCTCAGCCTCCCAAAGTGCTGGGATTACAGGCATGAGCCACTGCACCCGGCCTCCAGCTCACTTTTGACCCAGACTTGGTGTTCCCTCTGCCTGGAACACTCCCTCCCGCATCGGAATGGCTGACTTCTTGTCATTTGGATGTCAGCTTAAATGTCTCCACGCCACAAAGGCCAGCTCATCTTGTTCTACATTTTGTTTTGTTTGTTTCCCTCTCTGTTTTCTACACACACAGCCCCCAGGAACGAGGCCCGGGTGAGCAAAGTGGGTGACCACCCCTGGCACACACTGATCCTTGGTGACCTTATCTGGTTCCAGAGCATCAAATAGCCTACTCAGCCAAACACAGTGGCTCACACCTGCAATCCCAGCAATTTGGGAGGCTGAGGTGGCAGGATCACTTGAGCCCAGCAGTTCGAGACCAGCCTGGGCAACAGAGCAATATCCCATCTCTACAAAAAAAATTTTTTTTTAATTCTGTTCCAATTTTCATGTACATAAAAATAAAAATAGCTGGGCATTGTGGTGCACACCTGTAGTCCCAGCTACTCAGGAGGCTGAGGCGGGAGGATCACTTGAGCCCAGGAGGTGGGGGCTGCAGCGAGCTGAGATTGCACCACTGCACTCCAGCCTGGGAGACAGAGCAAGACCCAGTCTCAAAAAAAAAAAAGAAAGAGGAAAGGAAGGAGAGGGGAGGGGAGGGGAGGGAAGAAAGAAGGAAGGAAGGAAGGAAGAAGGAAGGAAGGAGGGAAGGAAAAGAAAAGAAAGAAAACATTAGTCTACTCTCATCTCTATTCCTAGTGACGCCAGGTGGCTACTTCCCGGCCACGCTGAATGAGACACTGGGCCTCTGCACTATCGGGCACCATCAGATCTCCACATTTGCCAGGAAGGGGAGGCCAGACCCAGGGCTGGGGTGATCCTGGCCAGTGAGGGGCTATCCCCTGCCCTTTCTTCTTGGCTTCAGGCCAGGGGAGGAAACAGGGAGCTGTCAGCTGGCCTTCCTCAGCCTCCTGGAGCCAGGCCTGCCTGCCTCAGCTTAGCCAAGTGGAACTTGGGGAATCAGCTGCTGAGGTGGCAGAGTAGGGGTCCTGGACCTACCCCCGATCTGGATCCTGCCCCAAGGGCTGTCTGAGCAGGGCTAGCTAGGGCAGGGCAGGCAAGTGTCGAGCACAGGGCACCACAGCAGAACGACTGTGCTGGGACGGCCCACAGCAAGGAAGGCAGGATGGGTTTTCGTGGCCACAGGACGGCCACGTCCCCTACGGGAAACTCAACAGGAGCCCAAGGGCCTGGGAGAGAGGCCTGGGGAGGAACCCCCTTCCCACCCACCAGAGCCACCACCGCCCAAGGACAGGTGCCCACGGTCAAGAAGCACAGTGCCACAAAGACACCTCAGGGATGGTGGGGCTGCCACGGTGACAGACTCCCCAGGCACGTATGACACGTCCAGAACAGGTCAATCCATGGAGACAGAAAGCACATGAGAGCCTGGTGGGGGGATGTGAGGGGAGGAGCCTGCCTATGGCCACAGGGCCTTTGGAGGGATGAGAATGTCCTGGAAGCAGACCAGGGTGATGACTACACAACATGGCAAATGTGCTAAATGCCACCAAATTGTACAGTTTTAAATGGTCAAAATGACAAATGAATTTGGTCCGAACACAAATGGTTTCTCACAATGCAGGCGCTCCAGCTCTGACACGTGCACTTCTTTATTGGAAAAGAATAAAGCAGTCACTGATGTGGCAGGGGCAGGACACGAGCAGCTGCCGTCCTCCTCCCAGCGTGCCTGGCATGGTCGCAGGGGAGCGGGTGCCTGGAGTCCCGGTGACACCACGGGGCACACTGAGGGAGCTGAGGAGCCGGGGCCGCGCAGCCTCCTGGATGCTCAGCGGATCTAGTGTGAGGACAAGGTGGGCAGAGGAGACAAGGAAGGCGAGGGGTGAGCAGGGGCTGGCTGCCGTCCCCAACTTGGAGGGGTCCCTGCCAGCCCCTCCTCACCGTGTACTTGTCCCACTTCTTTTCAGGGTCGTAGGGTTCCCAGCGGCTGGCGGGAAAGATGTGCTTGTTCTTCTCGTACCAGCTCCTCAGCACCACCTTGCCTGCATGGGACTAAGGGAGGAAGAGGGCACAGGGCCGCCTGCTGACCTCCCCTTCCCTTGGCTTCTCCTCCATAGCCCAGGGACACCCGTTCCCCCTCACACGGCCCCCTACGCTGTACCTCATCCTTCTCCACAGTGGCGTCACTGAGCAACCGCACATCGTCATGAACATCAAAGTTGAAGAGTGGTCCTGCAGGGGAGAAGTGACAGCCCAATGTCCCGCTGCTGCCCCAGTGACAACATCGGCGGCAAGGTGCTATGGGGGCGGCTGGGTCGGCGGCACTCACCACTCTTCCCCCGTGCCTTGGTGACGATGAAGTCGTAGAAGCTGTGATGCTGGGAGCCAAGGGCAGGAAAGCGGCGTCTTGATGGTCCATCTCGGCCCCTCCCCACACCCCCCGCCTGCGCACACTGCCCCCACCAGCCTGAGCCAAAGCCCAGGGTGCTGCACCCACTGCGGGTACTGGGGCTGAAGGGACTCACGTGAGGGATGATCAAGTCCTCCTTGATGTACATGAGCTGCTCCACCCCTGCGGACCTGAGGGAGGAAGGCAGGAGGGCGTGGGCAAGAGGACAGCACCCCTGCCCAGGGAGGGAGGAGACAGCCAGCCCAGGAGAGCCCATGCTGGGGCTGGGAAGCAGCGGCCAGTTGGCTGTGAGGGAAGCTCCATGGTTTAGTGAGCACAGGACTGGCGCCCAGCACCCTCCACCTTTGGGCTAAGGAACCAAGGCAGGCCGCTCTCAGCAAAGCTCTCTGGTGGGAGGGAAGGGAAGAGGAGCCTGACCCCCTCTTTTGGGAGGAGAGTGCCCAGCACGCTGCTTGCTTGCCCAGACAGCGCCCACATCACACTGGGTGTCTGGCACCCAGGCTGGAGCCACAGGTGCCACACACACCACCGTGCACACACGCACACCTCACACCTCAGCTCACTGAAGTCTTTCCGAAGGATCTCGAGCGCCTTCTGCAGGAACTGCTGCATGGTGTTGCCCTTTCTCATCTGTATCCGGGAATCCAGGAGTTGGGAAGGGAAGGCGGAAGCCTGCAGAAGGGCTCTCAACAAGGCAGAGGCCCAGAGGGCCCTGCCAGACGCTGCAGAGCCTCAGCCAGGCCTGGGCCTCACTCCCCAGACAGGGGGCCAGGCCCTGGAGCCAGTTATCCTCAGGATCCCTGGGGCTTCCCAAGTCAGGAAGGTCAGTTCCTTCCCACGGAACCTGAGGGAGGCTGGGCCCATGGTGAGCAGGAAGCAGGCTGCACGCTGCCTACCTTGACTGTCCGCCGGTGCCCAGAGCCATCCCAGTAGCTGAAGGTGATCTCGATCTCCTCACCTACAAGGCAGAGCTGCCTCTTGGTCTCCAGCCCCACTGAGAGCAGCCTTGGGGCTCAGCGCACCACCCAGGAGACTGTGGACAGGGAAGCTGGCTTGGGCCCAGGCCCCTCGCGTCTGACTCCGCAAACACTCACTCTTGATCTTCTCCTGCTTGGCTTCCCACTCCTGCCGCAGCTCTTCCCGAAGCCGATTCTCCTCCTCCTGGGAGAGGGAGCAGGCAGACAGGTGAGGCCCAGGGCTGCTCAGGGTGCACGCAGAGCCTGGCTCCCTAAGCAAGGGTCTCCACCAGGGCTGGAGTCGAGGCCGGGGTCAGGGCCAGGCAGCCTTTACCTCACGGTCTCGATCAGGCAAGAAGCTTGTGTCAACGTCTGGGTTCTTCCCCAGTTTTCTCTTCTTCGTGGTGATCTCTGGAACAAAAGGAAGCCGAATATCATAGCATTATTATAAAAATGATTTTGATATGGCCGACGCCCAGGGTCCCCCAAGCATACCTTGAGAACAGTCGATCTAGAAGACAAGCCTAGGGCGGGCACAGAGGCTCACGCTTGTCAACCCAACACTTGGGGAGGATGAGGCAGAAGGATCACTTGAGCCCAGGAGGTGGAGACCAGCATGGGCAACATAGCAAGACCTCGTCTCTACTAAAACTCAAAAAAATCAGCCGGGTGTGGTGGCGCACCTGTAGTACCAGCTACTCAGAAGGCTGAGGTGGGAGGATCGCTTGAGCCTGCGAGGTCGGGGCTGCAGTGAGCCGTGATCAAACCACTGCACTCTAGCCTGGGCAACAGAGTGAGACCTCATCTCAAAAAAAAAAAAAAGAAAGAAAAAAAAGAAAAGAACAACAAAAAAAGACAAATCTAAACTCTTTAGCCTGATGCTCAAGGGCAGAGATTCTAGAGCCTGGGGTCTTGTGGCTGGGCCCCCTAAACGGAACCTGTGGAGGGAGGGAAGAGCCCACCAAGCAGTGTTTTGTAAAAGCCCCAGTGACACACAGTGAGGGTGACAACCTTTCCCCCAGGCCTGCACTGTCCACGCCAGTAGCTCCCAAGTTCGAGACCAGCTTGGGCAACATGGCGAGATTCCGTCTCTACAAAAAATACAAAAATACAAAGCGCCTGTAGTCCCAGCTACTCAAGTGGCTGAGGTGGGAGGGTCCCTTGAGTCCAGGAGGTCAAGGCTGAAGTAAGCTGTGATCGCCCCTCTGCACTCCAGCCTGGGCCACAGGGAGACACTGTCTCAAAAACAACAACAACCAAAACAAAAACACAAACACAAACCAGTAGCTCCCGCTGCACACAGCACCCCAGCATTGCAGCTAGTGCGCCTGCCGCAATGGTGATATTTTGGATACGCTGGGTTAAATACAATGTCATACTAAAATCCTGCTTGTTTCTTTTTCTATGTTTTACTGTGGCTGCTGGAACATGGAACCCAAATGGCAGGTGGCTGGCAGGTTCTTCCTCCCTACAATCCTGCACTCCCCTCAAAGCCATGGCACCCAGCCTGTTACCACAGCCACACAGCACCATCCCCTGCCTCGCTTCTCTCCCTCTGCCATTCCCTGGGTGACACAATTTCCAGAACTGCCACCACACCCTCCAGGGGCCCGTGACACAACTTGCTCCCAATCTTCAAACGTTTTGAAAAGCTCTTTCCTGCTGGGCTTCTGGCATGTACTTTCTCGTCGCCCCTCCTGCCTCTCTGGCGAATGCAACTCCCCTCATCCTTAGGGCCTAACTCAACCCTCCCCTCCTTCCTTGACCCCTGGGTTAGCCCGGTGGGCCCCAAGCAGAGCAGTAACCCTGAGTAGTGTCTTCAGTGCATGGTGACCCGTGACTTCCACCAGGAGAGGGACAGCACCCTATGTGCCCTGGCCAGGCACAGCACAGGTGTGTGGCACACGTGGAGGCCAGGCTGGCTTTACCCTCACTCCCCAGCCATCCTGAGCTTTCCCTGACAGCCCCTTGTTCTCACAGCTGAGACCTGCAGTGTCTGACTAGTAGCCTCGGAATTTCTGTGGCTGTATACATTTACGCTGAAACAAATCAAACAGAATTCACCATTTAGTGCCCCAGTCATACGAGGCACCTGGGGCAAGTGGCTACCATATTGGGTGGCACAGACTCTAACATTTCCATCATCACAGAAAATGTGCCCAGCCAGCCTGGTCTAGACCAGCCTCTTCCCTCCCCGGTCTACTGTGCGCGGTGCCTCAAGAGGGCAGCTTTTGGAGCCATCTTGACAGGGCATCAGCTTTGCTGACAGCCTCTCACATTGGGGACCCCTCCCCAGGGGCTGCGGGCGGGGCTCCGACTCAAGCCAGCCCTCACCTTCCCTTTCCATCTCCTCCTCATACATGGCCGCCTCCTCTTCCTCCTCGCCTCCCTCTTCTTCCTCCTCCAGGGTGAAGGACAGGCTGGAGATCTTCCGCTTGGCTTCCTTCTTACGCTCCTTCTCTCGAAGCTTCTCCAGCTTCCTAGTGAGGTGCAGGTGGCCCCATCACACATCATGTCCTTCCCGACCCTGACCCAGCCCCTTCCTTGACCCAGAGCCACCTGTGTGCCCTATGTGGGGCCTGCCCAGCCCAGGCTGGGTCCCCATTGCCCCAGACGGGTCCTGCTGTCCTGGATCACTTTGAGCTCATGGGCGAGGGCTCTGTTACAAACAGCAAGCACAGAGGGCCACAGGGGAGAGCCAAGCACAGGCTGGCAATGGGGAGAACGCAGGCTGCTCAGGCACCGGATGCTGGGAAAGGGCCCACTGCATTTAGAGGGTCAGAAAGAAGACAAGCCGCCATGGTGAAAAGACGTGAGCGTGGACCCGAGGAGGCGGGAGAGAGAAATGCAAATCGCAAGCTAGATGCTACCCCTGTCCCAAAGCTGGAGACAGGGTCCCCCCCAGGGTGCAAAAAGAGCCCGACCAGCCACGGGACCCCGTAAGCACTAGCTCCATGTTGAGGGCTGCGGCGAGAGGACCCACATCTGCAGCTCCTTGGACTGCTCCTTCTTGGCCAGCTGCTTCTCCCGCTCCTTCACCAGAGCCTCCTGCTTGGCCTTCATGTCATTCAGGGTCACGAGACCTTTGAAGCAAGGAGGCACAAGGGGCAAGGTAGTCGCAGGGCCAGCGGAAGAGTGGCCCGGGGCCCGGGTGAGGGGCACCCGCACCCTGCTCACCCACGGTGCTGGACTTGAGCTCTGCCTCCACCGCGTCGTAGTGCGCAGAGAACTTCTTGTCAATGTTGGATTTCATGATGTTCTCCTGCGGGGAGTGACAGCCACCATGAGAACCACCCCTCACTGTGGAAATGGCAGGCTGGCCATCAAGGACCTGCGTTATAGTCCAAATCTGCCCCTGTGCCCTTGTCGATGGAAGGTTCCATGAGGCTGGGCAGGGCTCTTCAAATGCTAAGAGTGCCAAATGGGGCTGTTTCCATCCCTGAGCTGCTCTGGCTCTTCAGGTCTCCTGCTGGGGATCACAGGTCCCTCAGTAGCCTGAAGCCACCGACCCTACTGACCTTTGGCCTTTTTCATCTCCAGCCTTTAAGCTGAAGCTTCCGAGACCCAAGCCAAGGGTTATGAGGAGAGGGCAAACAAGAACAG
Source organism: Homo sapiens (assembly GCF_000001405.40). Lineage (NCBI taxonomy): Eukaryota > Metazoa > Chordata > Mammalia > Primates > Hominidae > Homo > Homo sapiens. Next base: position 154,445,291 of record NC_000023.11, on the reverse strand, counting down.
AGTGGTTGAGGGGCCTGGCCCCTCCCTGAGTGATTTTCCTCCCTCCAGGCCCCAGAATGTCATCAACAGCTTCCCAGGAGGCCTCTCTTTGGCCCCAGCCCCAACCCACTTGGTACCATGTCAAGCCCTCGCTGACCAGTGGTCTCCCAAGAAGGTGGCTGGCAGAGAAATACACCTTCTGCTTGCTGGGCACCCCGGCTCAGACAGTGCGGCCAGGGCATGAGGACTTGGTGTTTCAAGGCTCCTCTGGCCAGGCTTCCCCAGTTCCCCAGGCAGGAGCCTGCTCTCCCCTGGAGCCCCGAGTCCTGATGAGTGAGTCTCCCCAAAAGGATCAAGCTCCTCCACGCTCCTTCCCTGACCACCACCATCACAGGCCACTCACGGAAGCAGTGGGTGAACCGCTGGCACCCGGGAGGGTCGTGCCTGCCTCACAGGTGCAAGGGGTTCTGGAAGGAGCCTCCTGGCCAGTGGACTTGCCAGGTCTGGCTCAGGCCTCCCCGCCTCTCCAGGGGGAGACGAACCGCCCTGCCCGGTGTCCATAGGACCAGGGCAGAGGCCTGGCTCTGAGGGCCGAGGGGGCAGAGGCCTGGCTCTGAGGGCCGAGGGGCCAGAGCCAGGACGCTGGGTGCCCAGGCGAGGCGACGAGAGGCCCGTCCCCGCCGTGCCTCCCAACAGAAACACTGGCTCGGCTCCCTCCTGCCGGAGGCCGGTCATCAGCTAGTGGCCTCAGCCTCGGAGAACGCCCGGCTCCAGGCCCATTTCACAGATGAGACTGTCGCTGGCTTGCTTCTGTGTGCCCTGCTGGAAGTCAGCGAGCCAGGGGCCTGCCCCGGCGCGCCGCCCGCGCTCCGTGGCCACCGCCCCAGGGCTTCCAGGGCCGGAGCGTGGCGCGGGGCCGCCGGGGACCTGGGCAGCGCGCATGCTCCGAGGCTCCCCGGCTCGCACCTCCGCGATGCGCTGCTTCATCTGCTCCATCTGCTCGCGCTGCTTCTCCCGCTTCTTCATCAGGTGCATGGCGCGGCCGGCCTCGCTCGCGGCGCCCTTGTATTGAGCCATGGCAGCGGCGGCGGCGGCGGCGGCGGCGGCGGGCGGCGGCGGCGGCGACAGCGACAGCGGCAGCGGCAGCGGCGGTGGCGGCCGAACAGTCAGCTGACGCCCGCGCCGTGACGTCAGCCACCAGGAGACGCACGGATGCCCCGCCCCGCCGCGCGCCAGCTGGCCCGGAGCGTGACCACCGCCCGCCCCGCCCCGCCGGAGACCGCCCCTGGTCCTGCGTGGACTCCCGCCCCAGCCCCCGCCGCCGGCTCCTGTGGACCCCGGAGGCTGAATTCCCCAGCCCCTCGCGCTGCCTCGACGTTAACCCGAGCCAAGGCTGGGCCCCGGTCCCTCTAATTCCTCCTGGTGACCCCAACGCTGGTCCCCTGGCTGCCCTAGTTCCCCCGCATTAAGCCGAAAACTGGCACCCGTCTCCCTGCTTCACTTAGAATCCCATCCGAGGCTGGCCCCTGGTCCCCTCTGCCCTCTCCTTTCAAGCCAGAGGCCAGGACCCCCGCTCCCTCTGCTTCCTCCACGTTGACACCCGCCCTCCACCACACTCCCCCTGCATTGAGCACTGAGGGCTGCAGTCCTGGTGCCAGCATCGACTCACTGGGTAGCCTTAAGCTTTAAGTCAATTTGGCCCCAGCGTGCTCTGGGTGAGGAATTCCCTGGTGAAGAATGCCACCTTTTACAGTCCAGAGTGAAGCTAAGCCAGAGCCCCAACCCAGGCAGCCAAAGCCCTGCCAGGTACCCAGCTTTTGGGAGATAACCATCAAGATCCAGAGATTCAGGTTTCAACCGTTTTATTGGGAGGTTTTGTTTTCTGTGAAATACACTAGAGGGTGGGGAAGGGGACACATTCACTTTGCAAGATAAGGGTTTCCCACCACTAAAGGAAAGGCATGGGGCAGGGCACACTGGGGTTTGGGTCCGTTTTCCCACCTCCTTCTGCTTGGCTCACTTTTCTTTTCTCTCAGCAAGTACCACAGAACACAAAGACAAGAAACAAAACAGCAAATCAACCTCCAACGGGGCCATGCCCAAGCCTTCCCCACTCCCCCAGGCTGGGCAAGGGCTGGGAGGGGCTGGGGCAGCTCACTCGACAGCCCTCAGGCCACACGGGAAGGCTGCAGGCTCAGAAAGGGTGGGTCAAAGTTAATAAATTAGAATAAATTAGGGGGGAGGAATGCAACTTTGTGCTGGGAGGGCCCCTTCTCTCCAACACGCGAGAGTTGGTGGGGGGGAGGTGGGGGCATCTCCAAAGGCCACTACAGTGGGGGTAAGAGCGGTGGGGGCAGAAGTCACCTTTTCCTCCACGTCTTCCCAAACAGAGCAGAAGAATTAGGGGTGGGGGGAAGAGACACACACAAGGAGAGGAACCCTCTTTTCCTAGGATAAGGAAGGGCCAAGAAAGAGGATGCTATCCAACCCCCCATCTCCCAAGCCATCGCTAGGGTTAAGGATTTGGTCAGTGGATCAATGAGGTGGGTGATGGGAACGTGGTGGGGGAAGCAGAGGATGCTGGAGCCCTCGAGGAGAACAGACACAGGCTGGGGCAGCAGGGGCTGGGGGCGGCCACAATCACTGCTCAGCTTCTCCAAAGACGTCGTTCTGTTTGCGCTTCATGTTCTCAAAGTCAAAGGCCGTGCCAGCCATGCGTTTGTAGATGTCTTTGATGTCGTTGCAGGTTGTCTCAAAGTGTGTGGTGGCATCGTAGGAGCAGGAACAGAACACCTGGAAACAGCCAGAGCCCAGCGCCCAGGGTGAGTCAGACAGGTATCCTGGGCGGGCAGCCAGGAGCCCAGGGCTGGGACGAGCTGCTTACCTGGCTCTCACAACCATCATCAATGGGCTCATACAAGTCACTGATAGCCACAAACCTGAGGGGCAGACAGAGGGGAGGGGACAGGCCTCACAATGGGCCATGCCCTTCCTGGTCCCTAAGCCCAGCTGCTGGGCTCCCTCCCTCTCCCCCTTGGGCTCAGCCCAGTCCCTCACTTCTGGTCAATGGGCTCCAACAGCTCCAGAGCCGGCTCCACCTCCTTTTCAGGGTCCGTGGTCTCCACAGTAGTGCTGGCAATAGCTATGTACTTGCCCTGGGCCGCCACGTTGTGTGCATAGGAGATCATGCACACGTAGATGTCTGGCCACAGGAAGAGCTCCGTCAACTCAGGCCAGAGGCGCTGGCCATACGCAGAGAGGGGTTCCAGTGGCTGGACACAAGTCTGGCCCGACTGCCCCTCCCCAGCCCCGCAGAGCAGGTAGCATCCAAGCCGCCACCCTCCCAGAGGGAAAGAGTCCAGGCCACCCAAACCCTAGGGCTCCAAGTTGTGGTGGCTACAATGTGGCTCAAATTTTTTTCCAGAGAGGTAAGGCAGGGAGCTCCCACACTGATGGGGAGAAAAAGAGTAACCCCAAAGAGAACACCCTAGAGGAAGCTGTACCAGCGCCCGGCCTACCTGACTTCCTGTTGACCTGGTTCTGGGGGATGATTATTTGGCAGGAGTTGGCGTCGTTGGTGTTCTTGATGGGGTGGCTAAGGATACAGATGATGCGGATAACCTGGCCAGCCTTCCGCACACGGTCCGGGATGTAGCTGGGGTCACAGATCAGCTGCTTGCAGCGGGCCACCTGAGAAGGCACCAGAAGTCCTCGCCCCTGTCACATCCCTCCCTTAGGTAGACGTGGGGCTGCGCTCACAGCAAGGGCAGGCAGCTCTGGCAGACAAGACGTTCCTCGGAGCCATCACTACTGCCCCTCCTGAATGCATGGCCCTACCCTGCCGCTCAGATAGGTGGGCCTTGACGCACGGGCTGGGTGCCCGCCCCCCCGCCCCCCAGAGGCACTGTGATCAAGAACACTTTCTGCACCACAGACATGGCATGTGGCCTCTGAAAGAGACCTCTCACCCACAGTCATGACTCTGAAGACTTCTGGACCCCCAGTTCCCAGCTCCAAGACCCTTGGGGCTGTGCAGCAGGAGACTCGACAGCACAGAGAAAGTGACCAAGCCCCGCCTCAACCATGGGACTGCACTGCATGCACGGGAAGGGCTCACCTCTCCCTCAGACTTCACGCCCACCACCTTGCCGTTCTCCATGATGATGTCATCCACAGGTTTGTTCAGCATATATGTCCCCCCATAGATGGCACTCAATCTGTGGTGAGAGCAGCTCCGGTGAAGGCCCCTCCCAGGAGAAACGGGGACCAATTCCACTGCACCCTTCCTCCACCAAAGTGCAAAGAAGGCTGCCCCAGGCAGGCAGCAGGTAGGAGACGCCGGGATTCATCCCAGCTCTGTCACTGCCGTGAACGCTGGCCCCATCTCCGCGGGCTCTTTCCTCTCTGGAGCTTCTGCTCAGAATACACTGCCAAGGGCCAGCGGGAGGGGGCATGAGGGATCAGTGCTCCGCACCAAGACAGCCTGAGGGACCAGAATGGACTCTCTGGAGATAGGTCAGCTCCCAGCTAAGCCCTGACTCAAGGTTCTGGGACCCTGGGCCCAGTCCTGGTGCTGCCGGGAACTGAGCAAGTCACATTTGTGGAGACTCGTTTTTTCAAGTGTGGAGACTTCTGTACTTCAGTGCACTGGGGTTGTGCCCTCATCACCCAAGGATGGAGTGAAGTAAATGAAGAGCACGAATTGGAAAGGAGGAAATACTACCAAGAAAATGCTCAAGGCGGCCATCTCCACTCCTGGCCCTAGTCCTACTCAGCTATGCCAACTGAAAAAACCCATGTCCTCACCTTGCAAAACCCTGGGGCAGCTCGCCCAAGCCGTAGAGCGGGTATAAATATGGGCTCTTGCCATACCGGGCCAGGGACTCACTGTACAACTTGATGCGGTTGACGGTCTCAAGGCAGGGCTGGTCCAGGTAGCTGGGGGAATAGCAGCACCCCTGATTTACCCCCACCCAGGTACCAGGCCAGTCTTCCCACCACCCTGAATGGCCTGGGGAAGATGAGGATCAAATGCAAGGGGGAAATGGAAAGGGTGATAGGTGAGCCTGTGGCTGAGTACAAGAGACATGCGGGGCAGGGGGACAGCAGGCAGGTGTGGGAAGGGTGGGGGCGGGCCGGGCGAGGGGGCTGCCACCACCCAGCTTCCCCTCACTCATCAGTGCGGTAGAGCGCCAGGGCATGGCCAGTGAAATCGATGACATCCTGGCCCAGATCAAACTTCCGGTAGACGTCACGCATGCTGGTAGTCTGGGGGTCAACGCCCTCAAAGGTCTTGGGGTCATTCTCATCGAAGTTTGCCACAAACACCAGGAACTTGCGGAAGCGCCGTTTCTCAAACATGCCCATCAGATCTAAGGAACGCGGCGGGAGGAGGTTCTGCATCAATGCAGCACAAAACTCTCCATCCCAGCAGGGCAGGCACCCCCACTCACAGCCCAGCTGTCCTGTGATCTTAGGTTAACCTCTCCACCCTTTTTAGCCTCAGTTTCCCCACCTGGATGAAGAGGGGATTGGCCTGGATGGGCTCTAAGGGCCTTCCTGGCTCAGACACTTGGCGATGTCTCGGGGATTCAGTGGAGGCCCTGCCAAAGGCTCAAGTTTTTGTTTTTTTTTTTGAGATGGAGTCTCCCTCTATCGCCCAGGCTGGAGTGCAGTGGTGTGATCTCGGCTCACCACAACCTCCGCCTCCCGGGCGCAAACCATTCTCTTGCCTCAGCCTCCCGAGTAGCTGGGATTACAGGTGCATGCCACCACACCCAGCTAATTTTTCGTATTTTGAGATGAGACGGTGTTTCACCATGTTGGCCAGGCTGGTCTTGAACTCCTGACCTCGTGATCCACCCGCCTAGGCCTCCCAAAGTGCTGGGATTACAGGCGTGAGCCACCGCACCTGGCCAGGCTCAAGTCTTTCAAAAGGAGCCCCGTTCCCCTCCACATCACATCCCTGCTGTGTGAGGACCTCCCTCCTGGCAGCCAGCCGTGCAGCATGACATGGGGCAGAGGGAATACAGAGTGAAGGGCCTCTCTGGTCCTTCACGGGAAATGTGACTTTGGACAAGGGGGTGCCTTATTCTGGACAGCCACCCATCCCAAAGACAGTTGGCTTCCCTGCCACCCCATGATTTCTCTGGCTCAGGGGGCCCACACTCACTGGAAGCCAAGGCCTCAGTCTCAGTGGACGGCACTTTGTAGATCTTGCCCCCCTTGTAGACAAAGCTGCCCTCCACCACCTTGAAGTCCAGGTAGCGAGTCACCTCTGTATACAGTAGCATCTTTACCAGCTGCCCTGTGGGGGTGCACAAGGGCAACATCAGCACGGCTCTCTCCAGAGGCTCTAGCTGGTCTGGCCGTGCCTCCTCTGGAGCCTGACCGTCCTCGGGTCTTCCCTATCACCCCCGACCTGCAATACCTCCTTCCTGTCCCTCACCGTTAGCCATGAGGAATTTGGGAATCAGGTCAACATTCCAGTCTCGGCCTCGGCCCATCGACTCAGGGGGCCCCTCCAGCAACTGAAAACGCTTATACAGCTGTAAGCAGAAGGGAGAGAGAGAGACACCTCAGGGACCACCTCCTCCTGCTCCAGGCACCTGGGGAGCTACTTCCACCCTGTGCCGCTATGTGGGAGGTTAACAGGGATAGGCTTGGGCCTGGGCAGCCTCACCTCCTCCAGGGGTGTGATGGAGGAGCTCTCGCCCCCGTAGTAGGGGTTCCGGTCCATGTGCAGCACCTTCTTCCCGTTCACAGACATGATGCCCGACAGGATGCATTCCTGGGGGAGGGTGACACCATCCGCTGCACTCCCACCTGCCTCCGCTCCTACCAGCAGACCTGATTTGTTCCCCACCCAAACCTGCCTCAGTGGACAGCTCCTTCCACCCACCATCCCCACTGGCTAGTTGCCTCGCCTAAAATTGGGGTGATGGCTTCATCCGACCACACTCTCCATTGCAACCTTGCTGGGCAAAGGAGTCCCGTCCCCCTCACAAGGCGGAGAGTGAAATAACGGAGGCTTTGAGGGAGGCAGGGCATCCAGCAGACACAGGATGGCCTTCCAGTACCAACACGCCGAGAGGCATCTACCTACGCAGAGCCGCACAAAAAGGCGGATAAAACACAATAAGGCACAGAGAAGACCCAGCTGGACTGCAAAGGACACTCGAAAGGGAGGAAAAGAAAGGCTTAGCACAGTCCTTGAAATTGTAGGCCCCACCCTGGACTGCTCTTTCTTCAAATAGCAGGAGCCCCTGCCGCTGAGGAGGGGCATCTGGGCCTGGACCGAGGAAGAAGAGTCTCTGAGGGGAGTAGGCCAACGGGGTTTTCGGGGAAAGGGGGAAGATAAACACCCTCACCAGTCACTGTCACTAGCCCAAGGACAAAGGCTGCAGATGCTACCCAGCCTGAGGTCTCCATGGGCAACCGAGGTGGGGTTGCGGGAATGTGCTTACTGCCCCCACTGCTGTTCCTTCTGGAACATTCCCTGGATCCCCTGGCCCCAGAAGACGATGAGGAGGCGGGCTGAGGGCCCACTCTGGCGAGGCCCCCTGACCCCAGGTCCTTCTACTTCATCCCCACCGGGATTAGCGCAAGATGGGAACGGACGCTGAGAGGCAACGCTAGGCGGGCAATGGGTGCGGGCGACGGGTGGATGCCGTGATGGGTGGGGGCGATGGGTGGGCGGGGTCGTGGGCATCGGGCCGAGTGGGGGTGCGTTTTCCGGTCCAGCGGGCAGGGGTAGGGAAGATGGGAGGGCGCCGGGGGTCGGACCCGGGTAGCCCAGGAGGCGGCCAGGAAGGGGGCCTCTTCGGGGAGATGGGGTCATGGCAACGAGCAGAGGCGACGTCGCTGGGGGAGCAGCGGGGTGGGCACGGCGCCGGCTTTTCGGGGAGCGGAGCGCAGAAGATGGCAGTGACCAGAGGATGGGCCGGCGGCCGCATCATCGCGGGGGATGGCGAGGGCACGACGCAGGGCCAGGGGCGCCGGGGCCGCACTTACGGTGAGACCGGTCCCCAGCACGATCACATCGTATTCCTCGTCCATGGTCAGGCCTCGGTGCCAGCGCCCGCTCGGCTCCTCCTCCTCCTTCACCGCAGCAGTCGCCGCCGCCACCGCCGCCGCCGCCACCGCACTGGACCAAAGATGGCGGCGCGTCGGCCGTCGCCCGACCCCTCCGCCGCGTCAAAGAGTCCCGCCTCTTCCCGCGCCCCGCCGCAACCGGCAGGGGCCACCGCCTCCCCGGCTCGCCTCCCGGGAGGGCTGCCAGGGCCCGGGCCACAGCACCAGCGCGGCTCCGCGGGCGACGCTGCTCGCCGAGAGTCTAGAGAGGCGCGGGGCGGGGCGGGCGGGGCGGGCCGGCGGCCGGTGCTGCGGCCCAGGAAGAATCCGTGCGCGGGAGCCGCGCGCGCCCCGCCCCACCCGCCGCGCCCCGCCCCGCCCCGCCCCGCGCGCGCCCGCCCACCTCCCCACCCCCGCCCACCCCCCCGGGAGTCTCGGCGCGGCCCCGCGGCCGGGCGCGCGCCGCTGCGGCAGCCTGGGGCGGCCCCCTCACGACGCGAAGGCTGCCATTGTCACGACGGCCTCCTGAGACGCCGAAGCGCACCGGGACTCGGCCCGACCGCCCCTCCCTACCCTGAGCGGTTAGGGCCCAGCTTGCTAAAGCCCCTCCCGGTCTCCGCGGATGCCTCTTCGCCTCCCCCTCGCCAGGCTCCATCCTCCCGCATCCCTCCGGCGAGCACGCGCCTAAAGCCCAGCGCAGAAATGAGCGACAAGAGGCCCAACGCATGGCGACCCGCGTTTATTTTATTAGGAAGGAAACAACCAAGCACCCCATGCTCCTGCCCGGCACTCCCGGTGGGAACATGCCAAACAGCCGGCGATCGCACCCAGCCCACCTGTCGTGGAGGTCCCTTCCTTCTCAGGCCACAGAAATAAACCCGTGTACTTCTTATTGTTAGCACAACATCACCAGAAAACGATAACGACAGCCAAGCAGGACAGACAGTTAAGTAGTACTTCCACACTCCCAAACTCAGGGAGCCCTATAACCTTAAGGAGGGAGCATTTGCTACACAAAAGCACTATCCACAGCCAGGGATGATGTAGCCACAAGAATAAATAAGGAGAAAGGAGACCCTAGAATTCATGTCCCTTACGCCTCACAGCGACGAACCCTGGGAAGCTGGTTGGTCTAGCATCTACGCAGAATATGTACACCTTGTTGGGAGAGATGGGGGCAGCCCAAGAAAGCTCCTCAGCGGGCTGAAGAGGGAGCAAGATGGGCTGAGGGGAGCTTGCAGTTCATGCTGCAGTAGGAAGAGGGAAGCTCTTCAGTCCAGTGCGCTGCAGGGTGGGAAAGCAACAACACGGACACCGTCCCACCCTCAACCCCCCCACTGGCACAGGGTCACACAATCTGGGTCAAAGAAATAGTGGGGCCCTTGTGGTCATCAAAGCGATCCATGGTCTTGAGGCTGAGGATCATGTGCAGGCCATAGGTGAAGATGAAGAGCATGAACAGGGAGGTGAGCAGCCCCATCCAGATGCCGGGGGAGAAGAAGCTGGCACAGTCGCTGGCGTAGGAGAACTGCTCCCCCATTACGTTGAAAGCCTGGATCTGGCAGACACACAGACACGGGTCAGAAAGGACCGTTGGGAGGCCCAGCAAGAACTGGGACAGGGGCAGCGCAGGGACAGGACTCTCAACTACATGCCCAAGCCCAAGCCTCTCTTCGTCTCTCAACCACTAGCCTGGGCTCCCCCACCTGAAGCTGGGCCACGCCCGCTCCATACCTGGAAGTCCTGAAGCATCATCTGCCAGGGAGAGGGCTGCGTGCGGGCCACGAGGAGACTACCCTTCTTGCTCAGGCTGCTGACATACTCGCAGTGGAAGGAGTAGATGCTGGGCCCTGTGACCTGGGAAGCATTGAAGTAGGCGACGGAGCCATTGCTGTGGACTTCGAGGCGCTCCATGGTAAACCAGTGCCGGGCAGACACTGGGTAGAGGCGGTTGGCCAGAATGAACCTGGGGAAGGTGGCAGGGATGTCAGGTGAGCTGGGGAGGCTGGGGCCACACCAGCCCACCCATACCTCAACCACCCCCAGGACTCACTTGAATGTCACTGTGGTACCAAAGAGTCGTTCATAGGTCAGTGAGAGCCTGTGGGGCCAGAGAAAGAGGCGCACTGTGAGGCTCTGGGAGGGCCTTTGGCATCTTAGAGGAACAAGTTCCTCAGCTCTGCTCCTACCTAAGCTGCCTTGGGTCCTTGCAGCCACCTGAAGAAGCAGTGTCCCCACTTGACAGATAGGAAAACTGAGGATCCAGTCACATTGCAAGGTCGGAACAGAGCTGGAAGCCAGGACCCAGGTCCCCCTTGCCACCAGCATGGGGGTCCTTCCTCTGGTTCCCCTGAGCTCACTGCCCCTCCTTTTACTCCCTCTTAGGGTCACTAAGGTGCCTGGGCTGGGCTTTGGGGGCGAGAGCAAACAGAAGGGCATGGTTGCCCCATAAATGGCTCAGATAGCTGGCCTGGTATTTGCCCACACAAAGTCCCAGAGGTTTTGCTCAAGGGGGAGGTGACAGGTTCCCAGGTAACCTTGAGGTGTTAACAACCAAGGTCCCAACCAAAGACTCGCAAGCATGGGGAGGCAGAAGTCTGAGCAACTCCCCCTCCAACAGCACCCCATGCCATGACACCTCCTACATCCTCACGCTGCCCAGACCCCAACCAGACCATGGCCATCCCCACCCCAAAACACAGACCTGACCCTGGCTCCCTGCCCCACCTGCGACCCACAGTGATGGGAAGGTCACCTGTGGTGGCACAGTCCTCCCCAGCCTAGTGCCCTTGCCTGGCAAAGGAGTCATTCCAGAAGGAGCCAGTCAGGTTGAGTTCCTGCACCCCAAAGGTGAGGGGAGTCAGGTCCTCCCACTGGTCCTTGTACGCCACAGAGAAGTTTTGGGCCCAGAACAGGATCCGGGGAGCGGTGTCATTGTAACTCACAGGAGGATGGATCACAGGTGATACTGGCTGTTTTTGTAGCAGCTGGCGACCTAGCCCTCCGGCCACCACGGCTACATCACGGGCCACCTGCAGAAACACCCAACCAGCCTTCTTTCAGCAGCCCTGGGAGAGTGTCACACTTGAACCCAATTGTCGTGCCCTCCTTCCCCTCCCAACAGGACACCCTGTCCACTATCTCAAAGTCCCATCAGCCAGAGGAGACCTTTCCTCCAGGAAGCCTTCCCTGATGCCCCCTAAACCCTGATGACATTCCTAGTCCCTCAAACTTAGGGTCATTTAGACTTAGTGTCCAAGTCTGCCACCCACAAGCCTCACAGGACGAGATGGAAAGCTGCCCCTGGAATGGGGAGGCAGGACTTGAGTGCTCATCCTAGCCCTGCCCCCAGAGTCAGCCACTCCAAATAGTCACACCACAGGGGTTCTGTGCCTCATGCTTCCCCTATGCTGGGCCTCCTGGGCAGCCTACCTGTGGCATACACTCCCCACCTCCAAGCAGACTCACCACACTGCCTCTCCCTGCACGCCCCAGAGCCCCTGCTGGAAGGGCACATACCCTGGAAGGGCGGACCGCTGTGAGGGCCGCTGTGTATGGGACATCTTCGGACTTGAGTGTGCTCAGGACCTGCCCGATGACCTCATCTGAGGGTCAACAAGGAGAGCAGAGACTCAGGTCACCAGGCACCCTGCATAAAGAAACACTCCCCACTGTCTGCTTTAGAAACCTTCTAGACCATCTGAAAGTGGTGTGTTTACTTTCCACTGAGGATCCTTAGGAGCAGCTACTTCTCATCCCACCCCCATTCCCAGCCTCCCCCAGAGACAACTGTGGCTTCAGTCATCGATTCCCTAATGCCAAGCCCTACCTATGTGACATAAGAAAATACATATCAATACAGAAAACTCCACATCCACCCATGAAAGGTTCACGACTGCCTTTCCATGGGGAGTGACTGTCCTTTATTGCAAATAGATGAGTCCCCAGAATTGTTTTTCCAAATGTCTGCAGTCTTATTAAACCCATAACTCTAGGATTCACGCTGCCTGCACAGAAACTGGCTCCACAGCCTCCAGCACAGAGAGCCGCCCCCCTCTGCCAAGTGGGGTCTGGCTGGACAGGGTCTTCTGTCAGGTGGTCCCTGGCTGGTCCTGGGAGCCAGCATTTCCCTGCTCCACTGCCAGCTGCCCCGAGAAGCAGGCGGGCCACCCTGGGAGTGAGGAGGCCGAGGAACTGCAGGCCAGCTCTCTCTGTGGCCCCCACCCAAGGGCTAGATGAGGACGTGCATCCTCCCTGATTCTACTCACCGTTGCCTGTGAGGACTTCCCTGGGTGCCATCAGACCAGAGCTATGGAAGACAAACAGAGCGCCAGAGTCCTCAGGCGGCCTGGACCTGCACTGCCCACTACCCTTCCCCGACCCCAGCTTCTCCTCCCCACTAGCCCCACGCACCAAGCCTGCACACTCTTACCTCAGTGCCCCCTCCTGGAAGCCCATCCCACCCCGAGGCTTCTCAGTCACACTCAAGTCCTGGCCACCTGCTCTGTGACAAGGGCCTGGCTAGGTGAGAAGGCTCCCCACCCGCAGGGCTCACATCTGCCTCATCTCTGGAGGCCCAGCTCAGTGCTAGGCACCAACTCCTGAGTCACAGAAGAGGCCCTCCCCTCCTCTTCTGGCCACACAGGGCACCTTCTGGAAGGGCTGTGAGGGGGTGGGGAGTACTGGCATCTTTAGCCAAACGGTGCCACCACATGCCATAGCCCAGGGCCTTGCTGCTCTCTGGGCCCCGAGGCTGGTGGCTGGGCCATGCGGGCAGTACCTGGCTGTGTAGGGCAGGCGAATGAGCAGCAGAGCAGGGAGGCTGGCATTGAGCTTCAGCTCCCGCAGGGTGGCCAGGTCCACATGCAAGGGGCTGGCCCCGAGCTTCTCCTGCAGGTAAGTGGTCAGAGTGCTGACTGCATACCAGTCGACGGCAGGAAGCACCAGTGAGGAGGGGGCCAGGTCCAGGGCATTCTGGGGACAGGGGAGAGGCAAAAGGTGAGTTAGCCAGGGGCCAGTGGGCCTGGCCCAGCCCCCCACACCTCTCTGGCAGCTCTCCTCTGGCAAGCCATACCCATAAAGGCTCACCAAGAAAATGGCCCACACCCCAGCCCCTGACATTCAGGCCCCAGGCCTTTCTACCCCAAAGCCAGCGTCTCTGCTCCCTAAGAGTATGAGGTGGCTTTTGTTGTTGTTGTTGTTTTTGGGGGGGATGGTTGACCCAGAAGAGACTCAGACCCAAGTAACCCTGATATGAGGTCAGAGTACAGTTCTTATGCTGGGAGAAGGAGCACAGAATGTCCCCCATGGCCCCTGGCTGGGAGAGGACTCTCACCTCTAGGTTAGAAAAGGCGCTGTCCTGCTTGTTTCCAAACACACCGCCATATGCTGTGAAATCCTCAATGCTCAGCTATTAGGGAAATAGGGGAGACATCTGAGGAGGTTTGGCAAGTGATGGGGGCCAAGGCAGGGGACAGCCACCTTCCCCGTGCATTCTCAGGGCCAGCAAAGTCTCACTGAGAGTCAGGTTCAGTATGGTGGAGCACAACTGTGTGTTGGTGGGGGTGGGGTGGGAGACTCACCTCTTCCCTCCAGCACTCTCAGGGCAGGGTGAGAAGACATGGAAGGCAGTCATGGGGTGGGGAGATCTGCAGGCAGCTGACTTGTGGTAACTCAGGAGTAGGAGTCAGCCGCCTTGCCCACCCTACAGACAAGAGGAACTGGGGAGGGAACAGGGAAGCTGCGGGGAGGGGGTGGGGCAGCCAAGAGCATTTGTGGCAGGCCTCCCAGCCAGAGAAAAGGAGAGTCGGCTATGTCCAGTCTGGACGGGACCCTCCCCCCACCTGCTTTTGGCGGAAGGGGAGAGGTGAGGATCTCAGAACATGCTGGAGGAAGCATCGAGCATTGAAGTCTTTTGAGCTCTTAGGACCACAGTGGCCCCGACCCCATCCCTTTTTCTCCACAACCTACAGATGTCCTTTGTCCTTTTGCTCCTACCCTCCACTCCCATCCCCAGCTTCCTCTGGCCCTTCCCAGTTAGGCCCTGAGGAGATTTTAATCAGCTTCCCTAACCTGTTTGGTATACACACTCGCCCAGCCTCCCCTCCCTTGTGGGCAGGACCTTGCTGCTGTTTGGCCACCGGGGTTCTCAGTCGGAAAGCCCAGGAACTGCTGGTGGGTCCTGTGGGCTTTCTTTAATTGAGAAATCACACCACTCCCTGCTCCACGTTACCCAAGGCTTTCTCACACATTTCGAACTGCAACTGACCTTCCCCCTCATGGCCTACAAGGTCCTACTTCATCGCCTAGCCACCTGCAAACCATCTCCTACATCTCCTACCCCTTTCTCTCACTCACTGTGCTCCAGCCACACCAGCTCTTCCTTGAGCTGGCCAAGAGCACACCTCGCCCAGGACCCTCGCATTTGCTGTTCCAGGAATGTCCTTCCCCAAACGGCTCCCTCCCTCCATTAAGATCGCTGCTCATATATCACCTCCTCAATGAGGCCTGGCCTGACCACCCTTATCTAAAATAGCATCCCAGTCACTCTGTCCCCTTAGCCTGCTTCCTTCCCTAAAGGCCGTAACACTGACATCATATCCTATACCGACTTAGTATTTACTGGCCACCCTCACAAGAATGTCAGCTTCCTGAGGGTGGGGGCTTGGGTTCTTCTGCTCACTGCCATATCCCCAACACTTCACAATACCTGGCACATAGTAGGCTTTCCATATTGGGCAAATGAATGAATGGGTGAATGCCCTAAGACTGGGGGATCCTGGCTAGATGTTTTATGTGGATTATAAGAATTCCCCCTCACAGGCCGGGCGCGGTGGCTCACGCCTGTAATCCCAGCAGTTTGGGAGGCTGAGGTGGGTGGATCACGAGGTCAGGAGTTCAAGACCAGCCTGGCCAACATGGTGAAACCCCATCTCTACTAAAAATACAAAAAAATACAAAAATTAGCTGGGTGTAGTGGCGGGCGCCCTGTAATCCTAGCTACTCGGGAGGCTGAGGCAGAGAACTGCTTGAACCCGGGAGGCGGAGGGTGCAGTGAGCTGAGCTGACATTGCACCACTGCATTCCAGCCTGGGCAACAGAGCGAGACTCCGTCTCAAAAAAAAAAAAAAAAAAGATTTCCCACTCACAGCCCTCTGATATAGGTGGTGTCTTCATTTTACAGATGTAGAAACTGTCATTCACAAAGATTATTTCATGCCTCCAATGGCTGGTTACATGGTAGAACTAGGACTCAGTTCCTATTTGACTATATTATTTACCACCTCCTGAAAAGACTTCAGGCCACCACCATCTGCCCACACAGCAACCAAGGGAGACTACAAGGGCAATGAGCCATACAGGCCACCAACAAGGGAGGGCCTAGCAGAGACTTGCTATCTTAGAGTCATCTCATGGTCTCCACGCCTGCTTTTGGGGCAAAGATCCTGGATGGGAAGGAAAACAGCATGCGGGTTATGAGCTCCAATTGGGAGGGAGGATTGGCAGACTCAGGCTGGAACCAAAGTGGTATCTATCAACTGTAGTGAAACATTGTATCTCGACAAACCTTACTTTCCTTGGCAGTGAAACCAAGATAATGACATCAGTGTAGCAAGTGCCTACAAAGCACTAAACAGGTGAGCATTTTCCAATTATCATTATTATGATCATCACAGCTAGAATTACAACTCTGCCACCCATTAGCTGTATGAGCTTGGACAAGTCACTTAACCTCCAGCCTCAGTCTTCTCATCTATAAACAAACAGGGACGATAATCCCCACCCACCATATTGGACTAAGTCAGATATCCAAAGTGCTTGGTACTCAGTAGGTACCTGGCCTCTGGTCCGTCGCTTCCTCCAATCAAGTTGGTGCCATTTCCGAGGCTGTCGCCATGCCCACTGAAGCGTTTACTACAGGCCTTCCCATGAGACGACCCACACCTCCCTACAGTTGGGACAAGGTCACTGAAGCTTCCCTTGGGGAATGGGCGTCAGTGTCATGGGGGGAGGGGGCCTGGCTGCCTCCCGATGACCGGGGGAGAGTGGGCTGGGGCGGGCGCACCTTGTCCTGCAGGAACAGCAGCACATTCCTGGGACCCAGCTCCAGGGCGGGATCTAAGTAGGTAGAGAGCTGCAAGTCGCTGGTGATGTGGCCTTCATGAGTGTCGGCCGCAGGAGCCCACAAGTCCCTGGCAGGGCACAGAAGAGGTGCTGTCAGACGGGGGCGCATGTGGACTGGAGCTCTGTCGCCGGCAGATTCGCTGCGAGCCCCCGAGCAAGGAACAGTCCACCTCCGGGCCTCACCACCCCTCGCCTAGGACAGCGCCGGAGTCGGGCGAGGGCGCCTCAGCCGCCACAGCGCATCCCACCCCGGCCCGCTCACCGGTCACTCGACCACAGCACCAGCGGGACCTGCTGCTCCGCCGCTGCCGCCGCCGCCGCCGCCGCCAACGACAAAAACACCGGCAGCCACGGCATGCGCCAGAGCGCCTGGGCGCACCGCGGCCCCATCCGCACTCGAGCCGTCGCCATGGCCGCCATCATAGCCTCAGCCTCCACTGCCTCAGCGGCCTCGACAGCCGCAGATCAGGTGACCGTTGCCCCCGCCCGAGCCCCGCCTCGCACCTCCATTGGCCCCAGCGCGGGCCGACCGGCAGGGCCGCAGGTAATTGGACCAAGTGCATGCCACTCGCGGCCACTCCTTCTCACTGGTTGGCTGTACGTGTCTCCAGGCGCTCACGCTCCGAGTGGGAAAGGGGATGGGGCCCAGCTAGACCGACTAGGACGAGACAAGAGGGACAGGGAGGCTTCGCGGAACCCTACGCCCACCCGACGCGTTCGCCCGTCCGTTTTTATTTTTATTTTTATTTTGGTTTTTTTGTTGTTGTTCTCTTCTTTTGTCTTTTTTTTTTCTTTAGAGACGGGGTCTAGCTATGTTGGCCAGGCTGGTCTCGAGTCCCCGGGCTCAAGCGATCCTCCCGCCTCAGCCTCCGGAAAAGTGGGACTACAGGCGCGCATCGCCGCACCCGGCCAATCCCTGTTTTAATCCTTTTCCTTAAAATTGCAAAAGTGGTGTCTTTTTCCTGCAGATGGACCCTCCCTGATACAGGTGAGAGGAGACTGTAATCCCTTAGAACGAGGAGTGAAGCGGGCTCAGGATAGCATCTAGGGGAACACCCAGCACTTACATTGGGCAGGAGGAGAAGGGTCCAGAAAAGAGATCGGACAAGGAGCAATCAAAGAGGAAGGAGAAAACCCAGAGCGAAGCGTGGCATCAAAGACACCCTAACGGGCCGGGCGCTGTGGCTCACGCCTGTAATCCCAGCACTTTGGGAGCCCGAGGCGGGCGAATCATGAGGTCAAGAGATCGAGACCATCCTGCACAACATGGTGAAACCCCATCTCTACTGAAAATACAAAAATTAGCTGGGCATGGTGGTGCACACCTGTAGTCCCAGTTACACGGGAGGCTGAGGCAGGAGAATCACTTGAACCCGCGAGGCGGAGGTTGCAGTGGGCCGAGATCGCGCCACTGCACTCCATCCTGGGCGACAGAGTGAGAGTCCATCTCAAAAAAAAAAAAAAAAAAAGATTGTAGTCATGATTGTCACATGTGATTCAGACTAGGACTAGGATAGTGGCAGTTGAGCTGGAGAGAGGAAGTGGGTCTGACAATACAGTCAAAGAAGATTGTAGCTTTTGGGTCTCTCTGAGTTGGGGACTGGGAGACGAGGTCACTTGGGGGCTCACTGAGTTTCGGGTGCTTAGGGAAACCCCCAAGTGGCCATTTCCAGGCCTTAACTAGCTGAGGAGAGAGGTTTTCACTGGAGCTTCACTGTATCCCAGGAGAATCCAGCAAACTTAAAAAGGAAAGCATGTCTATTATGTTTCTGTTACTTTTGTTACATAGTTTCAAGGCAAATACTTCCTCTGGAATGCGGAAGGCAATCTTGCCTCCGCCAGGACTCTGTTGCTGAGCTGCTTCCATGCTTAGGGAAGAAACCCACCTGTGGCTGCTTTTATTCTTCCCTGCATTGCTAGGGGTCCCTGGAGTGATGGCCCTGGAGGCTTCCTGAAGCACCTGCTATGGGCCAGGCACCTGGACTCTGCCCCGGAAGTTGACAGTTTGGTCTAGAGGACATGCAGGACAGCAGGTCATGATACAGGGTCATGAATATTCCAAAGGTTGAGACATGGGACTGGGAGGGATGTAAGGAGAGGGGCACCGATGAAGCTGCTCCCACCAGGAGGTGATATCTAAACTGAACCAATCACCAAATGTTGACAGCACCAATGAGCACCTTCTGTCTGGGGACTTCATCTTTAGGGTAAAAGCATTTTGTTCATTGAAATCCTGGCTGGGCGTGGTGGCTCACGCCTGTAATCCCAACACTGGGAGGCTGAGGCGGGCAGATAACCTGAGGTCAAGAGTTTGAGACCAGCCTAGCAAACATGGCAAAACCCCGTCTCTACTAAAAATACAAAAATTAGCTGGGCGTGGTGGCGGGCACCTGTAGTCCCAGCTACTCAGGAGGCTGAGACAGGACAATTGCTTGAACCTGGGAGGCGGAGGTTGCAGTGAGCCGAGATCGTGCCATTGCACTCCAGCCTGAGCAACAAGAGCGAAACTCCATCTCAAAAAAAAGAAAAAAAAAAAGGGCCGGGCACTTTGGCTCATGCCTGTAATCCCAGCACTTTGGGAGGCCGAGGCGGGCGGATCACGAGGTCAGGAGATCAAGACCATCCTGGCTAACACGGTGAAACCCCATCTCTACTAAAAATATGAAAAATTAGCCAGGCGTGGTGGCGGGCGCCTGTAGTCCCAGCTACTCGGGAGGCTGAGGCAGGAGAATGGCGTGAACCCGGGAGATGGGGCTTGCAGTGAGCCGAGATCGTGCCACTGCACTCCAGCCTGGGCGACAGAGCAAGACTCTGTCTCAAAAAAAAAAAAAAAAAGCACTTCTATGGTGAAACGTAACCCAAAAAAGAAAAGAAGTAGGCCAGGCGCATTGGCTCACGCCTGTAATCCCAGCACTTTGGGAGGCCAAGGCGGGCGGATCACCTGAGGGCAGGAGTTCGAGACCAGCCTGGCCAACATGGTGAAACCCCGTCTCTATTAAAAATACAAGATAATTAGCCGGGCATGGTGGCATGCGCCTGTAATCCCAGCTACTCGGGAGGCTGAGGCAGGAGAATCGCTTGAACCCAGGAGGCAGAGGTTGCAGTGACCAGAGATCATGCCATTGTACTCCATCCAGCCTGGGTGACAGAGCGAAACTCTGTCTCAAAAAAAAAAAAAAAAAAAAAAACCCACAAAATAAAGATGTACAGTGTAATGCTTATCAAAGCAGACAGTTCCATGGCATCACCCAGGTCAAGAATTTGAATATCATTGCCCTGAAAGCCCCTCTCATACCCTTACTATCACTTCCCAATGTGACCATGAACTTGATTCTTTTGCTAATCACTTTGGTCTTTATAGTTTGACCAGTTAAGCATGCATTCCTAAAAATGATGGGATGTGTTGTTTTGGCTGTTTTGAGGCTTTAAATAAAGGAAATTATTCAGTATAATATTTTTCCCTCCTCCACTCTTTTTTTTTTTTTTTTTTTTGGAGACAGAGTTTGGCTCTTGTTGCCCAGGCTGGAGTGCAATAGCGCCATCTCGGGTCACTGCAACCTTCGGATTCAAGCAATTCTCCTGCCTCAGCCTCCCGAGTAGCTGGGATTACAGGCATGTGCCACCACGCCCGGCTAATTTTTTGTATTTAGTAGAGACGGGATTTCACCATGTTGGTCAGGCTGGTCTTGAACTCCTAACCTCAGGTGACCCACCCACCTTGGCCTCCCAAAGTGCTGAGATTACAGGTGTGAGTCACCGCACTCAGCCTTCTCCTCCACTCTGAAGGGAAGTATTATTTTGTGTCTAGATTCTTTGCTCAACATTGGCAGATTAATTCAAGTGGCTGCATGTAACAATGTTGCTGCATAGTATTCCCCTGGATGAATACGTCACCATTGATTGTGTCCTTCAACTGTTGACATTTGGTTGGTTTCCCATTTGGGCTGTTATGGCTAATGCTGCTGTGAACAATTATGTATACGTCTTTCTTTTTCTTCTTTTTTTTTTTTTTTTTGAGACGGAGTCTCGCTCTGTCACCTAGGCTGGAGTGCAGTGGCGTGATCTCAGCTCACTGCAAGCTCCGCCTTCCGGGTTCACGCCAGTCTCCTGCCTCAGCCCCCTGAGTAGCTGGGACTACAGGTGCCCACCCCCATGCCCAGCTAATTTTTTGTATTTTTAGTAGAGACGGGGTTTCACTGTGTTAGCCAGGATGGTCTCTATCTCCTGACCTCAAGATCTGCCCGCCTCGGCCTGAGTGCTTGGATTATGGGCGTGAGCCACTGCGCCCAGCCGATGTATGTGTCTTTTGTTAAACATAGATGTTCATTTCAATAGGTATATAACTAGGTGGGGAATTGCTAGGTCATAGAGTATATGCACTGGGTTGAGTAGTGTCCCCATAAAAGTCATTGCAGACAGAATCAAGTTAAGGTGAGGTTATACTGCATAAGGGTGACCCCTAGTTCAATCAATGCATGGTGTTTTTAAAGGAGGAGAAAAAGAGACAGACACAGGGAGGAGAGCACTGCACGCAGCTGAAGGCAGAGATTGGAATGACACCTCTGCAAGCCAAGGAACACGGAGCATTGCTGGGAACCACCGGAAGAAGCCAGAAGACAGGCCTGGAGCTGGCTTTCCCTCACAGCCCCAGAAGGAACCCACCCTGGTGCCACCTTGATTTCGGACTTCTGGCCTTCAGAACTGGGAGAGAATAAATTTCTGTTGCTTTAAACTTCCCAGTCTCTGGCACTTTGTTACTGCAGCCACAGGAAACCCATACCATGCACACTCTGCCTTTTGTGTTTCCTCTTCTGTGAAATGCCTTTTTTTTTTTTTTTTTTGAGACGGAATTTCGCTCTTGTTGTCCAGGCTGGAGTGCAATGGCACAATCTTGGCTCACTGAAGCCTCTGCTTCCCGGGTTTCAGTGATTCTCCCGCCTCAGCCTCCTGAGTAGCTGGGATTACAGGCACCCACCAACATGCCCAGCTAATTTTTTTTTTTTTTTTTGTAGAGATGGGGGTTTCACCATGTTGTCCAGGCTGGTCTCAAACTCCTGGCCTCAGGTGATCCGCTCACCTCGGCCTCCCAAAGTGCTGGGATTACAGGTGTGAGCCACCACGCCCGGCCTTAACCACTTTTAACTGTACAGTTCAGTGGCATTAAGTACGTTCACACTGTTGTACAGTCATCACCACCATCCATCTTCAGAACTCTTTTCATCTTCCCAAACTAAAGCTCTGTCCCCATTATACAATTTCTCATTCCCCCATCCTCCCAGGCCCTGGAAACCAACCTTCTACTTTTTGACTCTGGATCTGAAGCCGGTAAGTACATCATATAAGTGGAATCATATAATATGCAGCCTTTTGTTTCCGGCTTATTGCAGTTAACATAATGTTTCTTGAAAATCCTTTGAGAGTATCCATTTGATAGCATGTATCAAAATATTCCTTTTTCTTTCTTTTATTTTTAATTTTTTTTTTTTTTTGAGACGGAGTCTCGCTCTGTTGCCCAGGCTGGAGTGCAGTGGCACGATCTCGGCTCACTGTAAGCTCCACCTCCTGGGTTTACGCCATTATCCTGCCTCAGCCTCCAGCTGGGACTACAGGCACCTGCCACCACGCCTGGCTAATTTTTTTTTTTTTTTTTTTTGTATTTTTAGTAGAGATGGGGTTTCACCATGTTAGCCAGGATGGTCTCGATCTCCTGACCTTGTGATCTGCCTGCCTCGGCCTCCCAAAGTGCTGGATTACAGGCATGAGCCACTGTGTCTGGTGTGTTTTTTTGTTTGTTTATTTGTTTGTTTGTTTTTTGAGATGAAGTCTCCCTCTATCGCCCAGGCTGGAGTCCAGTGGCACGATCTCAGCTCATTGCAACCTCTGCCTCTTGGGTTCAAGTGATTCTCCTGCCTCAGCCTCCTGAGTAGCTGGGATTACAGGCGTGCGCCATCACGCCAGCTAATTTTTTGGGGGTTTTTTGTTTGTTTTTGAGACGGAGTCTCACTCTGTCGACCAGGCTGGAGTGCAGTGGTGTGATCTTGGCTCACTGCAAGCTCCGCCTCCCGGGTTCACGCCATTCTCCTGCCTCAGCCTCCAGAGTAGCTGGGACTACAGGCACCCGCCACCACGCCTGGCTAATTTTTTTGTATTTTTAGTAGAGACGGGGTTTCACCATGTTAGCCAGGATGGTCTCGATCTCCTGACCTCGTGATCTGCCTGCCTCGGCCTCCCAAAGTGCTTGGATTACAGGTGTGAGCCACCAGGCCCAGCCTTTTTTTTTTCTTTTTTTGAGACGGAGTTTCGCTGCTGTTTCCCAGGCTGGAGTGCAATGGCTCGATCTCGGCTCACCGCAACCTCCGCCTCCCAGGTTCAAGCGATTCTTCTGCCTCAGCCTTCCCAAGTAGCTGGGATTACAGGCATGCGCTACCATGCCCTGCTAATTTTGTATTTTCAGTAGAGACGGGGTTTCTCCATGTTGGTCAGGCTGGTCTCAAACTCCTGACCTCAGGTGATCTGCCTGCCTCGGCCTCCTAAAGTGTTGGGATTACAGGTGTGAGCCACTGCGACTGGCCTAATTTTTGTATTTTAGTAGAGATGGGGTTTCACCATGTTGGCCAGGTTGGTCTCGAACTCCTGACTTCAAATGATCCGCCCACCTTGGCTTCCTAAAGTGTTGGGATTACAGGCGTGAGCCATGGTGCCCAGCTGCTTCTATCTATATTTAATTACAAGTGTTTGTTTTTTCCCAGGTAATTTTTTTCCCTTTTTGGTCATTTTTTTAAAAACCTTTTATTTTGAAATAATTAGGCACCAACACTGCTGAAAGACCTGGTTGTCTGAATCTTCTCTTGTTGCTGGCTCATCTTTGGTGGTTCTATATTTTCTTTCTTTCCACGTTTCTGTTATAGTATTTTTAATACTGTGTCTACGCCACCACCCTGGATTTGCCTTTGCTCCCACCCAGGACCCCCAGCTCCATCTGGGCAACCCCAATCCTACCTCCTGATCACAGCGTGCACTGCTCATGGCTGGCTACTTGCCGGGCTCTTCAGAGCTCCTCTCCCACCTATGATGCAGCCCAGGTAGGATCCAATTGATTCTCCACACTTGGGTCTCTCTGAAGTGTGGCCCCAATCTACCTGGCTAGCTTTGGGTTTTGAAGCAAGTTCATTAGCCTCACTCCACCTCCTTGGCAAAATGAGATTAATCCCTATTTCTGCAATGTTGTTACAGGGATTACAGACAATAACTGAAGCCTTAAGTGACTGGTGCAGAAGAGGTTGATGCCCATCTGCTCAAGTGTGCTCCATGTCCCCAGGGCACTAAGGGTTCAGCCTTTCTGTCCAGCAGTCACTTCCCATTTTCACCCCTACAGAGAGGCCAGAGACATTTTACAACAAGCCAACACATATGCTTTATGGTTCTGTTTCAAAAACATGAAAACCCAGGCCCTAGGATTCAAGTGATGTTGAGAGGCAGAAAGGATGGAGAAGTTGTTGGCGCCAGCATGGGGGCAAGCAGCCAGACCTCAGGCCCTCACTCTAGGCTCCACGTGGCTGGGCTTGACTTCTGGCCAAGGGCTGCTTTTCCCGCCTGCGGCCCACCTGAGGCCAGACCTTGCCTGAGGAAAGGGCCTGTGGTGGGGGGGAAGCTCAGGCAGAAGGAAGACGTGGCCAACGGCCATCCCTGAGGAGGTAGTGAGCAGCTCCTGGTTCGGCAAGGGCGGTGGGTAGGAGCCAGGCCGAGGAGTCTTAGGGTCCCCTCTCCACAGCTCTGGTGGGCCCCCTGCTCCCCTAGCCAACTGGTTGCTCACCTGCCTTCTATGCTCCCTCCTGAAGCCAGCCCCTGGGAGAGAACATCTGAAGGCAAGAAGGAAAGAGAGCCCTGCCTAAGCTTCTTCCTCCCTGCTTGGCCAAGTGGGAGAAGCAGCTGAGGTCCTTTGTGTAACTGAGGAAGCACGGAGGAGCTGGAATGCCTACCAGCTCGGAGAGGGCACTTGAGAGGGTCTATGAACAAATCTGTCTAAAAGCCACGTTTGAGCTAAAAGCATCAGTCCATCCCTCAGCCCCAGCTCTGTGCGGGCCAAGAATCCAGAAGGCAGCAAGCAAGGCCTATCTCCCAGGCTGGAGGTGGTTGTGGAGCTGCTCTGCCTGAGTCTTCAGATGCTGGAATTCCTCTTGAATGAAGTCCGTCAGGGCTTTCCGCATCTCCACCTGAGGGAAAGGACCAGGGATGGCCTGCACCCCTCGGGAAGCTTGGCCAAGGTGCCCTGGGAGGGTGCCCTGGGAGGGTGACGGGATGGAGAGGGTGGAGGCACCCTGCTGGAAGCCAGCAGCAGGGGGTCCGGGGACAGCTACGGGGGACCCAGGAGGAAACTCACAGCCGACTTGTTCTCCGCCCGGAGCCGCTCGAGTACAGGCAGGGCACTGAAGGGCTTCCCGATCAGCACAGTGATTTTCTGTGGGGTGGCCGCCAAGAGTGATGAGGAGCAGTAGGAGTGCCCACAGCCCCAGCCCAAGCAACCCGGGAGCCAGAAGCTAAGCCCCGGCCCTGCTGTGCCACACACTCCCCAGGGGCCACTCTTCCTCTAAAACAAGGTCCTGGTCCTGGGTCCTGTGCTGTAGATGACCTGTCCTGTCCTGACCCCACAGCCCACCTCTGCCCCAGCCTGACTTCCTCTGCTCTCATTTTAATGTCTCGGTGCCAGGAAGTCCCTGTCTATGTTCCACTCTGTCCCCTGCTGTAGCCTCATGCTCAGCTCCTCCTGCAGCTGGCCTCCATAGTGCTGAGTGGGAGACACGGAGCAGACAGCAGACAGGCAGACAGCCGAAGGTCAGCAGTCCCCACCCACCTGTCCAAAGCGGGGGAAGTAGGGCGGACTGTTAGGAAGGACGTCATTCATTCCTGCAGCACAGTGGACAGAAGGCCAGACGTGGGGTGGAGCAGGGCAGCCTGGGACCAGAGGGAGTCCCAGGCCCCCCACCCCAGATGCCATCTCTCTGTCCCCGTCCCCAGGCTCACCGACATGCCACAGGGGCAGGATGATGGGGTTGAGATGACACTCAGCAATCAGGCGCCCGATTCCTGCCCAGGGGGGAGGTAGAAATGTTAGCATAAGCTGGGCCCTGAGCCAAGCTTCTGTGCCAGCCTCTGGCCACTGCCACCCCCGACATCCTCCAGTTCAATTCAGCTCCCTTGGGCAAGCCCCTGCGAGAGGCAGGCCTAGTCTCAGCACCTGTCCCCTTCCTGGCGCTACAAACACGCCCATCTACCCCCATACAAGCCAGCCCGAGGGGGCGGGAGCCAGGGGCCCACAGGGCCATCTCTGGGCCGGGAGGATGGCTGTGGCCAGAGACCAGCAGCCCTTACCCCACTTGAAACGCAGGAATTCGGAACTCATGTTCACTTTCCCTGGTGAGAGAGCACAGAGGCGAGGCTTGGGAGCCCATCCCGCTCATACTGGGGGGGCTCGACCCAGTCAGCCCTGCTGACCTTCTGGGAAGATATGCACCCAGTCCCCATGGTTGAGCTTCTCCAAAATGAAGTCCATCCCCTTCTGGTAGACGCCATCTCCTGCAAGGAAAAGGCCTCTCCCTATCAGTAACCATTCTCGGGGGCGTGGGGTGACAGGTTAGCTTACCCTCAACACTCTCCAAACCTCAATGAAACAGGCCCTTCTCCCTGGGGCCCATGTGTTGGGGACTATCCCCCTCAGTCCCTGCTTGCTGGGAAAGCCCCAGCAGATTAGGGACTTCCCATCCCCCACTGCGCCATCCACAGACGCCCTCCAATGACCGTCTCCAGGGCCTGCATGGCACTTGGGCACGCTGTGGGGCTTCCTTCCTAATATCTTCTAAACCCCTATGTGCCAGGCAGCATCAGCTCAAGTCATCTCCTACCGAGATTCTGACCTGGCAATTCCTCCATCTACCTATGACCCCCATCTTCAGTGGCTCACCAGCTGGGCCGCTTCAGCCACATACTCCTGCACACTCTCAAAGATCCCCAGGTCAGCGCACCACCTGCCCTCCCTCCCCAGCCAGGCCCTGGCTGCCAGCCGACCGCTCTCGGAGCCTCATGCGTTCCTTTCTCTTTGAAGGTGCCACTCCTGGGCTGATCCTACTATGTGCCAGCTGCTAGAGAAACCAAGTGCATTTGTGATTTCCAACCTCGCTTAGGCCCCAGATTCTGGGCAACAACCCTTTGCTGGGATCTCAGCCGCTTGTCACAGCCACTCCTCACAGGGCACCTGCCTGAGGCCTCAGCCTCCACCATTCCTCCCCCCTGCTGACCCCTTCTTCTCAGGGCACCCCGGGAAACTAGACCCTCCCTTATAGGGAGGTCTCTTGGGAAAGGGAGAACATTCATTTGAACACACATCAAGAGCTTGGGAAAAACTCAAACTTGCTAGACTGAAAAACAGTGGAGTCAAACTGCTCCTGGTCTAGCAACTTTCCACATTGGAGATAACCCTGAGACCATGGCACTGGACCCAAGAGAAGGAAATGCAAACCTCCTTCCTTCTGAAGCCAATGTTGGCTGCTGCGTGCTGGCTGGAAGCCTGGGGATGCTTGGAGACAGTAAGTACACAGTAAGGATCTCATCAACCTTGGTGATGGAAAAGTAATCACATGGCAGACAAAAGAGGAAAGAGGTGGAGAGGTTGAAGGAATGGGGTATAGCAGATATCCTCATCTTATAAAGTGGGGAGTAAAGAAGCCCTATCACAGAGCGAGAGACAGACATTGGGAATACCTTTGGCAATGAACTTTGTTCTCTGCAAGGCCGATTCTTTGGAAGGTGCTAGTTAGGGATCCAGGAATCTCAACCCAACCCAAACAGTGCCCTGACCCAGCAGCCCACTTGGGCTAGAGGGAGGGGGTGATGACCCACTGGAGTTTCCCTACTTGGGACGCAGCATGTGTAATAGTACAGGGGAGTCTTCATAGGTACTGGCCCCTTCTCTACTAAAACCCACTGACGCAACCTATCCATTGAGCTTGAAACTGGAATTTAAAAAATAATAATAATATGCTTTTGGAGCAAGACTTCATCATTTGTAGCTTTTGCAAATGCTACTACTGCTCACTTGTGTCACTTGTGTCAAATCACTTTGATACTTAAATACCATATTAAAATCTACGCTTGGAGAAAAAGGGAATTTTTTGGAACACAGAAGCCAAGTGTGCCAAATACTGCCTTTGCCTTAATGACATATTATTAGTTCTTTGCTGAAGGAACTAAAGAGGCAGGGACGAGGGGTGAATCAGCAGAGTCCCCATCTCTCAGAGCAGGTTGGGATAAACAATGCCACGGTCATTTGCCAAGACACTGTGGCCTCTGCTTGTTCCTTTACAGAGACAGAAGTTCCTTTACAGAGACAGAAGTAGCCTCCAAAAGCAGCAGAAAGAGAAACCGCTCCAGGGGGCTGCTTCTGAGGAGTGGGGCTAGGGAGGTGAGGGGCAGGCACTGCAGCTTTCCATTAAAAGCCCCTCTTTGTTATTTGCTGTTACTTTATTGGGTTTTACCACATTCTACTTTGACCAGCTAGAAATAATAAACCCCTCCTTGACCTCTAATATCCTTTGGTTACCCTTCCTTCTGTCTCTTTTTCCTCCAAACTGAACCTCTGGGAGGAGTTGCCGCCCCTGCGGTCTCCATTCCCCCGCTGCGGTCTCCATTCCCCCCCAACTGCAGCACCACCAGCCCTCAGGCCATAATAATCTGGCTCTGGCAGCTGTCACTGCATGGAAACGCTTCTCCAGCATCACCTGCTGCTTCCATGGTGCCACAGGCGCCTGGTTTGCTTTTCTCTCTGGCCATGGCTCCCTGCCATCTTGGTGGCTTCTCTCTCCCTCTGTGCCATCCTGGGCCTCTGCCCTCTCTCTGAAGACTCTCACTCTGCATTCGTGACTTTGTGGTTTTTGTGGTTGAATTCCCAGTATCTTTATTCCTGATAATTTTTTGTTTTTTTTTTTTTTGAGACGGAGTCTCGCTCTGTCGCCCAGGCTGGAGTGCAGTGGCGCAATCTCAGCTCACTGCAAGCTCCGTCTCCCGGGTTCACGCCACTCTCCTGCCTCAGCCTCCTGAATAGCTGGGACTACAGGTGCCTGCCACCATGCGCTGCTAATTTTTTATATTTTTAGTAGAGACGGGGTTTCACCATGTTAGCCAGGATGGTCTCAATCTCCTGACCTCTTGATCCGCCCGCCTCGGCCTCCCAAAGTGCTGGGATTACAGGCGTGAGCCACTGCACCCAGCCCCCTGATCATTCTTCTAAGTTCCAGAACTGCACACCCCACTGCCTCTGGGACTGCTCTCCTTCCACAGGTGAGGGGCTCCTCAGATGCAGCACAAGCAAAACAGGACTGACCCTCTCCCCTCCCAGCCCCCGCACTGCTTTCCCTTTGCACCCTTCTCCCCGTGGCTCAGCTCCAACACCTGGTGTCATCTTTGAGTTCTCTTCCTCACCCCACCTACACTTAATCTATCAACAAGTCCAGAGTACATCCCAAAGAAGTCCCCTTCTCCGGTTCTCCAACGTGACACTTGGGAGGCCCAGCCACAATCATCTGCTGCTGGAGCTACTGTGACAGCCCTGAACTGGGCTCCTCATGTCCACCTAGCCCTGCTGCAGCCACATTGCAACTGGAATGGTATCTCTCTCTTTTTTTTTTTTTTGAGACGGAGTCTCGCTCTGTCACCCAGGCTGGAGTGCAGTGGCGCGATCTCTGCTCATAGCAAGCTCTGCCTCCCGGGTTCACGCCATTCTCCTGCCTCAAGCTCCGCCTCCCGGGTTTGTGCCATTCTCCTGCCTCAGCCTCCCGAGTAGCTGGGACTACAGGCACCTGCCACCATGCCCAGCTAATTTTGTGTTTTTAGTAGAGACGGGGTTTCATCCTGTTAGCCAGGATGGTCTCGATCTCCTGACCTCGTGATCCACCCGCCTCGGCCTCCCAAAGTGCTGGGATTACAGGCGTGAGCCACCGCGCCCAGCCTCGGCTAATTTTTATATTTTTAGTAGAGACGGGGTTTCGCCATGTTGGTCAGGCTGGTCTCAAACTCCTGACCTCAGGTGAACCACCCGCCTCGGCCTCGCAAAGTACTGGGATTACAGGCATGAGCCACCGCGCCTGGCAGATGCTACCTCTTAACCACAGATACAAGCATGTCACCACCTGGATGAGAGAGCACAGTCAAATACAAAAATCTTTTTTTTTTTTTTTTTTTTTTTTGAGACCAGGTCTCCCTCTGTGGCCCAGGCTGGAGTGCAGTGGCATGATCTCAGCTCACTGCAACCTCCACCTCCTGGGTTCAAGCGATTCTCCCACCCCAGCCTCCCGAGTAGCTGAGATTACAGGCGTGCGCCACCACATCCAGCTAATTTTTGTATTTTTAGTAGACAGGGTTTCGCCACATTAGCCAGGCTGGTCTCAAACTCCTGACCTCAGGTGATCCACCCACCTCAGCCTCCCAAAGCACTGGGATTACAGGCGTGAGCCACCCCACCTGGCTATCTAATCTATCTAATCAATCTATCTATCTTATCTATCTATGTATGTATGTATCTATCTATCTATCTACCTACGTACCTACCTACCTATCTACCCACCTACCTACCCACCTACCTATCTATCTATCTACCTACCTACCTACCTATCTATCTACCTATCTATCTATACCTGGGGTCTCACTATATTGCTCAGGCTGGCCTCAAATTCCTGGGCTGGGTTGGGCACAATGGCTCATGCCTGTGATCCCAGCACTTTGAGAGGCTGAGGCGGGAGGATCGCTTGAGTCTAGGAGTTCAAGACCAGCCCTGGCAATGTAGTAAGACCCCAACTCTACCAAAAAAAAAAAAGAATTAGCTGGGCACACTCCTTAGTCCCAGCTGCTCAGGAGGCTGAGGTGACAGGATCCCTTGAACCCAGGAAACAGAAGCTGCAGTGAGCCATCATCACGCCACGGCACTCCAGCCTGGACAACAGAAACAGACATTGTCTCAAGGAAAAAGAAAATCGAGGGCTCAAGTGATCCTCCCACCTCAGCCTCCTGAGGAGCTGGGACTGTAGGCATGCACCAATGCAGCCAGCTAATTCAAAATTCTTTTTTTTTTTTTTTTTTTCCAGACGGAGTTTCGCTCTTATTGCCCAGGCTGGAGTGCAATGGCAGGATCTCAGCTCACCACAACCTCCACCTCCCGGGTTCAAGCAATGCTCCCGTCTCAGTCTCCCAAGTAGCTGAGATTACAGGCACACACCACCACGCCCGGCTAATTTTTGTATTTTTAGTAGAGACGGGGTTTCACCATGTTGGTTAGGCTGGTCTCGAATTCCTGACCTCGTGATCCGCCCGCCTCGGCCTCCCAGAGTGCTGGGATTACAGGCATGAGCCACCGTGGCCGGCACTTTTTTTTTTTTTTTTGAGACGGAGTCTCACTCTGTCACCCAGGCTGGAGTGCAGTGGCGTGATCTTGGCTCACTGCAAGCTCCACCTTCCGGGTTCACGCCATTCTCCTGCCTCAGCCTCCCGAGTAGCTGGGACTACAGGCGCCCACTACCATGCCCAGCTAATTTTTTGTATTTTTAGTAGAGACGGGGTTTCACCGTGTTAGCCAGGATGGTCTCGATCTCCTGACCTCGTGATCCGCTGGCCTCAGCCTCCCAAAGTGCTGGGATTACAGGCGTGAGCCACCGCGCCCAGCCAGAATCCAAAATTCTTAATAGGATTATTCTAGAACCTTCATATTCTACATACAACTCATATTTTCTACCTTTCTTTTGTTTAAAATATTTTTATTTTTAAAGAGACAGGGTCTTACTATGTTGCCCAGGCTGGTCTCAAACTCCTGGGCTTGAGTGATCCTCTCACCTCGACCTCACAAAGTGCTGGGATGACAAGTGTGAACCGCTATGCCTGGCTTACCTTTCTCTCTTCTTTTTCCAGCACCTGGCATGTGCCTGCCTGTGTCTAGAACACCTTTCCCCTCATTCTCTGCTTGGAAAAATTCTGCTCCTGCAGAGGAAGGAGCAATCTGGATTCAAATCCTGGCTTTGCCACCTCCTACCCCATGACCTTGGGCCAGCAGCTTAATCTCTGTGATCCTCCCTGTCTGGAGAATAGGGATCAAAATGGCCCCTATCCCCTGGGGTTCTCACCCCACAAGCCTGTTTGTTCTCCTAGAAGCAAAACCCTCTGGCCTGCAGGTACATGCTACTGCCACCATGGACCAATGACAACGCACTGTTCTCAATGAGTCTCTTAGTGACATCCCTGAGAGAAGGGGTTATGGATAATGCCTCCTTGAATTCTAATGCCAAGGCTCCAGGTCCACAGGATCCCTGGGCAGTTGCAGAGAGTTGAGGACTTTCCAAGGACCCATCCCTCCTCCCACAGCCTCTGTCCCCTCTGCTGGCATGTGATGGAGCTGGGCCTCATGTTGGCTCCCGGGATGCCTACCCCCATAGGTCCCTCCAAAACAGAGACACTGGCCACCAGCTTTCCTGCCCCAGAAGTGCCTCCCTGCACTCGCTGGAGGAGCAGCTCACCTCGGCACACAGGCACACACTTGCCCAAGCTGAAGAAGTGGGAGTGTAGCTCCTTGGTGAAGCAGATGTCTGCAGCTGCAGGGGTCCTAAGCAGGGACAGATGCAATTAGTCCTGCCCCCTGCACCCCGCTCCACCACCCTGCCCCCAGCATCAGCATGCAGAAGGGAGGCACAGGGGAGGGCCTGCGGGGCCCCACCCCATGCCCTGCCTGGACTGCTGGACGCCACCTCCTGGGCAGAGCAGGAGGAGGGCAAATCTGGGCAGAGGCAGGTGGGGCCGGCCCGGCCCACTTCGAGGGGCCCATTCCTCCTCACCAACGCATCAACTTCAGGTTCCAGATGTGGCGGAGTTTCAGGATCCCTAGAGGACAGGAAAGGCTTCATGCCCCAACTTCCCATATCCCCAGGGAGTGCCCTTCCTTCACCCCATCTCAGGGAATGAGGGACAGCAGCACTACCATTTCCCTACAGCCCAAAGTGGCATCTTTCAGACCCTTAGGCCAGATCATTCAGTTCTCCCTGGCTCCTCCCTCTCCCCCACCCTCCACATCTTACTAATCACTGCACCTGGACTGCCTACCTCCCCAACATACTTGGACAATGCCCATTCTTCTATACTTCTCCCTGTACTGTCACTGCAACCAGCCCAGTCTAGGCTAGTGGATGGCTCCAAGTCCTCCTTCCTGGCCTCCCAGGATCCACCTGTGACATCTATAGGCCTTTCTCCACCCAGCAGCCAGGGTGAGCTCTGAAGGGCTCCAGTGTGGCTAGGTGGCTCCCCATGAACTCTAGGACAGTTAAGCTCTCTGTTCAGGAGTGGAAGCCCCAGGCACCCCTCCACCCGGCCATCTGGTTACCAGAGCCAAGCAACTTCCTGTGAAGTCAGCAGAGCAGGAACCTCTAGGTGTGGCAACCAGGCTCCCAAATAGGGCTGAACGGTACACGCCCAGCCAGGGGCAAACCTGAAGCCAGGACACTGGGCTTCCAGTCCCTGGCCCAGAACTTCCTCACAGGATATCCTATGTCCAACCCCCAAATTTTTCCCAAGACTGTGGGGCCCTGGATGGTTTAGAGAACAGAGGGTTCTGGAGGCCTGACGTTAAAGGAGCTGTAAGATATGCCCTGTGGCCGTTCCTTGGTCCTGCTCCATGCCCAAGGCCCTCTCCAAATCATGCTCCCTCAGGGATGCTGCAGGAGCCACAAATCCAAGTCTCAGCCCTGGGGCAGAACGCCCGGAAACCGGAGTGCCAGGGCTCCATGAAAAGGCAGCGAGAAGGGGTTTGTTCTGACGAGGCTGGGCCCGTCCCGAATCCTCGCCTTTCCTCCCCCTGCCCAGCACACTGGCCCGGGTACCCCAGAGATGAGGGTCGTCCATGCAGGACTGGTGATTGGACACGGTGATGAGGGGCGTGGCCGGGCCTCGCTTCTCGATGAGCTCGTACAGCACCTCCCTGTTGTGCACGGTCAGGTGGTTCATGTACTCTGGCGGGGAAGGAGAAGTCAGGCGCTCCGGGCTCGCCCGCTAGGTCGGGGCCGCGGCGTCCCCCACCCTAAGTCCCACCTCCGGCCGGGCATGGGTACCCGGGCGGGCCTGCCTCGGCCTGGGCCCACTCACTGGTCCAGAAGCAGCTGTAGGTGCCCACCAAGCCCATGACGACGCTGCTGGCCAGGGTCCAGGTGAGCGGCGGCACCGCGGGGAACGGCCACTTCACGTGCAGAGGCATCCCCACCCGGCCCGCGGCCGGCGCTCCCAGCGCCCCGGGCCGGCCTGTGGGGCGCCTCTAGGTCTGCGACCTCGACCGCTCGAGACACTGGCCCCTGACTGGCCCGCGCACGGACGGACGGGGGCGCGGCGCAACAGGGGACTGGACCGAGGTCCCTTCGCAGGTCAGGCCGGAGCAGCGCCCGGCCCCGCTCTCTCGTCACTGGGGAGCGGTCGCCGGGGTCACAGGCCGTGGGCGCGCTGCGGAACGGGAGGAAACGGGAAGGCGGGCGCTGGCACCCCGGCCCGGTGCAACCGCCGGAAAGCGAACCTGCGCCGGTGCCCAGCCCGACCGACTGTCGCAAAGCGCGCACGGGCCGCTTGACGGCAGCGAGGCCAGCCCCGGGGCGGCGGGAAGTGGCCGTCACCCCGTGGGGCTCCCGCTTCCTGGCAGCCTCCTGCGCTCGCCTTTTGTCTCTCTAGTGTTTCTGTTTTTTGTTTGACACAGGGTCCAGCCAGACCCAGGCTGGAGTGCAGTGATGGGATCATGGCTCACTGCAGCCTCGATCTCCCAGACTCAAGCGATTCTCCTGCCTCAGCCTCCCGAGTAGCTGGGACCACAGGCGCCCGCCATCACACTCTGATCCACCCGCCTCGGCCTCCCAAAGTGTTGGGATGACAGCCGTGAGCCACCCCGCCCAGCCACATATACAATTTGACATAGTTACAGTACTACATGATACTATGTGTATGTAGCAATGTATAATCTACTGTATGGCAAAATATACAATATATACAGCAATATATACAAACATATTGTGTATCATATGTAATACAAGAAACAGTATTTTATACCATCTGATACAGTCACAATGTCAGCTACTACCTCTAGTTCTGAAACATATTCATGACCCGGAAAGAAAGCCCCCTATGCATTAAGCAGCCAGTTTTTTATTTTTATTTTATATTTATTTATTTATTATTATTTTTTTAGGAGTCTCGCTCTGTCGCCAGACTGGAGTGCAGTGGCACAATCTCGGCTCACTGCAACCTCCGCCTCCCGGGTTCAAGCTATTCTCCTGCCTCAGCCTCCTGAGTAGCTGGGACTACAGGCGCAGGTCGCCACGCCCGGCTAATTTTTTTTTTTTTTTGTATTTTAGTAGAGATGGGGTTTCACCATGTTGCCCAGGTTGGTCTCGAACTCCTGAGCTCAGGCAGTCCACCCACCTCAGCCTCCCAAAGTGCTAGGATTACAGGCATGGGCCACCGCACCCGGCAGTTTTTTATTTTTATTTTTATTTATTTTTATTTTTGAGACAGAGTCTTGCTCTGTTGCCCAGGCTGGAGTGCAGTGACGAGATCTCAGCTCATTGCAACCTCTGCCTCCCAGGTTCAAGCGATTCTTCTGTCTCAGCCTCCTGAGTAGCTGGGATTACAGGCGCAAGCCACCACACCTGGCTAATTTTTGTATTTTTAGTAGAGGCTGGGTTTCTTCATGTTGGTCAAGCTGGTCTCGAACTCCCGGCCTCAGGTGATCTGTCTGCCTCTCCTCCCAAAGTGTGAGTCATCCTACCTGGCCTGTTTTTTATTTTTAAACCATAATTTATTGATTTTTTTTTTTGAGATGGAGTCTCGCACTGTCGCCCGGGCTGGAGTGCGAGTGCAGTGGTGTGATCTCGGCTCACTGCAAGCTCCGCCTTCCAGGCTCAAGCAATTCTCCTGCCTCAGCCTCCTGAGTAGCTGGGATTACAGGCGCCCACCACCACGCCGGGCTAATTTTTTGTATTTTTAGTAGAAACGGGTTTCATTATGTTGGCCAGGCTGGTCTTGAACGCCTGACCTCGTATCCACCCGCCTCAGCCTCCCAAAGTGCTGGGATTACAGGCATGAGCCACCACGCCCAGCCCATAATTTATTGATTTTTTAAAATTTGTCCAGCCTTCTATTACCACGTCGAATCCATTAGCTACAGCCATCCCATGAGAAGCTGAGTGGATTCAGCCCCACCTCCTGCTCACAGACCCTGTCCGAGCACCTCATTTGTCCCAACAGCATTACTGCAGGACCCCCAGGACGTTGGACTGCCAGCTCCCTGGGTCTCCTCCTCTCTGGGGCAGATCCTCAGTCCTCCCTTGACTTCACGACTGTGGCCAGATCATGTGTGGACTGTCCCTCTCTTTGGGTCTCCAGAGCGCTTGCATCAAACACCCCTAACTCAGAAGTGTGCAGCCACACTGGGACTCAGAACCCAACAACAGGGACAGAAGACTCACGCCCTTGGGGTGCCCGGTCTCGTGGCATCAGGCATGACTTCCAGCTCCTGCGCCTTCCCCAGCAACTGCTGACTGGGGACCCAGACCGGGAGCTGAGCGACGGGCCTGGCGAGCGAAGCTCGGGGTCTCACTCAGGCACCAGCCCCTCCTTGCCCCAGGCTTGAGTGACTCACAGGTCTGTCATGTCCCGCTGGCCCGGGAAGGCGGGGTCTGGGTGGGAAGGTGGGCGGGCAGGTCAGCAGTTCCCAGGCCTGGTGCTGGTCCTCCTTGTTGGCGGCGAGGCGGAGACGGGGCGGGCCTGCCTGTTGGCAAGGGTGGGGCGTCCGGCCCAGCCAGGCCCTTCCTGGCCGGGTGGCTCAGGAACACAGCCTCTTCCTCTTTTTTTTCCCCTCCTAGCCCTATTCAGGCAGGAGCTGCTCTTCTGGGGTATCGCGATCCACTTAAGGATGAGGCAGACTTGGTGACAAGCTGGTCTGAGCAGGTATGGGAGCCCCCTGGGGAGACGGAAGAAGGGAGGAAGTTGCCTTCTGCCTGGGGAGGGTTTGAGAGGGAGAGGGAAGCCTAGGGCTCCCACCAAGGCTGATATTGACAGCCAGGGTTTGGGGCTGAAGCCAGGAACCGTCGCTCTCTCTGGTTCTTACTGGTAGCCCTCATGGGGGTCCCTGACGCCAGAGCCTCCAAGGCTGCATGTGCCAGCCCAGGGCTGCCCACATACCCATGTATATCCCAGAATAGGCACCAGGGTAGGGAACCCAAACTAGCATGAGTGACAGAGCAGGTGGTCAGGGAGAAACAGACATCAAACCC
This sequence comes from Homo sapiens, assembly GCF_000001405.40. Classification (NCBI taxonomy): domain Eukaryota; kingdom Metazoa; phylum Chordata; class Mammalia; order Primates; family Hominidae; genus Homo; species Homo sapiens. The sequence continues at coordinate 154,408,785 of NC_000023.11, read as the reverse complement.
AGCCAGGAGAGAGACACCGCAACAGAGAGACAGAGAAGGGAAACCAGAGACGAGAGGGAAAGTGAGACAGAGACGGACAGAGCCTCAGAGAGGTAGGAAGTGAGCCCGAAGGGAAGGTGACAGGTTGATAGAGAAAAGCAGGCAGACAGAGCAGAGGAACTCATGCCTCAGGATGCAAAAGCCACATGGACAGGGCGTGGAGCAAGGAGCCGAGCCCTGCAAGGTCAGGTGAGTGTGAGACAAAGATAAACTGAGAGAGGGGGGCTCCAGCTGGTGAGATGAACAAGAAGGGCTCCCCAGTGGTGGCAGGGGCATGGGAAAGAGTCCCCATCACAGGTTGCAATGGGGATGATTTGGCCATATCTGAGACCTTTTAAAATGCACACACCCTTCACTGCCGGGAGTTTATCTTAAAGAGAACATCTCACAAGTGGGGAGACAGAGATGAACGAAGATGTTCCTGTAGTTGCTAATGGAGGCGAAAAGCACTGGGGTCTTGGAACAACATGGTGAAACCCCATCTCTCCAAACAAATTTTAAAAATTAGCTTGGTAGCCGGGCGCGGTGGCTCACACCTGTAATTCCAGCACTTTGGGAGGCTGAGGTGGGAGGATTACTTGAGGTCAGGAGTTTGAGACCAGCCTGGCCAACATGGTGAAACCCTGTCTCTACTAAAAGTACAAAAATTAGCCGGGTGTGGTGGCACGTGCCTGTAATCCTAGCTACTTGGGAGGCTGAGGCAGGATAATCTCTTGAGCCTGGGAGACGGAGGTTGCAGTGAACTGAGATCAAGCCACTGCACTCCAGCCTGGGAGACAGAGTGAGACTCCATCTCAAAAAAAGAAAAAAAAAATTAGCTTGGTGTGGCAGCATGCACCTGTAGTCCCATCTACTCGGAAGGCTGAGGTGAGAGCATCACTTGAGCCTGGAAGGTGGAGGTTGCAGTGAGCTGAGATCACATTACTGCCCTCCAGCCTGAGCAACAGAATGAGACTATCAAAAAAAAAAAAAAAAAAAAGGGGGGGGGCCGGGCGCGGTGGCTCACGCCTGTAGCCCCAACTACTCAGGAGGCTGAGGCAGGAGAATCACTTGAACCCGGAAGGCAGAGGTTGCAGTGAGCCAAGATCACGCCACTGCACTCCAGCCTGGTGACAGAGCAAGACTCCATCTCAAAAAAAAAAAAAAAAAAAAAAAAAAAGGTAGACTAGGCCAGGCGCAGTGGGTCAGGCCTATAATATCCCAGCACTGGCTGGGCGCAGTGGCTCACACCTGTAATCCCAGCACTTTGGGAGGCCAAGGCCGGCTGATCACCTGAAGTCAGGAGTTCGAGACCATCCTGGCCAAGATGGTGAAACCCTGTCTCTACTAAAAAATATAAAAATTAGCTGGGCGTGGTGGTGGGTGCCTGTAATCCCAGCTACTCGGGAGGCTGAGGCAGGGAGTTGCTTGAACCCAGGAGGCTGAGGTTGCAGTAAGCCGAGATCACGCCACTGCTCTCCAGTCTGGGCGACAGAGTGAGACTCTGTCTCAAAAAAAAAAAAAAAAAAAAAAAAAAAAAAAAAAAAAATCCCAGCACTTTGGGAGGCTGAGGTAGGAAGATCACTTGAGTCCAGCAGTTTGAGACCAGCCTGGGAAACATAGAATTCAGGAGGCTGCAGTGAGCTGTGATGGCACCATTGCACTCCAGTCTGGGCGACAGAGCAAGACTTTGTCCCAAATAAATAAACAATAAAAGAATAAGCTTGACCGCTTGTGCACTGTTGGCGAGAACGTAAAATGGTGCAGTCACCATGGAGACCAATATGACACTTCCTCAGAAAATTAAAACTAGAACTACCATATGATCCAGCAATTCCACTTCTGGGTATATACCCAAAAGAACTGAAAGCAGGGGCTGGGCGCTCTGGCTCACGCCTGTAATCCCAGCACTTTGAGAGGCCGAGGCGGGCAGATCACGAGGTCAAGAGATGCATGAGGCTGGGGCACCAGGGCTCATTCCTGCAATCCCAGCACTTTAGCAGGCTGAGGCAGGAGAATTGCTTGAGCCCAGGAGTTCAAGACCAGCCTGGGCAACATAGTGAGACCTTGTCTCTATTTAAAAAAAAAAAAAAAAAAAAAAAAGGACACGGTGGCTCACACCTGTAATCCCAGCACTTTGGGAGGCCAAGGTGGGCAGTTCACCTGAGGTCAGGAGTTCGAGACCAGCCTGACCAACATGAAGAAACCCCATCTCTACTAAAAATACAAAATTAGCTGGGCGTGGTGGAGCGTGCCTGTAGTCCCAGCTATTTGGGAGGCTGAGGCAGGAGAATCGCTTGAACCTGGGAGGCAGAGGTTGCAGTAAGCCGAGATCGCACCATTGCACTCCAGCCCGGGCAGCAAGAGCGAAACTCCGTCTCAAAAAAAAAAAAAAAAAACCAGATGGATGGATGAATGAATGAATGAACAAAATGTGGTCTACCCAGATGCCCAGACAATGGAATATGATTCAGCCATGAAAAGGAAAGAAATTCTACAGCCGGGTGCGGTGGCTCACGCCTGTAATCCCAGCATTTTGGGAGGCCGAGGCGGGCAGATCACGAGGTCAGGAGATCAAGACCATTCTGGCTAACATGGTGAAACCCCATCTCTACTAAAAATACAAAAAATTAGCCGGGCGTGTGGCAGGCACCTGTAGTCCCAGCTACTCGGGAGGCTGAGGCAGGAGAATGGCGTGAACCCAGGAGGCGGAGCTTGCAGTGAGCCGCGTTTGCGCCACTGCACTCCAGCCTGGGCGACAGAGTGAGACTCCGTCTCAAAAAAAAAAAAAAAATTCTGACATATGCTCCAACATGAATGACCCTTGAGGACATTTTGCTCAGTGAAATGAGCCAGTCACAAAAAGACAAATACTGTAGGATTTCACTTTTTTTTGAGACGGAGTCTTATTGTCGCCCAGGCTGGAGTGCAGTGGTGCGATCTTGGCTTGATCTTCACAGAGCAAGACTCTGTCTCAAAAACAATTTTTTTTTTTGGAGACAGAGTCTCACTCTGTCACCCAGGCTGGAGTGCAGTGGTATGATCTCGGGAGGTCACTGGGAGGCTGGTGCTGGGCAGCAGCTAGTGCCACTTTCTCTGTTCCATATTTCAGCGCTTCCAGAGCCAGAACTGAGCCCAGTGAGAGCGCACCCTGGGGCAGCCTGGATTCCTGGGGTGTCCCCGGCAGCCACACACAGCCATGCACTACCCAACTGCACTCCTCTTCCTCATCCTGGCCAATGGGGCCCAGGCCTTTCGCATCTGCGCCTTCAATGCCCAGCGGCTGACACTGGCCAAGGTGGCCAGGGAGCAGGTGATGGACACCTTAGTTCGGGTAAGTTCATCACTTCAGGGAAGCCGTGCCCCTAACCACCATGAGCCAAAGCCCCCATCCCTGCCTGACCAGGGGTATGTTCTAGAGAAGAGGGGAGAAGAAGAGGTGTGGCACGGAGATGCAGCGCAGGCGCTTGCCTGCTGCTGGCCTCAGTCTCCTCCTCTGTGAAACAGGTGACATGTGGGTGGGATGAGTCTTTTCCTGGGGCATTTCCAGTCCCACTGCTTTCTGTGGGCTGCAGTCAGTGAGCCTTAACACTCTGGGCCACAACAGTGCCAGTCCCCTGGGCCCACTGCCTCCTCTCAGGGCAGTTGGCACTGAGTCAGGCTGGCCTTCCTGATGTCCCACAGATACTGGCTCGCTGTGACATCATGGTGCTGCAGGAGGTGGTGGACTCTTCCGGCAGCGCCATCCCGCTCCTGCTTCGAGAACTCAATCGGTGAGGAAGATTCTGTGGGTCTAATCAGGGGCACACCCAGAGGCTTGAGGCCCTGACCCCGCCTCCCCTTTTCTTGGCAGATTTGATGGCTCTGGGCCCTACAGCACCCTGAGCAGCCCCCAGCTGGGGCGCAGCACCTACATGGAGACGTATGTGTACTTCTATCGGTGAGCACGGAGCTGGCAGCGCAGCAGGGTGGGGGGCGGTCCTTGGCCCTAATGTGAGGTAGGCTCATTAGTCCCCGGGGCCACAGGCCCCCCATCCTGGGACAGCCTCACCTGCTTTGCATGCTTTCTCTTCTCAACACCTTTTATTCTGGGCTCTTCCCATCCTCGACCCCCGCCAGAGTGTCCATAGAGCAGGAGGCCTTCCTTCTATAAGCACAAATGTGGGGTCCCTCCTCCTCTCTCCTGTGGGAGCTGCTGGGGCTCAGGGTGTGGCTGGCCCCCTCTATGAAAGTGGCCAGCAAGGGCTGCAGCTCCTGGGAAGAGGCTCCGTGGGGACCACTTATGGGCCTTGGGTAGACCCGATCTTCTAAGTCCCTGGGAGGACAGGCTGGCAGGGAGCCCTTTGGAGTCAGGATCCAGAGGGCAAGGGAGGCTGCAGGGAAGGAGAACTGATTCTCTATATAAATAAAATGATATGACATCTGGTATGCGCTCCAAAATTACTGGGTAGGCAGGGTACAGTGGCTCATGCCTGTAATCCCAACGCTTTGGGAGGCTGAAGCAGCAGGATCACTTGAACCCAAGAGTTCAAGGCTGCAGTGAGCTATGATTGTGCCAGTGCACTGCAGCCTGAGCAACAGAGTGAGACCATGTCTCAAAAAAAAAAAAAAAAAAAAAAAGAATGACATCAAAGTGTCCAAATGTCAAAATGTACTATACCCAGTCCGTGGAATATTATTCAGCCAGAAAGAGGAATGAAGCACAGACGTGCCACAGCATATGGACGAACGCAGAAAACATTGATGAGCTGATTTCATTCATATGAAATATCCAGAATAGGCAAATGTACAAGATAGAGAACAGATTAATGGTTGCAGGGGCTGGGGGGAGGGGAGAATGGAGAGTAACTGGTAATGGATGTTATGTTTTTATTAGGAGTAATGGATACCAATGTTTTAAAATTGATTGTAGAAATAGTTGCACAGCCTTATGAATGTACAAAAGAACCGTGTTGTATACTTGAAGCAGGTGAATTTTATGGCATATGAATTATGCCTGATTTTTGAAAGTTCTAGAGACAGGTTGGGAGGGCTGTGCCCACATTGCCGCTGTTAGTGGAGGGCCCCTCCCTGAGCGCCGTTTGGCACTTGCAAGCCAAAATCAAAGACGTGGGGCCACTGCTGCCCATCCCTTTGTCCTCCCAGGTCACACAAAACACAGGTCCTGAGTTCCTACGTGTACAACGATGAGGATGACGTCTTTGCCCGGGAGCCATTTGTGGCCCAGTTCTCTTTGCCCAGCAATGGTAGGAAGGGAAGGGTGGGCTTGGTATGTGGGAGCAGAAGGGGAGTTCTGGCTGGCTCCACTGGGGGCTTCCTCACCCAGACGGGCTAGGGGGAGAAGGTCCAGGAGTGGATGGCAGCCCTCGGTCCCTGGGCCTTGCAGTCCTTCCCAGCCTGGTGTTGGTCCCGCTGCACACCACTCCTAAGGCCGTAGAGAAGGAGCTGAACGCCCTCTACGATGTGTTTCTGGAGGTCTCCCAGCACTGGCAGAGCAAGGTAGGCCTGGGCAGTTTGTACAGGAGGGACAAGGATAGGGTGGCCCAGCGGCCAGCCTGATGGCTGCTGTGTCTCTAGGACGTGATCCTGCTTGGGGACTTCAATGCTGACTGCGCTTCACTGACCAAAAAGCGCCTGGACAAGCTGGAGCTGCGGACTGAGCCAGGCTTCCACTGGGTGATTGCCGATGGGGAGGACACCACAGTGCGGGCCAGCACCCACTGCACCTATGACCGCGTCGTGCTGCACGGGGAGCGCTGCCGGAGTCTGCTGCACACTGCGGCTGCCTTTGACTTCCCCACGAGCTTCCAGCTCACCGAGGAGGAGGTGAAGGGATGGGGCTGGCATGAGGAGGGAGGGCAGCAGCAGGGTCACAGGGAAGCCCCTCGGCCCCGGGCACTGACACTGCCCCACCACCCATTCCCAGGCCCTCAACATCAGTGACCACTACCCCGTGGAGGTGGAGCTGAAGCTGAGCCAGGCGCACAGCGTCCAGCCTCTCAGCCTCACTGTTCTGTTGCTGCTATCACTCCTGTCCCCTCAGCTGTGCCCTGCTGCCTGAGCGTCCCCCTACCCCCCCAGGGCCTGCTGCCTTTTGGGACTTAAACCCCAGCCTCCCCCGTCCATCCAGCCCTGGGGCTGGGGGGCTTCAACTATAGTTGCCCTGTGACTGTAGTCCACCCCTGCCTGCCTTGTTTGATTTGGCTCTTGTTCTTTGGTTGGGCTTGTGCCTAGATTAGGAGAGGAAGCCAGGGGCCCTGCACTCATGCCACCTGCCAGGTAGTGTAGTATCAGGAGTGGAGACAAAGTGGGCTCTGGGTTGGGGTAGGGGAAGGGAGGGTTCAGAAAGAGGAATGAAGATGTTGTATGACAAGAAGGAAAGTTACTGAGAACAAAAACCCAGATTGGTGAGATAGGACACTTGTGCAGCAGATATGCCAATGGGCCATGTTTATTGTGGATTGGTAAGAATCACCAGGAAACCATTAAGCCCCAATAGCTACAAGGAGGGTGGTTAATCTGCTATATCAAACTCCTTCCCTGAAACCAGCAAACACCGGGAAACATTTTGGCTCATTATAATCCGGTGAACAATGCAGTCAGGCCTGTTATAACCGCTGAGCAGCCACACTCGCACCTCCTGGGTGCTGTAGTCTGTGTTGGTACAGGCTTCTGCATGCCTGGTAAAGTCCAGCCAAGGCTGGTCAAGGCAACATCTCCACACAGAAAATCTGCACCAGTTATGTAAGCTAAAAAGCTGTGTGAACCCAGGTGTCCCGGAAAGGGGCTGCAGGACACAGCAAAATGCCAGCAGCATGCCGGACCCCTCCCTTCCATCCTCCTCTCCAAAGAAGAGAGGTCAGGAAAAACACTGGCTGGGACGCTAGAAGGGTCATGTGTTAACTATAATCACATTTATGGTTTGGAACCATCACCCCAAGGTAAAAAAAAAATAAAAGGTATTCCCAGGTATGTTTGGCAAAATAAAATAAAGGTAATTAAAAACCTAAGAAATGGCTGTAAACTGAGATTACAAAAAACCAGAGGCCTTTTGGGAGCCACAGGCTGGGGGCTGGGGCCAACATACCCCAGCTCTGGGACCAAAAGCCTTTGGAGTCCTGTCCCTGGATACAGATGCTCAGGCCACCCACCTAGCACTCCTCTCATTTTTGCTGCTCCCCCAAAAGCCAGCGCTGTTCTACAATAGTTCAGGTCAGACATCTAAGATCCCCAGGCCAAACCATGCCACACACGTGTCTGTTCCGAGGTCTTGTTACAAATGACCAAAGGTTAGCCTAGACCTTTGGTCAGGTGGTGAAGGCCCTGGGAATGCAGGTTCTAGAAGGGGTGGGGGCATGGGGCCCAGGAGGTTGCTAGAGATAGGAAATGGGGCAAATCGCAGGTGACCTCAGCAGTACCTGGATGATTCCCACCAAGGAGGAATGGCCAAACCAGATGGGTGAGAACAAGCCCAATGTGATGCACACCTACCCTTGCTAAATAAACGCTGCTGGTCAGCCTCTAGCCCACAAGCCCCTCTTGGTCCGCATGTGTTGTAATAAGCAACACAACTGTAGGCTGACCCCAGCCTGGGATTGCAAGGCTTTGCTGCAGCTGTGCTTCATGAAAAGCACTTCAGTGTTTTTCAACCTACTGCCTAGGACCTGGGGAGGTCCAAGTCAAGCTCCAGAGTAGACAACTGACATAAGGCCACCAGTCCCAGCCCTTTGCAGGGTTTGCTGCCTCATGAGCAGGGCTGAGTTGTCAACCTGTTTCTGAAGTGAAAGGGCAATGACCCAAAGGTTCCCAGAGGAAGTTCCTTCCCCGTCAAGAATGTAGATACAAAGACATAGGTGGACAGGAAGTAGAATTTATTGGTGAGTATTAAGAGGGGGGCAGCACATTGGAAGCCCTCATGAGTGCAGGGCCCGCCACTTGTCCAGAGGGCCACGACTGGGGATGTACTTGACCCCACAGCCATCTGGGATGAGCCGCTTTTCAGCCACCATGTCTTCAAATTCATCAGCATTGAACTTGGTGAAGCCCCACTTCTTTGAGATGTGGATCTAAGGAGCAATGGAAAGAACTGAGTCAGGAGGCCTGGGGCAAAGGTGGGAGAAGGGGGCTGCAGCACTACATACCTTCTGGCGGCCAGGAAACTTGAACTTGGCCCTGCGCAGGGCCTCAATCACATGCTCCTTGTTCTGCAGCTTGGTGCGGATGGACATGATAACTTGGCCAATGTGAACCCTGGCCACAGTGCCCTGGGGCTTTCCAAAGGCACCTCGCATGCCTGTTTGGAGCCTACATTGGGGTAGTGCAAGGTCAGAAACATGAACATCCACCTGAAAGGCCTGTCTCCAAGGTCCCTTAGAGCAACCCATACAACCAACAGGCTGCGTACACTACCAAGGAAGCTGCTGTGTGCAGCCATCGCACACTGGGTCCCCATGAGGAAAGGAACTCAGTCGGCTTAATTGGCTGCGGAGCATCCCAAGAACCACTGAAAAGGCGCCACTGGGCTCCTCTGCCAGCTTCAGCTACCTGCTGGCAAGATGGTTGTCATTCAGCTAAAAGCAAGAAGAGCTACTCCCATCACCAGTGTTTCCCCTAACCTGTGGGGAAGAGCTTGCTAAGACTTACTCATGCTTTGTTTGTATCTGCAGGAAGGGGTCCTGAGTGACCACTGAAAGTCACTTGCCAGCCTGGCTTTTCTAGTAGCCATAGTGGCTGAGTCACTGGGGCCACCTCTATGCTCTGATAAAATAATGCAAGCCTAATAATGTAGAGACTCCAACTGCCTTAAAAGGCCCAGACCAAGCTCACCTGTCAGCCCCAGCACAGGACAACATCTTGTTGATGCGGATGACGTGGAAGGGGTGGAGCCGCACCCGGATATGGAAGCCATCTTTGCCACAACTTTTTACCATGTACTTATTGGCACAAATTCGGGCAGCCTCCAGGGCTAGGTAGGGAGAAGAAAAGCAGCAAAGTGAGAGAAGATAATAGAGAAACATTCACCACGACTATCTCCAGCTCAGGGGAACTGTGTTGGCTGAGTTTTGTAAGGCTCATGTTTCATCAACTCCCAATTCCAGTGCAGTGTATGTGGGTGGGGTTGAGGGAGCACGGAGGAAGGACTGGGGGGTGACGAACAAAGAATCCTGCCTTACCTTCAGAGGACAGCTGCTCATATTCATCTGACACCATGTGGCCACAAAGCGGAAACTCATCCACTTTTGCCTTTTTCCGCCCCAGGTCAAAAATGCGAATCTTGGCATCTAAAAGGATTGGGTAAGTGTGCAGGGGGTGTCACAGACGGACGCGGAGTCCGCAGAGCCAACCAGTGCAGGGGCTCTTCCACTACTTACCAGGGACACCTCGGCAGAAGCGAGACTTTGGGTACGGCTTGTTCTTACAATACCGGTAACTGCAGGGGAGTGAAAAAACACAGGTTAGGTGAGGTTCACAGAAAGCCCAACAGGCACTTTGCCCCTCAAGGAACAACCCAAACGAGGGACGGGAAAAGGGTGGGGAATGCACGTCCACTTCTAAACCGTTTCCATTCGGGGAAATAAACTACAAAGCAACAGTTGGCTGCTGCAACACAGACAACACCCAAGACTAGAAACAACAGACACCATCTTCCGTTACTTTGTCTTACGCTTCCTATAAACACTTTGCAACAAACTTTCCTAGTTAAAAATTCTCTCTTCAAGACACTGCGTACTACAAAATCGCCGCATTATCATTGCACAGCTCAGGTCACCCAATTTAAGACTTTCGGGCACGTGGCACTAAATCCACCTCCAAGCCGAGTGGAAATGCGTCTGGCGCCCCCTGTAGGACACAGGAGGCGGCCGCACCCGTTTTTCCCGGACTGCCCTTCACGTCCGACAACGCACGCGGCACGTCGCCCGGAAATAAGACAGAGAACGCACACAAAGGCCCCAAGAGCGTATCTAGCGCCCGAAAATGCGGTGAGCTTGCAGGACACAGGCAGAGATACGAGGGAACCGTCGCTTCCACACCGACACGGGAACGAAGGAACAGACAGTAATATTGCAGACTAAAAAATAGCCGGGAGGTGTAAAACATAGGGTCAGTTCCCAAGACAGGGCCGCCGCACGGGGGAGGCTCCACCCCACAATTGTTTTCAGCGGCCATAGGCACTTCTTTCCCCGCCCGTTTCCCAGCAGTGAAAGTACACGGATTCAAGACTCACCAACGGGCGGGGCGGCGGCCCATGGCGACACCAGGATCTTCAGTGGCTGCAACGAAAAAGAGAGAGTCGGAACGGAAGACGAGAACAGACCTAAAAGGTGTGAGAACCAGCAACGGCACCGCAAGAGACGACAACTGCGCTTACTCACCACACCGAAGGGAAAGAGGCGCTCCTCCGCCTGCGCATGGCTTATATAGGCGGTCTGTCTGCGCGCGTAAGAACCATAGAGTCCTGTCGAAGACGGGTGGACGCTCTGTCAGACGTCATGACCATAGACGCAGCCGCTCTTGGCGCTTGCGCCCGGGCGTAGCCCAGCACATGCGCAGATCAGAGAGGTGACCGGGTACCAGGGCCGCGGGCGGCCAGCTGACGAATGGGGCTTCGCCACATGGTCGCGAGAAGCCCGCTTCCGGCTGGCCATCTTGGGCGTAGAACTCTTGCCCTAGGCTTTGCCGTTAACTGTGACAGACGTATATTTCTGAGAGTGGAAAAAAGGAAAGTACCCTAGGTGGGCCTCCCGGCGACCGCGAGAGTGTCCCTGAGCTTGCACGGGTCTCGGACACGCGCTCCGTGCCTCCTTCTAGGCTAGAGGCCCCGGCGGTGAAGCGCCATACGGGGATCTGGGCCCGCGTTCCTTTGTCAACCCGGGAGGCCGGAGGGGGAGACCCATTCCCCTACCGGAGAGGCTGGACCAGGCCTTGCTGGGAGCCATGCCCCGTATCCCCGTTTCCTGGAGACCCAGGGTTCGCACATTGCCGCGGGGAAGAGGTCGAGGAGAAATCTCCACGGAGACTCATGGCCTGGGAAACCCCGGGGCATCTCTAGCCCCGCTCCGCCCACCCTGACCCGCACCGTCCCGACCAGCTGCGTCTCGGGCGCCGCCTCCCATGAGCCGCTCTCGCCTGGGCACCGCCCCACCTCGCCCTTCCCACTCCACTGTGCTCAAGAGTCCCTCCGGGTGCGTCTGGGGGTCGTGGGGAAGCAGGGCCGCCCCCACCCGCCCACGGGGCAGCATCCGGGGAGAGGTGCGCAGAGCAGGCGGGCGTCCTGGGGGAAGTGGCATCTGGAGGTATCTGTCCACCATTCTGCAGGTGGGGCGCGGTGGGGTAACAAAGTCTTCCCGTCCTTTGACAGGAAGGACGGGAGGAAATCCTGCTCGAGCGCACCTGTTTTCCAGGATGATATGTCGCTTTTATAAATGGCTGCAGGTCCCTTTGAGAAAAGCTTGGGACGATTTCTGGGGTGCACTTGCAGCAGTGGTGCAAGGTCCTTCCCAGGGGAACCTAGCCTCCCTTTCCATCATGGGACTCTGGATGCCGGCGGTGACTTAGGTCTGGAAACTGGGTTCGAGGCTGTAACACCACTGGGGCAGTACAAGTCAGGAATTGCGGCGGAGTGCCGTGGCTCACGCCTGTGATCTCAGCACTTTGAGGGGCGGAGGTGGGCGGATCACTTGAGCCCAGGAATTTGAGACCTGGACAACATGGCGAAAAACCGCCTCTACAAAAATTAAAAACTAAAAATTGGCTGGGCGCAGTGGCTCACGCCTGTAATTCCAGCACTTTGGGAGGCCGAGGCGGGCGGATCATGAGGTCAGCAGATCGAGACCAGCCTGGCCAACATGGTGAAACCCCGTCTCTACTAAAAATACAAAAATTAGCTGGGCATGCTGGCTGGTGCCTGTAATCCCAGCTGCTTCGGAGGCTGAGGCAGGAGAATCGCTTGAACCCGGGAGGCGGAGGTTGCAGTGAGCCGAGACCACGCCATTGCACTCCAGCCTGGGTGACAGAGCGAGACTCCGTCTCAGAAAAAAAAAAAAAAAAAAAAAAATATATATATATATATATATTTAAAAATTAGCCAGGCGTGGCGGCACACTCTAATCCCAGCTGAGGTGGGAGGATCGCTTGAGCTCAGGACGCAGAGATTGCAGTGAGCTGAGATCACACCACTGTACTCCAGCCTGGGCGACAGAGCAAGACTGTCTCAAAAAAATTCGTGTATGGCCGGGCGCTGTGGCTCACGCCTGTAATCCGAGCGCTTTGGGAGGCCGAGGCGGGCGGATTACCTGAGGTCAGGAGTTCAAGGCCAACCTGGCCAACATGGTGAAACCCTGTCTACTAAAAATACAAAAATGAGCCGGGTGTGGTGGCACACACCTGTAATACTAGCTACTTGGGAGGCTGAGGCAGGAGAATTGCTTGAGCCCGGAAGACAGAGGTTGCAGTGAGCCGAGATCATGCCACTGCACTCCAGCCTAGTCTACAGAGAGAAACTATCTCAGAAAAAAAAAAAAAAATCTGCCTACAGGGCGGGTGCAGTGGCTCACGCCTATAATCCCAGCACTTTGGGAGGCTGAGGTGGGTGGATCAATTGAGGTCAGGAGTTGGAGACCAGCCTGGCCAACAGGGTGAAACCACGTCTCTACTAAAAATATAAAAAAATTAGCTGGGCATGGTGGCGCATGCCTGTAATCTCAGCTACTCGGGAGGCTGAGGCAGGAGAATCTGGCTTGAACCTGGGAGGTGGAGGTTTGAGTGAGCCAAGATCACACCACTGCACTCCAGCCTGGGACCACAGAGCAAGACTCATCTGTCTCAGAAAAAAAAGAAAAAAGAAATTGCACCTACAGTCTCCTCACTCTCTAGTGGGCGTTAAAATGAGCTTTCTGTAGCCAGTTTGGGCAGACGGAGGATACAGCCTAATCCTGGGTGCCCTAGTAGGTCGTGCAGGCTGTTCTCTGCACAAGGACATCTTCCTGGGGAGCGAGAGGGCTGAAATCCCTCCCGTGTCCTCGCCTCCAGCCGAGTACCTGCCCCGAGAGCAGAGTGCCTCTTGCTGATCCGCACATAAGCCTGCAGGGGTGGGTGGGGGCCCTGGAGCCCAGACAGGCACCAAGGAATCTTGCAGCCCTACAAGGTGAGGACGGGGGAACTGTCGGAGTTCCACCTGTTGGCTCCTCTCCCTCCTGACCTTCCCACGGGAATCCTTCCAACTGTTGGCTCAAAGAAATTGAAGTGGGTTTCTCCATTGCTACCCTCGCCATCTAGGACTCCACTGTCTTTTTTTTTTTTTTTTTTTTTTTTCTGAGATGGAGTTTCGCTCTTGTTGCCCAGGCTGGAGTGCCATGGCACGATCTCAGCTCAGTGCAACCTCTGCCTCCCGGGTTCAAGCAATTCTCCTGCCTCAGCCTCCCGAGTAGCTGGGATCACAGGCATGTGCCACCATGCCTGGCTTATTTTGTATTTTTAGTAGAGACAGGGTTTCTCCGTGTGGTCAGGCTGGTCTCAAACTCCTGACCTCAGGTGATCTGCCCGCCTCAGCCTCCCAATGTGCTGGAATTACAGGTGTGAGCCACCACGCCCGGCTTTTTTTTTTTTTTAATTGAGACAGGGTCTTGCTCCGTTGCCCAGACTGGAATGCAGTGGCATGATCAACACTCACTGCAGCCTCGAACTCCTGGGCTCCAGAGATGCTCCTGCCTCAGCCTCCCAATCGGCTGGGACTACAGGCACACGCCACCATGCCTGGATAATTTTTTTTTTCTTTTGTAGAGATGGGGCCTTATTAGGTTGCCCAGACTGGTCTTGAACTGCTGGAGCCAAGTGATCCTCCTGCCCTAACCCTAACCCAAAGTGCGGGGATTACAGGCAGGAGCCAACGTGCTTGGCCAGACTCCATGGTCTCTTACCTGGACCAGGACGATGGCCCCACCCAGGCCCTCAGAACTGTGGGATGAGGTGTTTGCTTCTGGCTCACCCACGAGAAAGAAACTCCCGGAAGGAAGGGACCGTGTCTGGAGCGCTCCAACTCCAGGCCCCAGACTGCAGGTATCCCTTGCCAACAGAGCTGAGGCCAGCAGGGGAAACCATTCCTGCCACCTGGACTAAGAATGAGATCCTCTTGAAAAAAACAATATTAAGAAGTGGGCTCTTCCCATCACGCCACCAGAGTCCCAGGAAGCCAGGGATGTGGGTGTCTAATGGTCCGGGACAAGATGATGGGAAACTTCACATGGAGAAGAAAATGCCCAAGAATGACTGAAACTGTCTGCAAGGTCCTGCTAAGGGAGCTGGCAGGTGCACCAGGTATGGCGAGATGCAAAGCAAGGAGCCCACTGCATCGTTCCCTGGAAGGACAAGTGCAGAGGAGACCACAGATGCCTGCGCATTTAGCGGGAGTATGGCAGTGCCATCATGGGGGAAAGGCTGTGTGACAAATGGTATGGAGGAGACTGACTGTCCCTTAGAAAATGGGAAAGGAGCCAGGCGCGGTGGCTCACGCCTGTCATCCCAGCACTGTGGGAGGCCGAGGCGGGGGGATCACTTGAGGTCCGGAGTTCAAGACCAGCCTGGCCAACACGGTGAAACCCCGTCTCTACTAAAAATGCAAAAACTAGCCAGGCATGCTGGCGTGCGCCTTTAGTCCCAGCTACTCGGTAGGCTGAGATGGGAGAATTGCTTAAACCCAGGAGGTGAATGTTGCAGTGAGCCGAGATCGCGCCACTACACTCCAGCCTGGGTGACAGAGTGAGACTCTTTCAAAAAAAAAAAAAAAAAAAGAACAGAACAAACATAAGAAAATGAAACATCAGTGTTCTTGAACCCAGCAATCCTACCCCTTGATAACCTCAGCAAGAGCAATTCTCCCTTCTCGCTAAGGCCACATTCCGTGCCATGGCCTTCGTGGCATGGTTTGTGGCACACCAGGAGCTGAAGCCCTGGGGTTGCATCACTCAGGGTGGGAATGATCAAATGTGTTGCATCCAAGCTCTGAAATCCTCTGCAGGAGCACAGGAGTCAACTGTACGTCTCCAGGGCCACAGACAAAGAGCTGAGAAACCCTGTTGAATGACGGAAGCAGTCAGCAGAATAGGAATGCAGCACAGGGACAGTTACGGTGGGCAAAACCATACACACAAAAAATCCACAGGTGCAGGGCAGTGGCTCACGCCTGTCATCCAAGCACTTTGGGAGGCCGAGACGGGCAGATCGCTTGAAGCCAGAAATAGGAGACCAACCTGGGCAACAGGGTGAGACCTCGTCTCTACAAAAAAATAAAATTAGCTGGCGTGGTGGCACATGCCTGTAGTCCTAGTTACTCCAGAAGCTGAGGTGGGAGGATCACTTGAGTCTGGGACATCAAGGCTGCCGTGAGCTATGATCACACCACTGCACTCCAGCCTGGGTGACAAAGCGAGGCCCTGTCTCAGAAAACTAAAATACAATTGAACAAACACATTCCAAATGACACCACATTTTAAATGACCCCTTTGGGAGGGAGGGGAACAGGACTAGGAAACAGGGAAGAAGGAAAAAGCGAAAAGCTACAGTTCTCCCATCTAATTTTCAGCTACCTAAAAAGCTGTTAGCCCAAAAGGTGCTGGTGAGGCTGTGGGTAAACGCTGAGGGTACAATGCGAGGGACGGACAGTATCAAAGGTAGGGTCTTTAGGGGAGGCAATTCCCTAGTGTCTCTTACAATTTTAAATGCAGGCCACACAAGGTGGGACACATCTGTAAAACCAGCACTTTGAGAGGCCAAGGAGGGAGGACTTGAGCCCAGGGGTTCAAGACCAGCCTGGGCAACACAGTGAGACCCTGTCTGTACAAAAAGAAGTTTTCTAAAAAAGCCAGGGATGGTGGCACACACTTGTGGTCCCAGCAGCTCAGGAGGCTGAAACAGGAAGATCACTTGAGCCCAGGAGGTTGAGGCGGTGGTGAGCTGTGATCGAGCCACTCCACTCCAGCCTGAGCGACAGACTGAGATCCTGTCTCAAAAAAAAAAAAAAATTTTTTTTTTAATGTACATATATCTCGACCCAGCAATTCCACTTACAGGTAATTATTCTAGAGAGAGATGGATGCACGTTCAAGGCTGTGTTCATAGTAAATGCAAGGTAGAAATAATAATGCTTTAAAAGTACATCAAATGGAGGCCCGGTGCAGTGGCACATGCCTGTAATCCCAGGTACTCGGGAGGCTGAGGCAGGAGAATCACTTGAGCCCAGGAGGTGGAGGTTGTGGTGAGCTGAGATCACGCCATTGCACTCCAGCCTGGGCAACATGAGTGAAACTCTCTGTCTCAAAAAAAGAAAAAAAAAAGTTTAAAGTACATCAGGCCGGGCGCGGTGGCTCATGCCTGTAATCCCAGCACTTTGGGAGGCCGAGGCTGGTGCATCACTGAGGTCAGGAATTTGAGACCAGCCTGACCAACCCAGGTGAGAGGTGAGAGGATCCCTTCAGCCTGGGAGGCAAAGGTTGCAATGAGCCGAGATGGTGCCATTGCACTCAGCCTGGGCGACAAGAGTGAGACTCTATCTCAAAAACAAAAAAGTTGAAATTATAAAAAAGCTAAAACAAACAAAACAAAATCACTACAAAACGTGTAGCATAACGGTTTTTTTTTGTTTTTGTTTTTCAGACGGAGTCTCACTGTGTCACCCAGGCTGGAGTGCAGTGGTGCGATCTCGGCTTGCTGCAACCTTCACCTCCCGGGTTCAAGCGATTCTTCTGCCTCAGCCTCCCGAGTAGCTGGGACTACAGGCACACGCCACCACGCCCAGCTAATTTTTGTATTTTTAGTAGAAACGAGGTTTCACCATATTAGCCAGGCTGGTCTCGAACTCCTGACCTCGTGATCCACGCGCCTCAGCCTCCCAAAGTGCTGGGATTACAGGCGTGAGCCACCGCGCCCGGCCGCATAATGGGTCTTAACTTGGCTAATTATGTGGGTGATTGCACAGAAAAATAGTATAAATAACTTCATGCTTTTTTATACATGGGATAACTTGCTTCAAGTTGTTTCAAAAACGTTTTTTTTTTTTTTTTTTTGAGACAGAATCTTGCTCTGTCACCCAGGCTGGAGTGCCGTGGTGCGATCTCGGCTCAGTGCAACCTCTGCCTCCTGGGTTCAAGCGATTCTCCTGCCTCAGCCTCCTGAGTAGTTGGGATTATAGGCGAGGGCGCCACCACGCCCGGCTAATTTTATATTTTTATTAGAGACAGAGTTTCACTATGTTGGTCAGGCTGGTCTCAAACTCCTGACCTCAAACGATCCACCCGCCTCGGCCTCCCGAAGTGCTGGGATCACAGGCGTGAGCCACCGCGCCCGGCCTCAAACACCTCTCAATGATTCGCTTGAGTATGTGTAAAGTGATGCACAGGCCACCCTGAAGACCTTGGTGGTTTCTATTGAAACTACACATCAAGCCGGGCGCGGCGGCCGGTGCGCGGTGCCCAGAATCCCAGCACTTTGTGAGGCTGGGGTGGATCACCTGAGCCCAGGAATCCCAGACCAACCTGGGCGAAAAAGCGAGACCCCATCTCTACAAAAAGTAAAAAATTAGCCGGACATGGTGGTGGCGTGCGCCTGTAGTCCCAGCTACACGGAAGGCTGAGGCTGGAGGTTGAAGCCCTCGCTGGGGTGGAGAGGTCAAGGCTGTAGTGAGCCCTCATCGCGCCACTGCACTCCAGACTGGGCGCAGAGTGAGACCCTGACTCAAAAAGAAAGAAAAGGAAAGAAAGAAGGAAAGAAAGGAAGAAAGAAAGAGAATTACAAATAAAGC
This sequence comes from Homo sapiens, assembly GCF_000001405.40. NCBI lineage: Eukaryota > Metazoa > Chordata > Mammalia > Primates > Hominidae > Homo > Homo sapiens. Next base: position 154,390,976 of record NC_000023.11, on the reverse strand, counting down.
TACACATCCACTTCTACACTTCTGCGTGGACTCGAGCGTTCAAGATGGGCGTGGCAACCCGATGACAGGAAACCCTACACGGGCGTGCTCCCAGCAGGCTCCTCCGTGAGGGCCACCAGCCACGGGAAACCACGACCTTGTCCCTCACCAGCAAAAGCTCAGCCTGCGGCTCCGCGAGCGTGGACCGTTCCGTGGCCATGAGCGGGAAGAACCACGGGCCCCCGCCAGGGGCTGGGATGGATCTCGCGGGCGGGAGGCGGAGGGTACTCGGCCCACCCCAGCGGAGGACACCGCGTGGGTCCGCTGAGATAACGCTCCGCGGTGATGGACTCCATGACTCCCGGAGCAGAGCCCTGGCTGCGCTGCACCGCGGGAGGGAGGGGCTGCGTCTACTGCGGGGCCACGAGAGGGAGGGGCCGGGGCCGGGGCCGGGGCCGGGGCCGGGGCCGGGGCCGGGGCCGGGGCCGGGGCCGGGGCCGGGGCCGGGGCGGGACAGGAACCCGCGCAAGCGCGGAAATGCCCACGGCCGCGCCCTCCCGCGCGCACCGCGGCGACACCCGGGCCGCCCTCGGAAGGCACGGACGTCGCGCCGCGCTCCCGGGGCGCTTCACTTGCGCCCACGGCCGACGCCCCGGCAGCGGCGGGCAGGTGCCACGACCTCTGGACGTTTCTCGCCCCTTCTCGGGAATGGAACGCTTAGAGAAGCGCAGGTCCACACCCAAAACACAAGGCGGCACTGTTGCGTGTGCACCGGCGACTCTGCGGCCAGCGCCCTGGGTCTCGCCCCGGGAACGCCTAGGAGCCTGAGAGCGCCGCGCCACACCCGGCAGGGCCGCAGCGGCGCGCACGCGACGGGGTGTCGTCCACTGGGCAGCAGGAGCGTCAGTCAAGGGCGAGGGGCGGGAATTCCGTGCAATCTGAGCATGGTCATTGGCGAGGACAGGCGAAGAGGAGGACGGATAGGCGGGGCTGGGCGGGGCTTCCCGTGGGCGCCTGGAGCTTACCAGGAGCGACCGAAGCGGAGGCGGGGAGCGAGGCAGCTGTGGGCCCCGGCGGGCGGAGACTAGGGCTGTCCCTCCACGCCCCGCCCCCGCCTCGGCACCGCCTTCCGCGCCTGCGAGTCCTGGGCCGGCCCTGCGGGGCATGCGCCGAGTCCCCTTCCTTTGCAGACCGGTGGTCACTGTCTTCCCCCGGGGACGAGGCGGACAGGCGTCGCCTGAGATCAGGGCCCGGGAAGCCCCGTGAGCCGCTCTCGCCTCGGCGCCGTCGAGGGGCCGCCCCGCCCTTCCCACTCCACTGTGCTGCGAAAGTGCCTCGGGGCGCGTCTGGGGGGTCGTGGGGAAGCAGGGCCGCGCCCACCCGGCAGCGTCCAGGGAGAGGTGGGCAGAGCGGGGCGGGCGGCCGTCTTGGGGGAAGTGGCGTCTGGAGGTGTCTGTGCACCATTCCGCGGTGGCGCGCGGTGGGGTAACAAAGTCTTCCCCGTCCCTTGACAGCGGCGGCCGCCGGGGAGGGAATCCTGCTCTGCTGCGGGCGGTCGTGGGCTGGGGCGCTTCCTGGCCTGACTGTCTCCTGGGGGAGGTAGGAAAGGCGAGCCCCGCAGAGAAGGCGGTGGCTTCCCTCGACGTGGGTGCCAACAGGAGCCATCCCTCCAGCCGGTCTTCCCGCGGGAGGGTGCCTGGGAACACCCGCAGGGCTGGTTCCAGCACCCATGGGACCGCTGGGTCCAGCCCAGTGTTTCCGGGGAAGCCCCGCCTTACCCGCCAACCTTCCCGCACCGGGAGGGTTCCCAGCTGCTGGTGATGCTGCTCAGGCGACTCCCCGCAGCGCCACCACCCACCCCCCCGGGAGCCGGCCGCTGGGTTTGGCCCGTCCGCCCTGGTTCCTCTTTGCTGGGCTCTGAGGCCCGGCGGGACTTCTCCGCGGCGGCTCTGGCGACCCAGCATCTCTTTGCCCTGGGGTCAGACGGGCTCCCAAGGAATTGCATCCCGGTGGAGAAGACGCTTCCTTCCCTCTCCCTTCCTCTCCTCCGCCCCCTTTTGCTCTCTTGTCCTTGCACTTTGCCTTGTCCGTGTGTCCGGCTCTGTGTGTGTGTGACTGACGCGAGCCCTTAGTCACCTCTTGCTACTATTTTCTCCCCTTATTATCACTTGTCTCTTGACTGTGTGGTTTGCGGGTTGTGCTTGGTCACAGAGGGGATTTTAGTTTTCGTGTCATCAGAATCTCCAGGCTTTCCTGATGGCTTCTGGGGGTTCTTGTCGGTTTGTTTCCTTCTGGCTCACGCCGTGTCTTGCCCCCTGGACGCTGGGCACCAGTTCCGACTACTGGGTAACAGACGACTTCACGTTTCGGTCCTTCCCCACCTAGCACTCGTCTCACCCCCCCAGCACTCGTGTCACCCCCCCAAGGGTTCTGAGGGACAGGCTCTGGGAGGGCTCTCGGGGAGCCAGGACTGTGGCTCAGGGTCCCTCTCAGGCTGCGGTCAGGTGTCCACTGGGGCCCAGCCATCCTATCTGACTGGGTGGGGAGCCCTCGTGATGACTCTCCCTCTGGAGGCTGTGGCAGGAGGCCTCAGTTCCTCCCCACCGGGCCTCCTCCCCAGGGCTGCTGGGCTTCCCCCGGACCTGCAATCCAGTCGAACCAGCAGGAGAGGGCGCCCCAGACCCGGCCACAGTCTCTTCATGGCCTGGTCTCCTAAGTGACTCGCCTCGCCTCCGCTGTGGTTTTTATTGGTCTCACAGGTCCACCCTGGCGCGTGCTGGAGAGGGCGCCACGCTCAGGGTGGAGGCTGTTCCTGAGTGCTGCGAGTCAGAAGCACCCTTGCACGTGTAGACCTGCGTCGGCTGCTGGAGATCCCGAGCGGGCCGCCTCAGGAACATGTCCTTGGTGTCAGCGGGAGCAGCAGGCCACCTCCTGGGGCTGACACTGGCCGGGGCCTGCATTTCTGAGGGCGGGGCGTGCTTTGACATCCTGAAAGGGTTGCAAAACCCATCACAGAGAACCCCAAGAAGGGAGACTCTGCCACCGAGACCCCGTGTGCCCCGCAGGGTCTGCGCCGTGTGCTCTCTGGCTCTTCATGGAAGCCTTTCCCAGCCCTGGTCGGGGAGCCCCGGTCCAACATCCCCAGGAGCCGGTGGGAAGCCCGTTCTGGTCTGCATGGCATGAGTGCCCCACGCCAGCCCGGGTGGCAGGATGTGCCCCCCACCTCCAATGCCCCCCTCCCAGGGGCTCATTCCTGCCCCTGTCCCCTCTCTGCCCCAGGTGGGGCAGCCTCTCTCTGCAGACAGGGGAGGCCTCTCCTCCCCGCATGCAGCCCTGAAGGGGAGGGGCCGGGGCAGGGAGGGGGTGTGCCGCGTCGTCATGGTGAAGGCAGAGCAGCTCCTTTTCTCCGTGATGTGTCAGGTTGCCGGATACTGGGCTCCGGTCCCTGGCCTGGAGGGTGGGATGTGGAGGGCCAGGTGGGTCCTGGAAGGAGCTTTCCACTGGGGCCCCAGGAAGACCTTGGTGTCTCGTTTCCCTGGAGACGTGCCCCATCCTTCCCACTGGGACTGGCAAGTGACTTGCTGATGACGCTCTCCGTGGCTCTGAGTTTGTCACAGAGGTTCCGTGGGCGGTGAGTGCTTTTCCTGTTGGCCCGCGCCGCCTCTGGGCAATGCGGGGGCCCTTGGTGACAGCTCCTGGCCCCTTCCAAAGCCGCCTGGCCCTTCTTGAACCCGACGAGAGCAGGTTGCCGGGCCTTCCCTGAGGAATGTGTTCCTGGCAAGTGGGGACAGCCCCTCCCCCAGGGTGTCGGGTACAGGGTCCTGGGGTGCTTCAGGACACGGTCAGGCCCACCGACCCCCCACACTCCTGGGCCACCTGCCTGCTGGCTGTCCTCTGTGACCCTCTCTCCCCTGAGCCGAGGTGCCGGCCCGATCCCGCGGGAAGAACAGCGAGGAGGGCCGGCTCTCCCTGCTATGGGGGCCTCGGGGGCCTGGACGGGGACTGTGTCCTCCCTCCCCGGGCTGCCCGGCGCCCTCGCTCAGGGAGTGCTCTCCTAGCGACCTGTTCGGCAGATGGGCACAGCCACGACAGCAGCCAGACCCTGTCCCGGCCCATGCACCCACCTGGACGGATCGGCGCCCTCCTGGACTTACTGGCTCCATTGAGGGTCCCAAAGGAGCTGCCCCAGAGCACCCTAGGGGCGTCCGGACCCCTCGGCCCGCAGCAGCTACCAGCAGCCCAGGCAGGACCCAGGGGCTTCCGGGCACAGAGGCGCCGCTCCCTGGCTCGTGAGCCCAGGGCCTCTCCAGCCGTCCCCTGTTGGGGGCCTCCACTCCTGCTCTGGATCAAGGTCCTGCCCCTAGGGAGAGCTGGTGCCTTCGGGGGAGCGGGCCCTGGTTGCAGTTGGAGAGTGGGTCCAGGGATGGTGTTCTGCTTGGCTGCCGCCCTGCCTCCTGGGGGCCTCCCCAGATCCCCCCCGGCTGCTGTCAGCTGGGGCTGAGGGGTCCTGTGGCCTAGGGGGCATCCTGGTTCGGGAGTGCCCTGCCCTGGACACCGTGTCCAGGAAGGATACATGCTCACCCTTTGTTGGGGGCCAGGCACAGGGTGAGGGGGCACTCGGCCCCACCACCCGTGTCTCTGGGAACCCTGGCTGGGTACGGCCCCTCTTCCGAGAGATCCTGCCCGGGACTGGTGCCGCCTGCCTCGGGCCTGCCCCCCACACAGTTGGGGACCCTGGCGGGGCACCTCCTGCCAGCCACCTGCTGCTGTCCTAGCCTCAGCCGGGCCCTGCAAGCTGTCCATGTGCCTGGGACACCCGGTCCCTCTGCAAATGTTTGCAAACACCCCTGCCCCCACAGGCATGTCTGGGGGCCTCTCTGGGCCTTTGTGTGCCGAGTTGGGCGTGGGTGGCGGCGGGGGTCTTTCCATAGTCACCTACTTCCTGTCCTCCTCGGCCCCAGGTCCAGCGGTGCCCTGTCTGCTCGGTTTCCAGCCTGAGCCCTTTCCTGAGCTGGCCCGGTCCCCTAAGCTTCTGCAGCAGGTTCCCAGGTCCACCCCGAGGGACTCCTGGCCAGTGTTCCCAACAGTGTCTGAGTGCTGGCCTCAGTCCCTGGCCATGGATTTTGGGGAACCCCGCTCTGAGGGGCCGTTGCTTCCCTTTCCTCTCCAGGTCCCCTCCCAGTTTCCTCGGAGAGCGGGGATGGGGCTGTTGGGAGGCGGAAGGGAGGGTTGGGGTGCAGAGGTGTGGCTTGGGGGAGGGAAGGTCAACTGGGCTACCGCCCCTCCCTGCCCTCCCTGGACTCAGTCCAGACACAACCTGCGGGTTGGAGGCCTGTGCACCCTTTATCTCCTCCTAGTAGCCTGGCGGGTCCTCCTGGGTCTTCCTCAGTGTGTGTGAGTCCCCAGGCCATAGGACCCGGCAGGGTGGGGGCCCGTGCTCTGCTCTTGTTTTTGCTCCTACTTGCCCGCCCTTCCCGGGGGGGGCCCTGGCCAGGACCGTGCCAGTCTCTTTCCCTGCTGCCTGCCTGCCTGCCTGGGTGGCCTCCAGCTCACCACCCTGTGAGGCCTGTGGCCTCCCGCCAGGGCTGTCCTCAGGGGCCCGGATCCCCCTAGTTTATCTTCTGCCCTTGCCGCCCCACATGTGTCCCTCCCTGCAGCCTGGGGACGATCGGCAGGTTTGGGGGACCGGTGCCCTTGGTTCACCTAGCCCAGCCCTAGGGCGGTGGCCCTGCCAGGCATGGGGCTTGAGAGGGGATGTGATGGAGCAGACACAGGGAGGGGGCAGGAGACCCTGGGTGACTCGGGACAGGAGGGAGTGCCCCAGAGGTTCAGAATCCTGGGCACACAGTGGGCTGAGCGGACAAGTCGCAGCCTCAGGGGGACCTCCCGTCCTCCCAACTGGCACTGCATCTTTCTGGGCCTGGCTCTGCTGCCTCACAGCCCCGTTCAGCTGGTGGCTTTTAGAGGCTTCCAGAGTGTGCTTGGCCCCTTTACCTCTATGCCATTGGGCCCAGGGGGAGCAGTAGAGTGGCTGCGGCTGGGGGTGGGACTTCCCCTTTCTGTGTCTTGCTTGCCCCGTGTCTCCCAGTGAGTGGCCGCCCTGAGCCTGGGGCCAGCAGCCCAGCCCCAGGTGGAAGTCAGGCAGGGTTCCTCTGCCGTTTTCCTTTCCTTTATGCCATCAGAGTCAGGAGTGTGCCATGCTCATGAAGCCACAGGTCCTACACCCCTGGCACTCTCTTCTTGAAAGTGGTAGCAGCCCCGCAGACACCCTTCGTACCTCCAACCCAGCTGAGGGTCAAGGCAAATGTCCTTCTTGGCCGGTCTTGGCGCTGTCACCTCTTTTGGACCTGTCTGGGGCCAAGGTCAAGGGCCTTGCCAGGACCATGGGTTCTGGACCCTGGCCCTGCAGTCCCTCTCCACAGTCTCCTTCTCCACTGGCTGCCTTGACACTCTCCCAGCCCCCTCAGGTGGTTCTCCTCCCTGGTCTGGCAGGGCCTGGTGGTAGCGGAGGAAAAAAATCCAGTATCTTCTTGGACAGTGCCCAGAGTGGCCTCTCGCTTGGACCTTGGGCAGCTGCTGCCCCCTGCTGTATGTCTGAGCATGGCTGGAGCCCTGCGGGGGGCCCCAGATTCTTTGGGAACTTTGGAAAGTGGGGCCACAGTGGTCTCTCAGAGCTCTGGAGAACATGTAAGTGGAGGCCTGGAGGCTCTTGAGGCCCATGGAACCTTCCTAATCCTCTGGTTCCGGCTGGGGCACCCAGTGCACTTCGGTGTGTCCAGAATAGTCAGGATCCTTCATGGGGTTCGAAGCCCTGGGGGTTGGACAGATCACAGGATGGGGTTGGCAGAACCCTGAGGAGCCCTGAAACGGTGGGGGGAGTACTCCAAGGCCCATGGAGCCCTGGGGATTGGTGACCAAGCCCAAGTGGGAGGCCTCAGGAATCCAGAGGGAGCTCAGGGAGGTGGTGGGAGCAGAGCCCTGGGGAACGCCATGAGCCCTCAGGAGCAGGGAGTCTCGCAGCCCTTTTCATTCCCTGGGGAACTGGGGTGGGGACTCCGGGAGCCCTCTTCCATCCAATCTTGGGAGCTCTTTTGGAATGAATGAAAAGGGGCAAGCTACGTCAGGGGTGGCCGCTGTTCCTTCCTTCCCTCTCTTCCCTCACGCCAGACACCACAGTGGTTGCCAAGTACACCCAGCTACCTCCTCTTTACTCCCCACCTGGAACAGATCCAGGACCTGACCTAAGGCCTAGAAAGCACCATTTCGTCCCGATATCTGGATATCTTTTCCCTCCTTGGGATGCCCCAAGCCCAGCTCCACATCCCCCATCTCCCTGACACCAGCTATTACTCCAGAGCTTTGGGATGTCAACCTTGCCACCACCCCAGGTCCCATGTAGGTTCCTGCTAGGCCCCATCTGCCTCTGTCCAGCCACACTGGGCTGCAGTCCAGCCCCAATCCCAGGTAGTGAGTGCTTCCTGGGGGAACTGGACTGAGGTGAGTTCGGTTCTTCCTGTCAGTGTACTTGGTTTTTATCAGCTGCTGAAACAGGAGGCTCTGTCACTGCGTCCTTCTAGGGTCCTGGCAGTAGCAACCTGTTTGTTCTGCCCCCCATGTACAGGCTCATTAATGGGACCATTGAATCCCTAAGGTGGACCTGTGAGGAGGTGGCATCCCCTGCCCATGCCTACCACCCGCCATGGACCATCCAGGTCTCGCCTGCTGCAGGGCCAGCCATCAGTCTTTGCATTGGGCTTGGGATGGTGAGGGGCAGAGGGCAGGGGCTTGGGGAATCCACACAGCAAGTGGCTGGGCACTGCGGGGTGAGCCAGGTAAGAGGAGCTCATAGCAATGAAACAAGAAAGGCTGAAACTGTGAGTGGTAAGAAAATTAGAAGTGATTCACTCTTTTCTGCATGTTTGCAACACACAAGGACCATGTACTATTTTAGGACCAAAAATATACGTGAGGAGAGACGAGGATGCAGCCAAGATAAATGGTCAGGAGTAGCCAGGGAGGGTCCCAGCCCCAGCCCTGCCTCCACAAATGCATGTGCAGGCACTACATGGGAGCTGTGCCAAGTGTGGGAGGCTGGGCTGTCCCACTACCTGCAGCAAGGAGCCAAAGGCTTGGGTGACTAATGCCAGCACCCCACCCCTTGCTGGGCCTCTGCTTCCCACCTGCCCGTGTGCAGTGGACGGCAGCCCCTCTGTGCTCTCCCGCCCTCTGCCAGCAGCATAGAGCCAGGCATGCACAGCAACACGTGGCATTGTCTTGGGTTTTAGTACCCACTTTCCACTTAAAAACATATATGTAGACTGGGCACGGTGGCTCACACATGTAATCCCAGCACTTTGGGAGGCCAAAGTGGGTGGATCATGAGGTCAGGAGATGGAGACCATCCTGGCCAACATGGTGAAACCCTGTCTCTACTAAAATACAAAGCAATAGCCGTGCACGGTGGTGCACACCTGTAGTCCCAGCTACTCGGGAGGCTGAGGGAGGGGAATCGCTTGGACTCAGGAGGCAGAGGTTGCGATGAGCTGAGATTGCGCCACTGCACTCCAGCCTGGCGACAGTGAGACTGCATCTCAAAAAAATAAATAAATATATAATATATATAGTAAACTTCGGCTGGGCACGGTGGCTCATACTTGTAATCCCAGCACTTTGGGAGGCCAAGATGGGTGGATCACCTGAGGTCAGGAGTTTGAGACCAGCCTGACCAATACGGTGAAACCTCGTCTCTACTAAAAATACAAAAATTAGCCAGGTATGGTGGTGCGCGACTGTAGTCCCAGCTACTAGGGAGGCTGAGACAGAAGAATTGCTTGAACCCGGAGGCAGAGGTTGCAGTGAGCCAAGATTGTGCCATTGCACTCCAGCCTGGGTGACAGAGCATGACTCCGTCTCAAAAAAAAAAATTATATATATATATACTTTGAAGATTATGAAATACATACCCAGGGCAGAAAACCTGGGAGCTAAGTGAGAATATAGGCAGGTGAATTCAATCACCCAGGGATGATGGGGCATTTCAGCCTTTGGAGCTTTTCTCCCATGTTAAACAAGCAGCAGTTCCAGGAGCTGAGAATGATGTGCCAGAGACGCCTCATTTTCTTTCCATCCCCATGCCATTGGACACCGAGGTGGACTTCAGCTTTTTCCAGTTAAAACACCCGCAGACTGCTGGTAGCGTGCATGCAGCTTTGCCTGAATTTCCAAGTGGGTTCTCTGTATATACCTTGTTGTACCACGATTATATGTATAAGCAGTTACACGTGCTTTGGGGAATGAGTTAGGGAATAAAACTCCCAAACAAAACACAAACATCTCTGGGTAACATTTGATTCCTATCCCCAGACTAAAGCAAAAATGCGGACCCAACAAAGCCGGATTGCAATCCTGGAGCCCCAAGACGCAGAGGCCCTTGCCATGGGAGCCCAACCCTCTCCTCCAGGAAGAGCCAACGCATTACAAATAAACGGGGCTTTTATTGTGTGTCCACAAAAACAAAGTCAGGGTGGCCTTTGGTTAATCCCCTCCCCCCAACAAGATGACAAAAGGAGGAATGCATGTCAACAAAATGACAAAGAGGACCATGGAGGGCCTGAGTCTGCTGCCTCCCTGGTGGGACAAGGCAGGGGGAGCAAGCACTACTCTGGGCTAGGCCCAGCGCCCCCCAAGCAAAAACACATAAAGCCCCTGCCCCTGCCCCCACCCCCACCCCCACTGCTAAGGCAGTCAGCCAGGACTTCCCCAAAGACCTAGCTCTGAAGCCCAGACCCTCATGGCTCCCTCTAGAAGGGGTTGCCTTCTTCAGCCTGCATGAAGTGGTAAATGAAGAAGAGGACGATCACAAAGACCAGGAAAAGCAGCAGCTGGCCCCAGAGCGGGACCTGGCGATCCTGGCCCAGCCCAGCCCCAGGAGCACGGTTTTCAGGCCGGATGGCACGGCGGGTGAGCCATGAAGAGGAAGATGATGAGGAGGACATAAAAGAGGTGGAGGAGGAAGTAGGATAATAGGACAGGTCCAGGGAGCTCCTGGAGGCTGAAACAGGGCGGTAGTGCGTGATGCTCTGGTAGGCACTGTCCCGGCCGTACATGGGGCGTTCCCTGAGGCAAAAGAGGGGAGCAAGTGGGCCAGGAGCCTGGACCCAGAACCAGCCCGTCCCTGGGCTCCCCCACTACGCACCTATCCTTGCACTCCTCTTCAGAAGAAGACAAAAGATCGTCATCATGCACCTGCAGAAGAGAGTCAGGGCGAGGGGACTGGCTGGCAGGGCCACCATGGCCCTGTCATGTCCCTCAGTCCAAACTTCCCCAGCCAGTCCCCTCTGACCTTTGGTTAGAGGCCAGGAACCCACACCCTCCTGAATGGCTCTGGGTGTTCAGCCCTTTATCCATGGGGCCTTGCCACTTGTGCTCATGCCCCAGCATCCCCTTTTGCCCCCAGGACTCTCAGGAAGAGTCTGAGCCTAGATCCCAGACCAGGGTGCTCTAGTCACACAGAGTCTCCCCGGAGGCCCAAGAGCCACCATTTGTACCCAGTGCCCCCCTGGATTTATCCAAACACAGCCGCGATCCCCTAGGTTGTACCCAAGTACAGGACGCCTGCCAGCCAGCTCACCTGGTGATGGAAAGCGTCAGCATCTGGGAATGAAGTCACTGACTGGCGGACAGCCCTGGACGGGCCGGCAGACTCGGGCTCCCCATAAGTCCTGGTGGTGAAGTAGCTCTCTTCATAGTAGTCGTCATTGTAGCCTTGGGAAGGGGGGCAGCGGTAGCAGAGGGGGCATCGGTGTGCCCCGCCTGGCCTGATGGCCCTAATCTGAATCCCATTTCGGGACCTGTAACAGTTTCTCCCTCCTAAGGCTGCTGGAGTGGTTGGGACTGAGGTCTCAGGTCCTCCCTGTGAGCGGGGTCCCTGACGAAGTCGGGTGAAGGTGCCAGCGTGCCCACCCAACCCCTGCCTTACCCTTGCTCTGGTAGAGTAAAGCGTCCTCTTTCTTGGGAAGATCATACATATCTGCATCCCCTCTAGTCGAATTCAAGTCTGGATTGAAAGGAGGAGACAGAACTGTTTGCCCCCCCAGACTTCCCTCCCCTTTCTCCAGTGCCGCTCTCGACCGGCCCCCCTGCCACACCCTCGCGACCCCATCCTCCCCGCGTCCCAGGCTGTCCCCACAGGCGAGGCTCTCACCAGAGAAGCTATAAGAGGAGGCGGCGGACGAGCTGGGGGGCGAGAGCCGCCGCCTCTGGGTCTCGTACTCGAAGATCTTCTTCTCGTAAAGCCTACGAGTTGATCCTGGCCGGACACGGGGCGGTCAGGGCCGCGGGCCGGGGAAGGCGCGCGGGGAGGGCAGCGGGGAGGTCGCGAGGCGGAGCACGAGGAGGGGGCCCGGAAGGGGTCCCGCCCGCCGCCGCGTACCTACTACAGGCCCGTGCGGGATGTTGTACCGGCGCAGCAAGGTGGTCAGCTCGGTATCCGAAAGATCTGCGTAGTTGTCCATGGCGGGTGCGGGCTCAGGCGGAGGCCTGGCGGCGGCCCGGGCCTACCAAAACCGGCCGAGCAACGGCTGCCGAGGAGCACGGCGGGGGCGGCACGAGCGCATCGGGAGCGGCCGCGCTCGCGTCACAGCCGAATCGTTGTCGCGTCACAGCCGAATCGTTGTCGCGTCACGGCCGCTGGCTCCGCAGGCTGCGCGCGCTGCGCGGGGCGGGACCTAACCGCGGGAGCAGCCGGCACAGACCGGCCGTGCCCTGAGAGCTGGGAGGCTGGGGCCGCGAGCCCAAACGTCATCAACGCGAGGATTGGCTAGCGGCGGAGAGGGCGGGGCCCGCCCGGGAGTCAGGGCGGTGGGAACCGGTCTCGCGATGGGAGCGGGCGGGGCCGCAAGCCCATATGTCACAAGCACGGGGATTGGCTAGTGATGGAGGGGGCGGGGCCCGCGCGGGCGCGGAGCAAAAGGTCTCGCGGTGGGAGCGAGCGGGGCCGCGAGCCCATACGTCACAAAACGGGGATTGGCTAGCGATGGAGGGGGAGGGGCCCGCGCGGGCGCGGAGCAGAAGGTCTCGCGGTGGGAGCGAGCGGTACTGCGAGCCCGGACGCCACTAATGCATGGATTGGCTAGCGGCGTAGGGGGCGGGGCCCGCGCGGGAGTCAGGGCAATGCAAACCGGTATCGCTGTGGGAGCAGGCGGGGCTGCGGGCCCAAAAGTCACAAACGCACAGATTGGCTAGCGGCAGGGGGCGGGGCCCGCGCGGGAGTCAGGGCGATGCGGCTGGGAGCCCAGACGTCACCCTGTGGCGTGCGGCGGGGTGAGAGGGGCGGGGCCTGCGCGCGAGGGACCCGGGACGTGCGAGCGGGCGAAGTCGGCGCTTGGGGTGGCTCTGGTCCCTAAGTCGCTTGGGCTTCGCCCGATCCCTGCACATCCCTACTCCCCGCCGTCGTCCCCCTTCCCAGGGCCCCAGAGCCTAGGGTTCCCCGGCCGCATCCCGGTCGGCCGCCCCAGCAGCGGCGGGAAGGGCCCGGACCCTAAGAGAGCGCGGGCCCCGGGCCAGGCGCTGCCGAGGGCGCTTTGTGTGCGCATCGCCCGGGAAGCGGCTGCAGGGCAAGGCCCGCGCCTACGCGATCCCCGCAGACCCCCTGCCATGGGCCCGCCTTCCCAGTCTGCGGGGCTCTCGCCCGCGCACATGTGCCTGCTGCTTACCACCGCCTACCCCTCTGCTTCCCTTCCTCCTCCCTCGCTCCACCCGGGAGGAAATGGGGCACTGGGCCAGGAGGCCGCTGGCACTCCAGAAGCAAGCAGTCTTCGAAGGGGCCCGGGCATGCCGACGGGCACGCCAGTGGGCGCGGGCAGAGGGCGCCGTGCGATGCGTGCAGAGACGACGTGTGCCCGCCTAACCCTTCATGCCGTTCATTCACCCGGGGCACTGGGGGGAGCTGAAGTGGGGCGTCCTCTCCTGTCGGAATGGTCCCTGAGCGCAGCGTGGCTAGGCAGGGGGCAGACGTGGGTGGCGAGCTATGGATTCCCATTCCCAGGGCCTTGATCAGATATTGGCTGTCTCATGGAGAAGAGAAAGGAGGTGACATTCATCATTCATATTCTTTTTTTTTTTTTTTTTTTTTTGAGACAGTCTCGCTCTGTCACCCAGGCTGGAGTGCAGTGGTGCAATCTTGGCTCTCTGTAGCCTCCACCTCCCGGGTTCAAGTGATTCTCCTGTCTCAGCCTCCCGAGTAGCTGGGAGTACAGTCACATGCCACCATGCCTGGCTTTGTATTTTTAGTATTTAGTATTTGTATTTTTAGTAGAAACAGGATTTCACCATGTTGGCCAGGCTGGTCTCGAACTCCTGACCTCAAGTGATCAGTCCGGCTCGGCCTCCCAAAGTGCTGGGATTACAGGCATAAGCCACCGCGCCTGGCTGTGACATTCACATTCTAAACAAAGCCAGCTGAGGGTGTATGGAATCAACTAGTGTGCCCCTCACTGGGTAGGCCCCAAACTGGGAGCATGAAGAGGTGACATGCCATCTGTAGTTTCACAGTTGAGGGCTGGTGACAAGGGAAGAAGAGGGGAGGGCTCTGGTCATGTCCAGAATGGCTGGCCTGGCTGGTGAGGGTCACAGACCAGTCATCCATGGAGGTTTGCCCATGGGGTGGGAAGAGGTAGACACCTGGGGGAGTAATGAGGAGATGGGGCCCTGTTTTGACTACACGCAAAGATCCTAACAAAGAGGAATCACTGTTGGCAAGGCCCCACTGTGTCCCCAGCAATATGGAAGGAAGTGTGGGTCCATGAAGACAGTGCCTGGCAGTGTGCAGCAGGAGAGCCTTGGGTAGGGCAGGGGTTTGCACCTCATCTTTCAGAGCTGAGGGGACAGATGGCAGTTTGGACTCTGGGCTGCTCAGAGGCTGCCTTGTGGATTTTTTAGTTTTGACAAAATCAGATTCCCCAGCACCTCTGCAAGCCTTCTGCAATCCTGGCCCCTCTCCCAGAGGCCTCTGTGTACTAAGTGCTGCTCCATCCTCCCCCATGCCACCCCTCCCCATACGGATCCAAGCTGTTTCCTTATGAGGTCAAGGAATTCTAGATTTGCCTTCTCCCTAAGGAGCACCCCCCACCCGTTCTGTACCTGCCTCGACACTCTGCCTTTTATGTCCCACCCCTTTGCCCCACAATCAGGTCCCACCACAGATGGCACCAGGAAGCTGAACTGTGATGGTCCCCCTGCACCCACCCTGTGGGTACCTGGAGCCTAAGTCCAGCCCCATTGCAGTGCAGCTCCACTCCAGACCACTGGAAGCCAGGCAGGCTCCTGAGCAGCAGAGCCTCCATCTTATACAGGGAGAGTCAGGACCCTGCGATCAGGGGAGACTTGTCCAAGAGCCCTGAGTACAGCAATTAATTCATGGAACATTCCCCCACCAGTACCTGGTCCCTGGGGGTGATGACCTGGACAGCCTCAGAGAGTTTCCCGTCAAGGGTAGGGTGGGATTTGCAGTCATCAGAGGGTCTGGGAAGGGCGTGTGCAGGAAAATCTGAGGGCCTCAGGGGGTTCTTCCTGGGAAGTGCAGGCAGAGGAGACATCGGGATGCAACCAATTCTAAGTCAAGAATAAGAAAACTGAGTTGCTCCTTAAGGATGGAATGGCTTGCAAGCAGTATATGCTGTATAACTTACAATCCCAACATGATTGAGTTACGAGGAAAAAATATCAACATGGAAACATTCCTCAGTGTCTATGACAAGTAGATGATTGTTCACTGAGCTGTTAACGTTATTTTTTTATTTGTATTTTTATTTTTATATTTATTATTTTTTTCCAAGACACAGTCTAGCTCTATCACCCAGGCTGGAGTGCAGTGGCGCAATCTCAGCTCACTGCAACCTCCGCCTCCCAGGTTCACGCGATTCTCCTGTCTCAGCCTCCCGAGTAGCTGGGATTACAGGCGCCTGCCACCACGCCCAGCTAATTTTTGTATTTTTAGTAGAGACCGGGTTTCACTGTGTTGACCAGGCTGGTCTCAAACTCCTGACCTCGTGATCCACCTGCCTCAGCCTCCCAAAGTGCTGGGATCCACCACGCCCGGCCTTTTTTTTTTTTTTTTTTTTTTTTTTTGAGACGGAGTCTCTATCACCCAGGTTGGAGTGCAGTGACGTGATCTCGGCTCACTGCAACCTCTGCCGCCCGGGTTCACGCGATTTTCCCGCCTCAGCCTCCCGAGTAGCTGGGATTACAGGCGCCTGCCACTGCGCCCGGCTAGTTTTTATATTTTTAGTAGAGACGGGGTTTCACCATCTTGGCCAGGCTGTTCTTGAACTCCTGACCTCGTGATCCACCCACTTCGGCCTCCCAAAGTGCTGGGATTACAGGCATGAACCACCGCACCTGGCCTTTTTTTTTATGTTTAGTGACAGGGTTTCACTGTGTGACCCAGGCTGGAGTGTAGTGGTGAAATTATAGCTCACTGCAGCCTCAAACTCCCGGGCTTAAACGATCCTCCCATCTGTCTCCTGAGCAGCTGAGACTACCGGTGCACGTCACCACGCCCAGCTAATTTTTATATTTTTGGTAGAGATAGTGTCTTGCTGTGTTGCCCAGGTTGGTCTCAAACTCCCGGGCTCAATTAATCCACCTGCCTCAGCTTCCCACAGTGCTAGGATTATAGGCATGAGCCACCATGCCCGGCCAATGTTTTCTTTAAGATCAGAATCTTCTTAATACTAAACAAACTTAACTTTCTCGTCCCCCTGAGCGATCCTGTTTCTGCTGCCCACCCCAGGCCAGACCTGGCAGCGCCTGATCCATGGCAGTCAGGTTCATCCCAGGGCTCGGAGCCCTGCAGTCCCGTCCCGGGGCCCTGCCTGACGTAGGCGCCCAGCCAACACCTGCAACGACCTGTTGCCCCCACCCCAGGAAACAATCCCGGCTTGGGACAGACACCAGGGGCTGTGACTGTGGGTGGCTCCTTGGAGAAGGTGGCCTTGGGCCTCGGCCTTTCCACCTGGGGTGCGCTTGGCTCCCCCAGACTCAGACACGCAGGATCCTTGTGATTGGGCCTAGACACGAGCCCTGCAGTCCCTGTGGGCGCTGGAGGCGACTCCCCCACGAAGCCCTCCCTCCCCCAGGGCCTGGCGGCCCTCGCCGGCGGTGAGCTCATCTCGGGGGGCGGCGTCGCCCGGCGGCGGGTCGCTGGAGCTCACGGCGTGCCCCCGCACCCCCGCCCCCCACGCACCCGTCCCGGGCTCCTGGGCAATTTTACCAATTAAGGCTTTCTCGCCGGGCCGGGCCGGGCGCGGGGCGGGCGCGGGGCGGGGGTGCGGCCAACAAGAAGGCGGGCGGCGGCGGCCCATTCGCGTGGAGGCGCGTCGCGCGCAGCGGACGCCGACAGAATCCCCGAGGCGCCTGGCGCGGGCGCGGGCGCGAAGGCGATCCGGGCGCCACCCCGCGGTCATCGGTCACCGGTCGCTCTCAGGAACAGCAGGTGAGGTCTCCGCGGCCCGGCTTCGCGCCGTAGGGTCGCCGCGCTCCTCGTCGGCCGGGGGCGGGGTTGGAGAAGGCGGGCAGAGAGGCCGGAAAACGCAGGCGCCAGCTCGCGCCCAGGTCCGGGCCAGGTTCAGCTGGGATGCGTGAGCCGATGGAGGCTCCCCTGGCATCTGGGAGTGAGTGTCCAGAGAATAGCTTCCCTAGTTGACCCACGAGCCATGTCTGTGCCCACGAATGTGGGAGCCTGAGGCCATGGGGGGTCCCCGAGAGAGAGAGGGTGTCTGGGCACTTGCCCATGAACGGACCACTGCATGCCTGAGAGAGAAGGGCCCTGACACCAGGAACTTGTGTGGACTCAGGGCGAGTGGCCACCTGGAAGGACACTTCTCAGCCAGTGTGCCCACTGGGAGGGGGACAGCGTGTCCCTTGCTGGCTCGAGTCCACAGGGCACCAGCTGCTTTGGGCACAGGGGAGCTGGTTCTGGGGCTGCTCTACTCCATGGGGGCCATGGTGAGGATGAGACCAGGCCAGGTTCCTTGGTTGGGCCCTGGGCCCTATGCCAGGTTGGCTCTGAGTTGGATGCGCACTGCCAGCCAGGATATAACCAACAATGTCCCCAGATTCCCGTGCCACCTGGGGCCAGGCAAAATAGGTTAAAATCCACTGGCAGACCCATTTGTAAGTGCTCCGAGTGCACCGTCAAGGTGGGAGCTTGGGAATGGGCGACCTCACCTGCCGCACCTGGACTTGCCAGCACAGGTCTCTTCTCACCTTGCCAGTCTGCGGCTTCCTTCCCTCCTGCGCCCCCTGGCTACGCAGGCCTGGAAACAGCTCCTTAGGGATCCCAGCTGAACAGCTCCTGGGCTTGGGCTATACCTCCCAGTGGGAGGGTCTGGCCTGGGGTCTGAGGGCCAGGGGTGGTGTGGTGGGCGGGGTGTGCCTAACATCCAAGAATCTACTCCAAATAAGGGAAAATATGAAAGAGCTGGATTTTGGCTTCCCAGGACTGCCCGATCTGGTGGCTTTGGGATCGGGCGACATCTGGCGGTTGATACTATGTTCTAGGGACAAGAACCCTCTACACGCCCATTCCTTGTTTCCTCTAAATAGGGAAAAGCTAGGGCTGGAAGACACGGCACCCACCTCCTGACACTCTTTCTGCTGGAATTGACCACTGGTCACTCTGACTCAGTTTCCCTGAGCTCTGAAGATTAAGGAATGAACCCAGACAACCCAGCTCAATGGCCCTTAGTGGAGAGAGAGTCAATTATTGATGGAATTCCGTGCCTGGGAACTTGCTTTCCAGTGGGGCAGGGGGACCAGAAGGACAACTTCAAGCCCGTCTTGAATGGGGCCCGTGCAGGGAGGGGTCTGTATGGGTTCCCCCTTCCCAGCCCTCCCTCCCACCTCCACCCCAGCTCCCAGACGCCCAGGCGCACTTGGTGCAGGTGTGTCTCAAAGTGGTCAGGAGAGGGGACAATATACAGGGGTTGGCCTCAGTACTGGAAAATGCCATTTGCACCCCCTAACACCACTACTAGTGGGAAAAACCAGTGGGGCCACAGGCTGCCCCGAAGTGAATGTGCTGGGCGGATCACAGCCCCACCACGTGTCATGTAGACACCCAGGGCTACAGGAGAGTCAACCATATTTGGGCATGACGTGCTGGCCAACCCAGGGCCTCCATCTCTCACTGGTCTTTAGCAGATAAATTAATTATTACTAGAATTGAACAGGAGGGACAGATACCTGCCTTCCTAGAAAAAAAAAAAAAACACTCAGAGGAGGAAACATTCTGGAGAGGGGAGGTACCGAGGACTGAGAGGGAGGGGAGTGCACAATGGGGAGGAAGCCATAGGCAGGCTGGCTTCTGACTGAAGATAGTAGCAGTGAGCGTCCCCAGCCGTCCCCTGGTCCCAGTCTACATCTCGGCACAGCAGCCACTGCACCATCTCCAGAGTTATCTACCAGAAAATTTTGAGTGAAGAGCCCCCACAGCTCTGGGGACACAACCCCCCAGGCCCCTGATCCCTGTCCTCAGGCCTCCTCTGCACCTGCCACCACACCTGAAGCCCACCCAGACCCAGGTGCTCAGAGCCTGACAAGTCTTATGGGAACCTCTGAGCAGGCCCCTCTGGGTCTGGAATGCCACTCCCGTGTTTGCCCCCTGCCCTGGCCACGCTGGGCTGAGGGGACTTTCCGACAGGAGAGGACCCCCCGCTTCAGCTCCCCCCAGTGCCCCGGGTGAACTGGCATGAAGGGTTAGGCGGGCACACGTCTCTGCATGCATCGCACGGCGCCCTCTGCCCGCGCCCACTGGCGTGCCCGTGGGCATGCCCGGACCCCTTCGAAGGCTGCTTGCTCCTGGAGTGCCGGCGGCCTCCTGGCCCAGTGCCCCATATCCTCCCGGGTGGAGGGAAGCAGAGAGGGAGGCGGTGGGAAGCAGCGGGCACAGGTGCGCGGGCGAGGGCCCTACGGACTGGGAAGGCGGGCCCGTGGCAGGGGGTCTGCGGGGACCGCGTAGGCGCAGGCCTTGCCCTGCAGCCGCTTCCCAGGTGATGAGCACACAAAGCGCCCTCGGCAGTGCCTGGTCCGGGGCTGCCGCTCTCCAGGGGTTCGCTCTTAGGGTTGGCCCCTTCCCGCCGCTGCCGGGCCGGCGGACGGGGATGCCGCCGGGGAACCCTAGGCCCTGGGGGCCCGGGGAAGGGGGATGACGGCGGGGGGTAGGGATGTGCAGGGACGGGGCAGAGCCCAAGTGACTTAGGGAAGAGAGCCACCCCACCCCCCGCAGGGGCCCTGGGGAAGGAAAGTCCCTTGTAAGGCGCGCCGGCTGCAGGCCAAGCAGTCCCGCGCCAGACACTGCTCAGCCTTTCCTCGCTCTAGGGCGCGTTTCCTGCAGCGCCAACGCGAGGCTGCGGGGCTGGGAGCATCCTTGCCCACCCCACTGCCCAGCGACCCACCCTGGAGCCCGGGTTTCGCGTCTGATCAGCCGAACCCGGGGGCCTAGTGGGGGCATTCCAACGGGCGGGGCGGGGTGGGGCAGGCGCGCCCTCGAAGCCCCACCCCACGGCCCCTCCCCGCAGGAGGCCCGCCCTCTGGCCCCGCCCTCCTCCCGCATTTAAAGGGCTCGCTCTCTCCGCAGCGCAACCTCTGCTCCCTGCCTCGCCTCCCGCGCGCCTAGGTGCCTGCGACTTTAATTAAAGGGCCGTCCCCTCGCCGAGGCTGCAGCACCGCCCCCCCGGCTTCTCGCGCCTCAAAATGAGTAGCTCCCACTCTCGGGCGGGCCAGAGCGCAGCAGGCGCGGCTCCGGGCGGCGGCGTCGACACGCGGGACGCCGAGATGCCGGCCACCGAGAAGGACCTGGCGGAGGACGCGCCGTGGAAGAAGATCCAGCAGAACACTTTCACGCGCTGGTGCAACGAGCACCTGAAGTGCGTGAGCAAGCGCATCGCCAACCTGCAGACGGACCTGAGCGACGGGCTGCGGCTTATCGCGCTGTTGGAGGTGCTCAGCCAGAAGAAGATGCACCGCAAGCACAACCAGCGGCCCACTTTCCGCCAAATGCAGCTTGAGAACGTGTCGGTGGCGCTCGAGTTCCTGGACCGCGAGAGCATCAAACTGGTGTCCATCGGTGAGGGACGCCCCGAAGCGCCGGGCGGGCGGGGGCGGGGACTCCGTGCGTCCTTCCATCTCCCCGGGCGGACCCCTCCAAACCACCCCCTTCCGGGCCGCAGCGCAACTCCCGAGGCCTCCGGCTGCTCTGCTCCACGCGGGCCTGCAGAACAAAGGCGCGCGGGCTGGCTGGCTGGCCGGCCGGGCGTGCGAACCGCTACGCGCCCCCGCCCGCTGCGCCCCGGCTGGCCGGCGCCCAGGCTGAACTCACATCCTCCGCAGGCCGCGCCTCCGCGGCTGTGCTCGCGGTGGGAGTGGGCCTGGGGGGTCGGGCACTGGGCAGGCTCCTGGCCCTGCGCCCCGTCCCCGAGGAGGAGGAGGCCCGGGCTCTCCCCCCACAGCTGTTTAGAGAGGGCCCTCTGGCCTTCAGAGGCCCGTTGGTTCTGAAGTGTGGGTTGGAGCTCGTGCGTCCCATTGTCTGGGGCTCTGGGCTCTTTGTGTCCCTGGAGGATGGGTCGCCCATCGGAGATGGCTCCAACCACCAGTTTAGATCTACCCCCCCACACACACACAGGCAACCTGGGGGCCAGAAAGAAGCATAGTTAGCAAAACTGCACCCGGGGTGAGTTGGGCGTGGTTGACTGAGAGACCTGGCTTGTAGACTACTTGGACGCCAACTTTTCTCTTCATCTTGGGCCAAACTCTTGCTTCCATGTAGGCCTTGCTTTTCTGCGTGTAGCACGCAGGAGTTGGTTGGTAGATGCTCCAGCGTGCATTGTGCCAGCCCAGTGTCTGTGTCACTGGACTGGAGAGGCTGGCATTGACCAGGCCTGCTGCAGCAGCCCAATTCGTTCTCAAGATAGGGGCTGCATGAGAGGGCAGGCCCCAGAATGGGTGACTCGGGGGTGATGTGGAACAGGGAGAGGAGAGGGATGATGAGTCTTCTCTTCTTCAGAATTGAGAGGCCTTCCAGTTACCCTGCAGCCCTGGAATGGCCCTTGCTGAACCCAAGAAAGTGAGGGACCAAGACTTGGGTTCCCCCAGCCACTCAGAGGGCAGATCCCAAGAACCAAAGTTCTTTCTTTGGAATGCCAGTTGAGGCGAGGGGCAGGCCCACCCCCACAAGTCCCAGCCTCAGTCTAGCCAAGCTGAGTCATCTCAGTCCTGGATGGTAGGGGGGGCGACCGGATGTGGGGAGGCGGGCCACACCCCAGCTCTTTAGGGGGGGTCTCCTCCCTCCTCCCAGCTCCCCTCCTCCTTGTGAGCTGGCTGGAGCAGGCCTAGTTCCCAGAGCTTTGCCATATAAGGCAAAAAAATGTTGGAAAGCAGCAGTGATTAGGGGAGGGAGGGGTTGGCTGGCCCAGGGGCTGGGGAAAGGGGGGTGGGATGGGGCGGGGCCATCCAGCCAGACAGTCTCCCAGCCCTGGGCCCTGGTCCTTCCCTCTCTCTTTTGGGAGGGGGATGGGGACGGAGTAGGCTGGCCTAACATGGACCTGGTGGGCCTGGTTGCTCCCCGTGTGGGGGTCGTTGAGGGGTCTGAGGCTGGACTGGGGTGGGGGCCTGATGGGAAGCCCTGGCTGGCCTTGTTCCCTGGCCCTGCACCCTTGGTCCTCTCCGAGTCCCCCTCCCTGCTGCCATTTGGGGAGAGTGAAAGGCAGCCTCGTGGGGCCAGGACCAACCTGGGAACTGGGGAGGCCACTCTGAGCGGCTCACCTGGCCCTCCAGGTGCTGCCTGCTGGGCTGGGAAGCAGCTGCCATGGACAGCCCAGCCCCTCCTCATAGGCCCGCCCCCTAGTTGACTCACCAGAGAAGTATTTTGTCTGATTATGGGGGAGGCTGACAGGGCTTCTAAAGATGAGCCATCCTGCCTTGAGCCTGAGACCCAGAAGTAGCCTTGGGTGGGGCCCAGAGCCCAGCAGGGTTGCCATGGTGATGGGGGGTGTCAGGGACCCGCCCTAACCACTTCCCCTGTGGCGAGCCTGCCGAGGCCCAGAGGCCCGTTAGGTGGCAAGTGGGTCAGGCAGTGGGTGGCAAGGGGGTTCCCAGTGTCTCCTGCTGCCACCCCGGCATCTCCCGATGGGCCCCAGTGAGTCAGGGCCATGTGGCCCAACTGCTGGTTCCTTTGGGCTCTGGGCCCCTCCCCTGGCTAGGCCTGTGGCCTCCCAACTCCAAGCTTGAGTCTTCGAGGTGGTAGAGGAAGTGGGGGTGGTGGCGGGGGTCACAATCCCTCACCCAAAGGGCGTTTGCCCAACTCCCCCACTTCCCCTGCCTCACCCCACCCACCCTGGAACAACAGTTGTATTTCCCAACCACCCAGGGCCACCCACCTTCCTCTTCCTCAGCCCCAGCCCCACTCCAGGTCATGGGCCCTGGATTCTGGGCCAGCTGGAGTCAGCCTCCTCCTCCTGGTTCCCCATAGGCCCCTGAGGTGTGTGGCGGACCCCTGCTCTGGCAGCTGTGGACACTGTCCAGCTGTTCTCCAGAGCTGCCCATCTGCAGGCTGGGTCTGCCCTCTGCCCTTCCTCTGGGCCCAGGGCTTCTGGCAGTAATCATACCCTGCTGGCATCGTGTGTGTGTGTCTGTGTGTATCTGCCCTCACCCCAAAGTCTCCTTCACCTCTGAACACCCCCTGGGACCCTGGGCAGAGAGGGCCTCATCCACATCCTACCACTGGCCAAGAGGGGGTGTCTACCTCCTCCTTGGCCCCTGCTACCCCGTGCTGCCAGACCCTGACCCCAAAGCCTGGGATCGGCCCCTCCCGCACAGCCGTGTGCCCAGCGTGGCCACTCTTCTACTCACAGACAGCAAGGCCATCGTGGACGGGAACCTGAAGCTGATCCTGGGCCTCATCTGGACCCTGATCCTGCACTACTCCATCTCCATGCCCATGTGGGACGAGGAGGAGGATGAGGAGGCCAAGAAGCAGACCCCCAAGCAGAGGCTCCTGGGCTGGATCCAGAACAAGCTGCCGCAGCTGCCCATCACCAACTTCAGCCGGGACTGGCAGAGCGGCCGGGCCCTGGGCGCCCTGGTGGACAGCTGTGCCCCGGGTGAGGGGGCGCAGAGGCAGGAGAGACTGGGCTGGGGTCACCCATGGGTGGCCCTTGAGGGGGTTCTGCGGCCCCCAGACTCACAGCCTCCCTTGCGCCACAGGCCTGTGTCCTGACTGGGACTCTTGGGACGCCAGCAAGCCCGTTACCAATGCGCGAGAGGCCATGCAGCAGGCGGATGACTGGCTGGGCATCCCCCAGGTACACCCGCCCGGCCTGGCTACAGCTGTAGGGGACCGGATCGGCAGTTGGGAGAGACTCGGAGGCCCGATGGCTCCTGTTTTCTGCCTGTGACAGGTGATCACCCCCGAGGAGATTGTGGACCCCAACGTGGACGAGCACTCTGTCATGACCTACCTGTCCCAGTTCCCCAAGGCCAAGCTGAAGCCAGGGGCTCCCTTGCGGCCCAAACTGAACCCGAAGAAAGCCCGTGCCTACGGGCCAGGTGAGGGAGCCCCACCAGGGGTGCACCCGTGTGCCAACGTCTTCCCCATAAGACAGTGTCCCATCTAAACGTGGCGGTCCCCAGGGGTCTTGGGTTACATGGCGGCTAGGTGATCAAGCCACCCAAGAGTCAGACAAGAGTGGGTTTTTGGGACTAGTGAAAACGACAAGAGAATGCTAATAGGTTCCTCCAGTCACAGAAGCCTGCTGCGTGGGGTCCTCGGGGAGGTAGCATCCAGCGGTCTTTATTATAAATGGAGATGAACCAGGTCTCAGTAACAGGGACCTAAAACCCAGTCAAGGCTCACACAGGAACAAGGGCCCAGTGCGGTGAGAATGAATGTTCCAGAAAACAGGCTGGGCCTGTCCCAGCAGCGAGAGCACAGCTGGGTCCCGAGGCCAGGCTCTGTGCCACAGCTCACACTGAATGAACTTGCCCAGTTTGGAATGTGCCTGACTTAGGGGCCAGCAGGGAGGGCTGAAGGGTGGAGGGGTGAGGCTGTGGCCTTAACAGCTGGCCCGTGGTTGGCTCGCCTTCCCCTGCCAGGCATCGAGCCCACAGGCAACATGGTGAAGAAGCGGGCAGAGTTCACTGTGGAGACCAGAAGTGCTGGCCAGGGAGAGGTGCTGGTGTACGTGGAGGACCCGGCCGGACACCAGGAGGAGGTAGGGCCAGCTGCTGGCAGCAGAGGCCCCGCAGCGCTCCCTTTCAGTGGGGCTGCTCTTAGCAAAGGCTCACAGGCTCCTTCCCACTGCAGGCAAAAGTGACCGCCAATAACGACAAGAACCGCACCTTCTCCGTCTGGTACGTCCCCGAGGTGACGGGGACTCATAAGGTGAGCCCTTGGCCAGGGGGGAGGCTTGTGACCTCAGGCAGTGGCTGGAGGCCCCCAGCCCTACCCTCACGGCCCACCCTTCTGGGGACAGGTTACTGTGCTCTTTGCTGGCCAGCACATCGCCAAGAGCCCCTTCGAGGTGTACGTGGATAAGTCACAGGGTGACGCCAGCAAAGTGACAGCCCAAGGTCCCGGCCTGGAGCCCAGTGGCAACATCGCCAACAAGACCACCTACTTTGAGATCTTTACGGCAGGTGAGGGGAGGCTGCCAAGGCCCAGCTGGTCTGTGGGGAGAGCCGCACTGGGGCCTGGGAGCTGAGCAGGTGCCTCGTGGCAGGAGCTGGCACGGGCGAGGTCGAGGTTGTGATCCAGGACCCCATGGGACAGAAGGGCACGGTAGAGCCTCAGCTGGAGGCCCGGGGCGACAGCACATACCGCTGCAGCTACCAGCCCACCATGGAGGGCGTCCACACCGTGCACGTCACGTTTGCCGGCGTGCCCATCCCTCGCAGCCCCTACACTGTCACTGTTGGCCAAGGTAGGCCCGGCCCTGACTGCCCTCTGCTGTGGCACTGCAGTCTGGGCCTCCCACAGGAGGGGGACCCCCTGGGCCAGTCCCGCTGCAGCCCGCCCCGGGGCCCCTACTCTTTGAGCTTCTACTGTCTGGGCACATGCTGTTTTTCCTCCCCTGCTGGGGCCCTTCCTCCTCTCCTCTCCTCGCCCCTCTCCATCTCTCTCCTCACGCTTTCACCTTCGGAAGAGCTCGCTCCAGCTGTCTAGAAACCTGCTGCTCTCTGCTCTGCCCACAGGGTCAACGGTACTTGGATCTGTCTTCTTCTTGGAAGGGGGAGGGTGGGGGGCTCTGGGCTGGTGTGGAGCAGGTGGGAGGAGGCCTGCCATGTCCTGGCCCAGGCCACAGTTCCTGGGGTCACAGTCCCTTCCAGTTCTGTCTTGCATGTCCCCCTCCAGCCAAGCTCTGAGGGACCCACCAATCCTGACAGCCCGGCCCTGTGGGAGGCAAGGGAGGGGTCGCCCAGCCGAGCTGCTGGTGCTCAGCTGGCCCCTCTGCCTGCAGCCTGTAACCCGAGTGCCTGCCGGGCGGTTGGCCGGGGCCTCCAGCCCAAGGGTGTGCGGGTGAAGGAGACAGCTGACTTCAAGGTGTACACAAAGGGCGCTGGCAGTGGGGAGCTGAAGGTCACCGTGAAGGGCCCCAGTAAGTTGGCCTGGAGCCAGGCCAGGATGGGTGGCGGCAGCCCCCGGGTTCACTGCTGGGCAGGCCTGAGGCCCTCCTTGTCTTGGCAGAGGGAGAGGAGCGCGTGAAGCAGAAGGACCTGGGGGATGGCGTGTATGGCTTCGAGTATTACCCCATGGTCCCTGGAACCTATATCGTCACCATCACGTGGGGTGGTCAGAACATCGGGCGCAGGTGAGGCCCCCAGGCATCCCTCTCCCAGCTCTGCACACTCTGCCTCTTCTCTTCCTTCTGCCTCCCCACCTGATGATGAGGGGCCACATGGGCTCTTCCTGCCTGGCCGCCACAGTGGGGCCCACGCTGGCTCATGTGGTGATCCTCGGTGTTCCCTGTGTGGCTCTCGCATTTGCAGTCCCTTCGAAGTGAAGGTGGGCACCGAGTGTGGCAATCAGAAGGTACGGGCCTGGGGCCCTGGGCTGGAGGGCGGCGTCGTTGGCAAGTCAGCAGACTTTGTGGTGGAGGCTATCGGGGACGACGTGGGCACGCTGGGTAAGTTGGAGGCTGCAGCATGGGCACCTGGGGACAGACGATGGCAAGGACGGCCCACCCTGAGGCTCCAGGGCACTGAGGGGACTGGTGGCTGTTGTCAGGCTTCTCGGTGGAAGGGCCATCGCAGGCTAAGATCGAATGTGACGACAAGGGCGACGGCTCCTGTGATGTGCGCTACTGGCCGCAGGAGGCTGGCGAGTATGCCGTTCACGTGCTGTGCAACAGCGAAGACATCCGCCTCAGCCCCTTCATGGCTGACATCCGTGACGCGCCCCAGGACTTCCACCCAGACAGGGTAAAGAGCAGGCTGTGATGGCCTAAGTCTCGCCCTGCTGCTCCTGCTTGGGGTCTGGTGGGGATGGCACTCTGTGTCCCTGGCCACCCTGCCTGGGTTGTAGCTCTGGCAGCCTGGACCTGGCCCCCTGACAGCTGGGTGGTCTCCCGCTAGGTGAAGGCACGTGGGCCTGGATTGGAGAAGACAGGTGTGGCCGTCAACAAGCCAGCAGAGTTCACAGTGGATGCCAAGCACGGTGGCAAGGCCCCACTTCGGGTCCAAGTCCAGGTAGAGCACCCACGGGTGTTGGGGGCAGGGCAGGTGTGGGCACCCAGGCCTGGGCACTGACCAGCAGGCCACCTGCTCCTATCTGCCTGACAGGACAATGAAGGCTGCCCTGTGGAGGCGTTGGTCAAGGACAACGGCAATGGCACTTACAGCTGCTCCTACGTGCCCAGGAAGCCGGTGAAGCACACAGCCATGGTGTCCTGGGGAGGCGTCAGCATCCCCAACAGCCCCTTCAGGGTGAGCCAACCTCCACCGGCCTTTAGTCCATCTCGATAGCATTCACGTAGCACACGATTCGTCCATTTCAAGTGGTTGTGGCACACCATCCTGACTCCCCTGTCCCACAGCTCCTGGTGACCACTAACCTGCTTTCTGCTGTGGCTTTGCCTATCCTGGACATGTTCTATAGATGGAACTGTGTGCCATGTGGCCTTTTGTGTCTGGCTTCTTTCGCTCACCACGAAGTTTTCCGTGTTTTCGTTCATGTTTGGCATGTCTTGGCACTTTGTTCCTTTATAATTATTTTGTTTATTTATTTATTTATTTGAGATGGAGTCTCACACTGTCGCCCAGGCTGGAGTGCAATGGCGCGATCTCGGCTCACTGCAGGCTCTTTCTCCCAGGTTCACACCATTGTCTTGCCTCAGCCTCCCGGGTAGCTGGGACTACAGGCGCCCGCCACCCCCCCGGCTAATTTTTTGTATTTTTAGTAGAGACAAGGTTTCACTGTGTTAGCCAGGATGGTGTCGATCTCCTGACCTTGTGATCTGCCCACCTCGGCCTCCCAAAGTGCTGGGATGACAGGCATGAGCCACCGCGCCCATCCTGGTTTTTTTTTTTTGAGCCGGAGTTTTGCTCTTATTGCCAGGCTGGAGTGCAATGACGTGATCTCAGCTCACTGCAACCTCTGCCTGCCAGATTCAAGCAATTCTCTCCTGCCTCAGCCTCCTGAGTAGCTGGGATTGCAGGCATACGCCACCATTCCCAGCTAATTTTGTATTTTTAGTAGAGACGGGGTTTCTCCATGTTGGTCAGACTGGTCTCAACCGCCTGACCCCAGGTGGTCCGCCCACCTTGGCCTTCCAAAGTGCTGGGATTACAGGCATGAGCCACCACGTCCGGCCGCTTCATTTATTTTTATGGCCGCATAATACTCCATTGTGTGGCCAGACCACATTCCATTTTTCCGTTCACTTGCTAACAGATATTGAGGATGAGCTTGCCTTTGGTGATCATGAACAGTGCTGTTAACAGTGAGTCCAGGTGTTTGCGTGGACATTTGCTTTCATTTCTCTTGGGTAGTTGCCTCGGAGTGAACCGGAGCATCACACAGTCCCTCTGTGGTCAACTGAGGAACTGCCAGACTCTTCCCAAGGCAGCTGGACCATTTTGTGTGCCTGCCAGTGTAGCTGAGGGAGCTTCTGAGTCTCCTCCAGGCTGCTCATGCCCTTGCCCTTGCCCCTGTGCCCTGCAGGTGAATGTGGGAGCTGGCAGCCACCCCAACAAGGTCAAAGTATACGGCCCCGGAGTAGCCAAGACAGGGCTCAAGGCCCACGAGCCCACCTACTTCACTGTGGACTGCGCCGAGGCTGGCCAGGGTAAGGCCTGGCTGTGGGTGGGAGGGCAGGTGGCTGGGGTGTCCCTGCGAGGTCTCAGCCTCCGCTCCTCTCCCCGCCGCAGGGGACGTCAGCATCGGCATCAAGTGTGCCCCTGGAGTGGTAGGCCCCGCCGAAGCTGACATCGACTTCGACATCATCCGCAATGACAATGACACCTTCACGGTCAAGTACACGCCCCGGGGGGCTGGCAGCTACACCATTATGGTCCTCTTTGCTGACCAGGTGGGTGCTGCGCTCCTGGCCGCTAAGATGTCATTGCGGATGACGTCTGCCCTCCTCTAAGGCCTTCTCCTCCCACTGCCTGCAGGCCACGCCCACCAGCCCCATCCGAGTCAAGGTGGAGCCCTCTCATGACGCCAGTAAGGTGAAGGCCGAGGGCCCTGGCCTCAGTCGCACTGGTGAGGACAGGTACCCCATGGCAGGTTGCGGGGCATCAAGGGTAGGAGGGCTTGGGGCAGGGTGCCCCTACATGGTCCCTGTGTGTTCCTCAGGTGTCGAGCTTGGCAAGCCCACCCACTTCACAGTAAATGCCAAAGCTGCTGGCAAAGGCAAGCTGGACGTCCAGTTCTCAGGACTCACCAAGGGGGATGCAGTGCGAGATGTGGACATCATCGACCACCATGACAACACCTACACAGTCAAGTACACGCCTGTCCAGCAGGTAGCCACACCCTCCACTACAGTCACCGAGTCCCCAGCCTCCTCATGCAGCAGCCTAGGGGACAGCTCCGAGGGACTTTCTGCCCACTCTCATTCCTTACCTGGGAGAGGACAGGCATGGAGGTCCAGGAGGGGGTTGGGGAGCAATTCTGGTGTCTCTAAATACCCCCTTCCCTTCTGCACCCTTCCCAGGGTCCAGTAGGCGTCAATGTCACTTATGGAGGGGATCCCATCCCTAAGAGCCCTTTCTCAGTGGCAGTATCTCCAAGCCTGGACCTCAGCAAGATCAAGGTGTCTGGCCTGGGAGAGAGTAAGTAGTTGGGGCCCTTGTCGCAAAGGCCTTTGTCACATCCAGGGATTGGCTGAGCTGGGTGTCATGTCTCTCTCCTTCCTTTCATCGTTTCCACAGAGGTGGACGTTGGCAAAGACCAGGAGTTCACAGTCAAATCAAAGGGTGCTGGTGGTCAAGGCAAAGTGGCATCCAAGATTGTGGGCCCCTCGGGTGCAGCGGTGCCCTGCAAGGTGGAGCCAGGCCTGGGGGCTGACAACAGTGTGGTGCGCTTCCTGCCCCGTGAGGAAGGGCCCTATGAGGTGGAGGTGACCTATGACGGCGTGCCCGTGCCTGGCAGCCCCTTTCCTCTGGAAGCTGTGGCCCCCACCAAGCCTAGCAAGGTAATTGGGGTATGGGAGGCCCTAAGGGTAGAACCCACTGTGCTCTCTGAGGGCCCCAAAGGTACCCCATCTTCTCCAGACCTGCCCTAAATCCTTTTTTTTTTTTTTTTTTCCTGAGACAGACTGTCAACCTTGACCCTGTTTAAGTGAGAGTAAAGGGGAGGAGGGAAATAGAAACCCACAAAAAGTCATCAGGGTTGAAGAATTTCTTTTTTTTTTTTTTCTTTCTTTTTTTTTTTTTTTTTTTTTTTTTTTTTTTTTGAGAAAGAGTCTCACTCTGTCGCCCAGGCTGGAGTGCAGTGGCGCGATATTGGCTCACGGCACCCTCCGCCTCCTGGCTTCAAGCAATACTCCTGCCTCAGCCTCCCAAGTAGCTGGGATTACAGGTGCCCGCCACCATGCCCAGCTAATTTTGGTAATTTTAGTAGAGACGAGATTTCACCATGTTGGCCAGGCTGTTCTCAAACTCCTGACCTCAGGTGATCCACCCACCTTGGCCTCCCAAAGGGCTGAGATTACAGGCGTGAGTGACCGCGCCCTGCCCTCCTTTTTGTCC
This sequence comes from Homo sapiens, assembly GCF_000001405.40. Taxonomy (NCBI): domain Eukaryota; kingdom Metazoa; phylum Chordata; class Mammalia; order Primates; family Hominidae; genus Homo; species Homo sapiens. The sequence continues at coordinate 154,360,751 of NC_000023.11, read as the reverse complement.
TTATGACTGATGGATGGCCCATCTGGCAGGCAGCCTGGGCCCGCCCGTGTCCCTGTTTGGTGAGGGCAGGAAGCCAGGGCAAGGGGAGGCAGGTGGAAAGTCAAGCAGGAGGTCTGGGATCGGGGCATAGTGTGGCCTTGGCTCCTGACCCCTTCTTCCCTCAGGTGAAGGCGTTTGGGCCGGGGCTGCAGGGAGGCAGTGCGGGCTCCCCCGCCCGCTTCACCATCGACACCAAGGGCGCCGGCACAGGTGGCCTGGGCCTGACGGTGGAGGGCCCCTGTGAGGCGCAGCTCGAGTGCTTGGACAATGGGGATGGCACATGTTCCGTGTCCTACGTGCCCACCGAGCCCGGGGACTACAACATCAACATCCTCTTCGCTGACACCCACATCCCTGGCTCCCCATTCAAGGCCCACGTGGTTCCCTGCTTTGACGCATCCAAAGTCAAGTGCTCAGGCCCCGGGCTGGAGCGGGCCACCGCTGGGGAGGTGGGCCAATTCCAAGTGGACTGCTCGAGCGCGGGCAGCGCGGAGCTGACCATTGAGATCTGCTCGGAGGCGGGGCTTCCGGCCGAGGTGTACATCCAGGACCACGGTGATGGCACGCACACCATTACCTACATTCCCCTCTGCCCCGGGGCCTACACCGTCACCATCAAGTACGGCGGCCAGCCCGTGCCCAACTTCCCCAGCAAGCTGCAGGTGGAACCTGCGGTGGACACTTCCGGTGTCCAGTGCTATGGGCCTGGTATTGAGGGCCAGGGTGAGTTGCCCTGCCGTGGGGTATGTGACGGGGGACAGGGACCAGAACCCCCGAGCCCCAAGCCTCCTCTCTGTGCCTTTGCAGGTGTCTTCCGTGAGGCCACCACTGAGTTCAGTGTGGACGCCCGGGCTCTGACACAGACCGGAGGGCCGCACGTCAAGGCCCGTGTGGCCAACCCCTCAGGCAACCTGACGGAGACCTACGTTCAGGACCGTGGCGATGGCATGTACAAAGTGGAGTACACGCCTTACGAGGAGGGTGCGTGCTGGGGACTCCCACAGGCTGGCAGACGGGGTGGGTGGGGTGGCCCGGGCTCCTCCTGACCTGGCCTGCACTCCTCCAGGACTGCACTCCGTGGACGTGACCTATGACGGCAGTCCCGTGCCCAGCAGCCCCTTCCAGGTGCCCGTGACCGAGGGCTGCGACCCCTCCCGGGTGCGTGTCCACGGGCCAGGCATCCAAAGTGGCACCACCAACAAGCCCAACAAGTTCACTGTGGAGACCAGGTAAGGGAGCCCCCAGGAGCCCGTGTGGCTGGTGGGCCTGGGAACCCCAGGAATGACCGGCTGTCTGTTTGGACCAGGGGAGCTGGCACGGGCGGCCTGGGCCTGGCTGTAGAGGGCCCCTCCGAGGCCAAGATGTCCTGCATGGATAACAAGGACGGCAGCTGCTCGGTCGAGTACATCCCTTATGAGGCTGGCACCTACAGCCTCAACGTCACCTATGGTGGCCATCAAGTGCCAGGTGAGGAGGTGGCGGCCAGGGCAGGGCTGGGACTGTCTGCTCGTCCCCACCCTGTCTCATACAGCCGCCATCCCTTTGCCCCAACCCTCAGGCAGTCCTTTCAAGGTCCCTGTGCATGATGTGACAGATGCGTCCAAGGTCAAGTGCTCTGGGCCCGGCCTGAGCCCAGGCATGGTTCGTGCCAACCTCCCTCAGTCCTTCCAGGTGGACACAAGCAAGGCTGGTGTGGCCCCATTGCAGGTCAAAGTGCAAGGGCCCAAAGGTGAGTGTTTGCATGCCTGGAGCCAGGGGTCAGGAGGGCAGTGTCCTGTTTGAGGGCCGGGAAAGGAAACTGGAGGCCCAAAGTGAGGACCAGAGTGCAGAGGTGGTGCAAGTGTGTAGGTGTTTTTGGAAGAGCCTCAGGTGACAGTGCAGCCAGGTGGGGGACTTGGAGGAGGTAGAGCAGATGGGACTGGTCACTGAGCAGATGTGGCAGGAAGGCAGGCAGGCAAGGGTCCCAGCTGGCACCCAGATGGGTGTCTTTCGTGCCAGAGGGGGTCAAGGCCATTCCCAGGGTCGGGTGGATGAGGATAAAGCGAGGTCTAGGCCTGGGGCTGGGTCCTGGCCGTCCAGTGTGGTGGGGTAGGAATGGAGGCCCAGGAGACTAGCTGATGCTCTGTCCCTGGGGCTGGGGCCAGGCCTGGTGGAGCCAGTGGACGTGGTAGACAACGCTGATGGCACCCAGACCGTCAATTATGTGCCCAGCCGAGAAGGGCCCTACAGCATCTCAGTACTGTATGGAGATGAAGAGGTACCCCGGAGGTAAGAGGCAGGGCCTGCTGCCTGTGGGGAGTGGCCCAGGCTGGATGCTGAGAACCTGTCTGACTGCTCACAACACCAATCCCTCACAGCCCCTTCAAGGTCAAGGTGCTGCCTACTCATGATGCCAGCAAGGTGAAGGCCAGTGGCCCCGGGCTCAACACCACTGGCGTGCCTGCCAGCCTGCCCGTGGAGTTCACCATCGATGCAAAGGACGCCGGGGAGGGCCTGCTGGCTGTCCAGATCACGGTGAGCTCCGGGCACAGGCAGGGGAGGCAGGGGGGCCTGGGCGGCTGGAGTGTGGGCTGCGGGTGGCTGGTGTCTGATCTCCCTGCGGAGCTGCACCAAGGAGGGCAGGGAAGGACAGGGCCCCTGTCTTTGGTTTGCTAAGGTTGTGACTACCTTAGGATGGTGGTGACAGGCACAGGCTTCCCCAGACGTGCACTTGCTGCTAACTTTGAGCACGTCACCAAAGCCTTCTGTGCCTCAGTTTCCCCACCTGTAATATTCTCATGGGGCAGGTATAGGATAGAAGCTTGAGATCACCCCGGTGAGCTCCTCCTAGTGCTGGCCAGGCCCTGGGGCTGAGGATGGGTGCCAAGCTGGCTGGCCGCGCCTGTTGTCATGTGGGAAGTGTGGGATGTTTTAGTCTCCATTCTGGACTCTGCCAGGTGCAGGCAGCCCTTTTGGGCCATAGCAGTTAAGATGCCTGAGGCCCAGAGACTGTCCCTGTAGCAGCAGCGCTGGGCACTCTGGGAGCGCCTGAGGCAGGCCCGGGGCTACTCGGGCTTGGGCCAACTGCCTCCCCTGCCTCTGCCACACAGGATCCCGAAGGCAAGCCGAAGAAGACACACATCCAAGACAACCATGACGGCACGTATACAGTGGCCTACGTGCCAGACGTGACAGGTCGCTACACCATCCTCATCAAGTACGGTGGTGACGAGATCCCCTTCTCCCCGTACCGCGTGCGTGCCGTGCCCACCGGGGACGCCAGCAAGTGCACTGTCACAGGTGAGCCCGCCCGCTGTTGGCCGCTGCGGCGCTCGGCACGGGGCTTGGGTTGTGCCTGTGTGCAAGGGCTCGCTGCTTGGGGCGGCGTGTGGGAGTGGGGGCCGCCCCCTTGAGTGACTCACCTGACCTTTCTCCTTGCTCTCTGCCCTCTCACCTCAGTGTCAATCGGAGGTCACGGGCTAGGTAAGCTGCTTGCTGGGGCCACTCCCAATGCCCCTCCTGCCCAGAGGGGCAGCTTCCTTTCCTCTTGGGGCCGATTCCCAGGACAGTTCCAGCTGCAGCTCTAGGCAGGGACAGAGTTGGGTGGGGTGCAGAAGATGAGGCCGTGGGCTGGAGGGCGAGGGCCCAGGGAGGCTTCCGGAGCTGAGCATGACCGCTCCAGCTCTTCCCCTCTCTGGGCCTTTATTTCCCCATCTGAGAACTCGGGTTGCAGCTGAGAGCTTTGGGGTGAGGTGCATCCTGAGAGGCACCCCACTGGGGACTTTGGGGTCTCGGGATCTTGGCACCCAGGGAGGCACAAGGGCTCCTGCGTGGGCTGAGGGAACAAGGGGTCTCCCCAACTCAATGGGAGCCCCAGCCCTGGCCAGATCCACAGACCCCCATCCCCACCTTCCAGGGGCCTCTGCGTCCCGGGCCGGGGGAGGTGCATGAGCGGGTGGGGCTGGCTGGTAGTGCAGTAGCGCCAGTGTCGACTGCTTGGGCGGCCAGCATGGCGGGGCCCGGCCCAGCCTCAGAGCCCCAAAGTGCATTCTGTGGCCCGTCTCCCTCCTTCCCCCTTCCCCTATCCCCCAGCAGTGACGTTATTCAGACATTCCCCAACAGGCATGGAGGGTCACCTGCCCCAGCCAGGGACACCCAGGGATGCTGATGAGAGGCTACAGGCCTGGCACTTGGGCGAGGTGGCTAAGGAAAGGGTGAGAGGGTGGCTAGAGTTTTGCGGCAGGAGCGAGATGGCTTTATAGAGCAGGCCGTAGGATCCGATGTGTGTGTGACAGGCGTGTGTGCGCAGGGCGGGGGAGGCTGGGGAGTACTGATTGCAGGGCCTTGGGGGCTTTGAGGGTGGGAGCAAGACTCAGTAACCTCAGTTTCCCTGGCTACTGTTTGCAGAATGGAGACAGGGAGCCCGGGGTGGGGAAGGGGGCGCTGAAGTTGCTCTCTGGCAAGCTTGACGGCCACGGGGCTTCAGTGAGAGCCAAATTAGGAGGCATACTTTGAGGATGGAGTGGCTGAGACCTGCGGTTGGCTGGGAGCCGGGCAGGGAAAGTGGGGGCAGTCGGGTACCTGTGAGGTTGGGGCCCAAGCCACTAACTAGATGGCATGGGGTGCACATGAGTGAAGCCTCCCAGGGCAGCGTGGGCAGCCGGCAGCCAGGTCTGGAGCCTGGGAGAGCTGCCTGGCCGCGGCAGGCCAGCATGGAGCCTAGTGCAGCAGGAGCCCTCGGCCGATAGTGGGACTTGGTGGCAGGGCCCCTCGAGCTTGGCCTTCAAGTAGGTTTCGTGCTCCTGGCTGCTTCCCTGGCAGGAGGCCAGGCTGCAGGGGGCACTCTCACTGCCAGGCCTCACAGCCCACAGCCCCCCAAGCCTCCACGGCGGAGACCCAGATCATAACGTCACTGTCTCTCCCCTTTCCTCGGGCACTCTGGGGCCCTGGAGCCTGCTCAGCTGCTCTGCCCTCGCAACCCAGCAGTGGTGGCTGTAGCTTGGGCCTCCTGTTCCCTGTCTCCCTGGGTGCTATCCCCGCTCTGCCAAGCCTGCTGCGCTGCGCTACTCGGGTGCTAACCCCGCTGCCTCCCGCTTCCCCGCTCCCACTCCTGTCTGCACCGGGCTGCTTTTCACCGCGAGCCTTCTCAGTTGTCAGGAAACTCCGGTTTCACCATCAGGCCTGGGGGGTGGGGAGGCAAGTGTCACATCCCCCCACGCTGCAGCAGGACTCCGCCTCACCGCGTCCACACACAGCAATGGGGGCCGGGGCCAGGCCAGAAGGGCGCAGGCAGCCGTGTGCCCAGCCAGATGCTGGCGTTCAGCAGTGTGGGCCATGGTGCTGGACGAGGCTGAGTAGGCAAGGGAGTGGCTGTCAACACTTAGGCTGGAGTGGGCCCTTCCTTTTCCTCCCAGGCACCTGGGTGCTACTGTCGGGCCTCTCCCACATGGGCACTTGAGGTGGTCAGGAGAAACCTTCCTGCCTTCTGAGAAACCACTCGCCATCCCAGCTTGGAGGGGCAGGGCGGGGCAGGAGGCCTGGCGGCCTGGCTGTGCTTGGTGGTGGCAATGAGAGGCCTGTGTGGGCGGCAGGCGGACGGGAACAACCTGAACCCGAGCTCACACGCTGGCCCCCCTTTGGGGACCCACCCTGCCCCACCAGGTGCTGGCATCGGCCCCACCATTCAGATTGGGGAGGAGACGGTGATCACTGTGGACACTAAGGCGGCAGGCAAAGGCAAAGTGACGTGCACCGTGTGCACGCCTGATGGCTCAGAGGTGGATGTGGACGTGGTGGAGAATGAGGACGGCACTTTCGACATCTTCTACACGGCCCCCCAGCCGGGCAAATACGTCATCTGTGTGCGCTTTGGTGGCGAGCACGTGCCCAACAGCCCCTTCCAAGTGACGGTGAGGAGGGGTGGGGGGTAGGTCAGCAGGGGTGTCTGGCAGGTCCCGGCCTGTTCCCCTGGGGCCCCTCTGTGACAACAGACTCTCCAGCAGCTCTCTGCTTTGCCCTGCAGGCTCTGGCTGGGGACCAGCCCTCGGTGCAGCCCCCTCTACGGTCTCAGCAGCTGGCCCCACAGTACACCTACGCCCAGGGCGGCCAGCAGACTTGGGTACGGCCTGGCCAGCTAGGGACACTGGGGCTAGCCAGCTGGGTGTTCTGTGAGCCCCTAGTTTACCATGTGTGAGGAGGGACCCCAGATCCTCCCACTGTCCCTCACCCATGCCCTGTGTCTCCACTGCAGGCCCCGGAGAGGCCCCTGGTGGGTGTCAATGGGCTGGATGTGACCAGCCTGAGGCCCTTTGACCTTGTCATCCCCTTCACCATCAAGAAGGGCGAGATCACAGGTGAGTGGGGACTTGGGAAGGAGCTCGGGAGCCAAGGAGGCCAGACTGTGCCAATGAGCTGCCCTGACCTCAGCCCCACTGCCCCACAGGGGAGGTTCGGATGCCCTCAGGCAAGGTGGCGCAGCCCACCATCACTGACAACAAAGACGGCACCGTGACCGTGCGGTATGCACCCAGCGAGGCTGGCCTGCACGAGATGGACATCCGCTATGACAACATGCACATCCCAGGTGGGCCTGCCCTGCCTCTGCCCACTCCACCGCCACCACCTCACAGAGAGATGGGGCTGGGGGACACACGAGGCTGCCATTCCACAAGGCCCTTCTTCCTGCCTCAGGAAGCCCCTTGCAGTTCTATGTGGATTACGTCAACTGTGGCCATGTCACTGCCTATGGGCCTGGCCTCACCCATGGAGTAGTGAACAAGCCTGCCACCTTCACCGTCAACACCAAGGATGCAGGAGAGGGTGAGCAATAGCTCTGGTCTTGACCTGCTCTGTGCCCGGGATGCCCTCACCGGGGTAAGGGCTGGACTCAGGAGATACTCCTGAATGGGGCTCCCTGCCCTGCTGCCCTGGCCATCGGAGCTCCTCAGTGCAGGCCAACTGGAGTGTCCCCAGCATAGTTCCCATGCTCACCCACGGCTCTCTCCAGGGGGCCTGTCTCTGGCCATTGAGGGCCCGTCCAAAGCAGAAATCAGCTGCACTGACAACCAGGATGGGACATGCAGCGTGTCCTACCTGCCTGTGCTGCCGGGGGACTACAGCATTCTAGTCAAGTACAATGAACAGCACGTCCCAGGCAGCCCCTTCACTGCTCGGGTCACAGGTGGGTGGCACTGGGAGCAGTGACAGAAACGGGTGGCAGGGTGGGCATGGTCTCCCATGGCTGGACGCACACTGATGGCTGGCCTGTCCCCACCAGGTGACGACTCCATGCGTATGTCCCACCTAAAGGTCGGCTCTGCTGCCGACATCCCCATCAACATCTCAGAGACGGATCTCAGCCTGCTGACGGCCACTGTGGTCCCGCCCTCGGGCCGGGAGGAGCCCTGTTTGCTGAAGCGGCTGCGTAATGGCCACGTGGGTAAGCGGCTGAAGGGTCCAGGGGGTTCAGAAAGGAGGCAGCCTGTGGGGAGCCATGCCCTCCCTGACTGACAGCCATGCCCTGTGTCCAGGGATTTCATTCGTGCCCAAGGAGACGGGGGAGCACCTGGTGCATGTGAAGAAAAATGGCCAGCACGTGGCCAGCAGCCCCATCCCGGTGGTGATCAGCCAGTCGGAAATTGGGGATGCCAGTCGTGTTCGGGTCTCTGGTCAGGGCCTTCACGAAGGCCACACCTTTGAGCCTGCAGAGTTTATCATTGATACCCGCGATGCAGGTAGGCAGTGGCTGCCCACCAGCTGGGGCGGGAGCACTGTGCATAGCACCGAGGCTCAGGGGTATCCATCCCCTAGGCTATGGTGGGCTCAGCCTGTCCATTGAGGGCCCCAGCAAGGTGGACATCAACACAGAGGACCTGGAGGACGGGACGTGCAGGGTCACCTACTGCCCCACAGAGCCAGGCAACTACATCATCAACATCAAGTTTGCCGACCAGCACGTGCCTGGTGAGTGCAGCAGTGCCTCGGCAGCCCCCCTCACTACACCAGGGCCCACAGGCAGTATGTGACTGGAGGGGCGTGGGCCGTGCTTTCTTCCTGCAGGCAGCCCCTTCTCTGTGAAGGTGACAGGCGAGGGCCGGGTGAAAGAGAGCATCACCCGCAGGCGTCGGGCTCCTTCAGTGGCCAACGTTGGTAGTCATTGTGACCTCAGCCTGAAAATCCCTGGTAGGGGCTGTGGGAAGCCTGGGGAGGGGTCCTGGGGCTCAAGCAGCCCCAAGAGGAGGGGTGGAGCCCAGGGCTGCTGCTCACTAGCCCATCCCCACCCTGCAGAAATTAGCATCCAGGATATGACAGCCCAGGTGACCAGCCCATCGGGCAAGACCCATGAGGCCGAGATCGTGGAAGGGGAGAACCACACCTACTGCATCCGCTTTGTTCCCGCTGAGATGGGCACACACACAGTCAGCGTGAAGTACAAGGGCCAGCACGTGCCTGGGAGCCCCTTCCAGTTCACCGTGGGGCCCCTAGGGGAAGGGGGAGCCCACAAGGTCCGAGCTGGGGGCCCTGGCCTGGAGAGAGCTGAAGCTGGAGTGCCAGGTAGGCCTGCTCACACCCCGAGTGCTCGCTCTCCTGCGTTGGCCAGGGTGGGGTTGGGGGTGGAGGAAAGAGCCGGCAGGCATGTCTACCTTGGCTATGCCTGGAGGGGGCCGAGGCTGGTGAAGCAGCCTTCAGTGAGGACAAACTGTTCTCCCACAGCCGAATTCAGTATCTGGACCCGGGAAGCTGGTGCTGGAGGCCTGGCCATTGCTGTCGAGGGCCCCAGCAAGGCTGAGATCTCTTTTGAGGACCGCAAGGACGGCTCCTGTGGTGTGGCTTATGTGGTCCAGGAGCCAGGTACTGGGAACCCGGCTGGGGTTGGAGGAGGTGGGGCCTGAGTGTGGGTATTGGACCCAGGGCTGGCACAGATAGCCCTGCCTGGCACTCACTCTTCACTTTGAGGTCACAGGGCCACCCAGGCTGTTCGTGGGAGGTGGGAGGCCCAAAGGCTGATGAGCCGGTCTTACACTCTTTCCCTGCCCAGGTGACTACGAAGTCTCAGTCAAGTTCAACGAGGAACACATTCCCGACAGCCCCTTCGTGGTGCCTGTGGCTTCTCCGTCTGGCGACGCCCGCCGCCTCACTGTTTCTAGCCTTCAGGTGAGGCACCGAGAGAAACCGCCCACCTGGGGCTCCTGGGCCCGGACAGACCAGAGCCACCGCAGAGACCAGGCCTTGGCCCTGTGTTCAGTGACCCCCCTGGCCCAGCTCTGGGTTCCAGGCCTCTGCTCTGGCCGGGTGCAGCCCACGCTTGGGGTCGGCAGGAAATATCCTGCCCACCACGTGGAGTTTTTCTCGTGTCTCAGGTCTAAAGGCTTTGAACAGAAGCCTGTGCCCCTTGAGCACCAGGGCTGCGGTTTAAAGAGGGACAGCCTGCCAAGGCTGGGTGCTGCCCACAGGGTGGGGCAGCCCTCCCTTCCTGCCACCTGGGTGTGTGCGACGGCAGAGTGTGGGGGCAGGGGCGGGGATGTGCGCCTGTGGCTTGCTGCCCCTTGCAAATCAGTGGCTCTCCCTCTTTAAACCAAGTTGGACGCCAGATGGGTAAGTGCGACCCGCGGGCCTCTTGCTCCTGGGGCCTTTCCGTCCTCCCTTGCCCTGGCTCAAGCACCCCCATCTAACCATGTCTGCTGTGCTTCCAGGAGTCAGGGCTAAAGGTCAACCAGCCAGCCTCTTTTGCAGTCAGCCTGAACGGGGCCAAGGGGGCGATCGATGCCAAGGTGCACAGCCCCTCAGGAGCCCTGGAGGAGTGCTATGTCACAGAAATTGACCAAGGTGAGGCCCTGTCCCTGCCCGGCCGCCCTGCCCTGCTGGCTGGAAGCAGGCTGAGAGTACAAAAGGAAGGTACCGCTTCTGTAAGCAGCCAAGACGGGGCCCCAACTCCTGGGCCCCCTAAGCCAGGCAACCCTTTCCCAATTGGTGACCCAAGCCGCTGGGGATGTGGCTCGCCACCCACAGCTATTAGGAAGGCCTTCTACCCTGCAGTACCATGCCATCTCCACAGGGAAAGACTCAAAGTCCAGCCTCAGTGCTGCCCGGCCCTTCAGCCACGGCCATGGTACTTGTGCACAGGCCTGGGGCAGCCTTGTGGGTAGGAGGAGCCCAGTGGGCTTCATTTCACGGCCTAGTCCTGCCCTTCCCAGCTGCATGACCTGAAGCAAGTTCCTGCCCGTCTCTGAGCCTGTTAACATGCAGGGGATATGGTGTTCACGGTAACCTTTCTTAGGAGGCAGCAAGGCCTGGGTTTGGCTTGTAAAAGATTTCCGTCCCAATGCACCCTGACGGTGGGCAGCTTGAGTGTCTAAACCTTCGGCCCTCAGGAGGTCTGCTGCGGGGTGCAGGTGCCCAGCGTGGCTGGGCTCACACTGATGGACCGGCAAAATGGGGAGGGCCAGGGTTGAGGCTGTTCCTCACAGACACCATCTGCTGGTTTGAGGAGGGGCCCCAGGCCCACAGCATGACTCCCTGCTCCTCAGATAAGTATGCTGTGCGCTTCATCCCTCGGGAGAATGGCGTTTACCTGATTGACGTCAAGTTCAACGGCACCCACATCCCTGGAAGCCCCTTCAAGATCCGAGTTGGGGAGCCTGGGCATGGAGGGGACCCAGGCTTGGTGTCTGCTTACGGAGCAGGTCTGGAAGGCGGTGTCACAGGTAAGTCTGTCGGTGCGGCTGCACGTGTGCACACAGCTGCTAGGCCCTTGCCTCCAAGCTCTTGGTGACAACAGGAGGCACCTGGAGGTGACAAGCCTGTGCTGGGTGGCCGAGGACAGGGAGGCAGGCCAGTCTGGCTCTGCCTGACCTCCTGTGCTCCCAGGGAACCCAGCTGAGTTCGTCGTGAACACGAGCAATGCGGGAGCTGGTGCCCTGTCGGTGACCATTGACGGCCCCTCCAAGGTGAAGATGGATTGCCAGGAGTGCCCTGAGGGCTACCGCGTCACCTATACCCCCATGGCACCTGGCAGCTACCTCATCTCCATCAAGTACGGCGGCCCCTACCACATTGGGGGCAGCCCCTTCAAGGCCAAAGTCACAGGTGAGCCTGGGGCCAAGCTATTGGCATCTGCCCAACGCCCGGCACCACAGCCACCTCTTAGCCCCACCCACTCTGCCTTGCAGGCCCCCGTCTCGTCAGCAACCACAGCCTCCACGAGACATCATCAGTGTTTGTAGACTCTCTGACCAAGGCCACCTGTGCCCCCCAGCATGGGGCCCCGGGTCCTGGGCCTGCTGACGCCAGCAAGGTGGTGGCCAAGGGCCTGGGGCTGAGCAAGGCCTACGTAGGCCAGAAGAGCAGCTTCACAGTAGACTGCAGCAAAGCAGGTGGGCAACCTGGGCCCCCGGCCCACCTTCCCACCAAAATGAGGCCAGAAATCACAGGATGGCCAGTGTCTGGGAGAGCAGGGACCGCCTTTGGGGCGTGGCTTTCACTTCTAGAGCCACCTCCCTGCCACCTCCTGGACCCCTCAAACAAAGACCAGGGAGGAGCTGGAATCTGCTAAGCTGGCCTGGGTTGGGGAGGTGCTGGCAGCTCTTTAGGAAGAGAGAACTGTCACCCCAGAACTGGCTTAGGGACAGGAGAGGAGAGCAGGACACCAGCGGGAGGAAGGGGGCTGGGACCTGGGACTGAGGACCCCTCTTGCCTCAGGCAACAACATGCTGCTGGTGGGGGTTCATGGCCCAAGGACCCCCTGCGAGGAGATCCTGGTGAAGCACGTGGGCAGCCGGCTCTACAGCGTGTCCTACCTGCTCAAGGACAAGGGGGAGTACACACTGGTGGTCAAATGGGGGGACGAGCACATCCCAGGCAGCCCCTACCGCGTTGTGGTGCCCTGAGTCTGGGGCCCGTGCCAGCCGGCAGCCCCCAAGCCTGCCCCGCTACCCAAGCAGCCCCGCCCTCTTCCCCTCAACCCCGGCCCAGGCCGCCCTGGCCGCCCGCCTGTCACTGCAGCCGCCCCTGCCCTGTGCCGTGCTGCGCTCACCTGCCTCCCCAGCCAGCCGCTGACCTCTCGGCTTTCACTTGGGCAGAGGGAGCCATTTGGTGGCGCTGCTTGTCTTCTTTGGTTCTGGGAGGGGTGAGGGATGGGGGTCCTGTACACAACCACCCACTAGTTCTCTTCTCCAGCCAAGAGGAATAAAGTTTTGCTTCCATTCTCCTTTGCGTGGCTGTAGCTTTGTTGGGGTTGGGGGACCAGTCAAGGCCAACCTGACAGGGGTGCCAATGAGCAGATCAAAGCATGGGCTGAGCACAGGTCACCTCCCTCCAGGGCTCCTGCTTCACCCCACCCTGACTCCAGAAGGCACCATCTATCTTTGCTTCCTCTGCCTCCCTGAGTTCAAGCCAACGTAAGGAGAGGAACATGTAGCAACCTGGAATGGAGCCCAGGCAGCAAGGAGGCAAAGAGCTGGGCAGGAGAGCCCATTACTGGGTAGGGTGGTGTCAGGAAGGCTCCCTGGTGGAGGTGGCCAGATAATCAACAGCAGGCCCGGCCGGGTGTGGTGGCTCACGCCTGTAATCCCAGCACTTCGGGAGGCCGAGGCAGGCAGATCACAAGGTCAGGAGATCAAGACCATCCTGGCTAACACGGTGAAACCCCGTCTCTACTAAAAATACAAAAAATTAGCCAGGTGTGGTGGCGGGCGCCTGTAGTCCCAGCTACTCGGGAGGCTGAGGCAGGAGAATGGTGCGAACCCAGGAGACAGAGCTTGCAGTGAGCCGAGATCGCGCCACTGCCCTCCAGCCTGGGCGACAGAGCGAGACTCTGTCTCAAAAAAAAAAAAAAAAAAAAATCACAGCAGGCCCTGGCCATCTGCCAGGTAACTTGAACATGCCACCATGCCACCATTCCCCCAAACAAGGGACTGGGATGAGGCCCCCTCCCCCAGGCTCTGGGCCTCAGGGCCCTTTAGTTAACAGGTGGCAGGAGGTGGATGCATTCAAGGTGCCAATCCCAGGTACCCTGGGCCCCCTGCTGAATATCCCCTCATTGGTACCCCTGCCGTGGATTCCCACACCAACCTATGTGTCTCCCACTGTAAAGATTGCCCCCAAACACATAACATCCCAAGTCGTCCTGGCTCCTGGTGCTGCCTGCATGCTATCGGGACATCCCAACTGCAGCACCCAAAGCTGCCTGCTCCCTGGGCCAAAGGCTTTGGCCCTCGATCAAACCCCTGACAAGGACACCACCACCTCAGACATCTGCAGACAAGGGCCAGGAAGCAAGGCTCTCGGGGGCAACGCTCAGCTTTCTCGCCACATCCTCCCTCAGCTCCACAGCGTCTGACACGACCAGGCCGTAGCCTGCAGCCATGGCACACGTCAAACCCAGACCTTCTGAGACCTCAACACCACGCGTACCCTCCTTGACCCCTGTTGAGAGGGCAAAGTAGAAAAGGCAGCGGCAGTTCAGGCAGGATGGCTACTTTTATTTCTCACTGGGGCTGGGCTGCTGGCCCCAGGCTCAGGGCGGCCACTCACTGGGAGACACGGGGCAAGCAAGACACAGAAAGGGGAAGTCCCACCCCCAGCCGCAGCCACTCTACTGCTCCCCCTGGGCCCAATGGCATAGAGGTAAAGGGGCCAAGCACACTCTGGAAGCCTCTAAAAGCCACCAGCTGAACGGGGCTGTGAGGCAGCAGAGCCAGGCCCAGAAAGATGCAGTGCCAGTTGGGAGGACGGGAGGTCCCCCTGAGGCTGCGACTTGTCCGCTCAGCCCACTGTGTGCCCAGGATTCTGAACCTCTGGGGCACTCCCTCCTGTCCCGAGTCACCCAGGGTCTCCTGCCCCCTCCCTGTGTCTGCTCCATCACATCCCCTCTCAAGCCCCATGCCTGGCAGGGCCACCGCCCTAGGGCTGGGCTAGGTGAACCAAGGGCACCGGTCCCCCAAACCTGCCGATCGTCCCCAGGCTGCAGGGAGGGACACATGTGGGGCGGCAAGGGCAGAAGATAAACTAGGGGGATCCGGGCCCCTGAGGACAGCCCTGGCGGGAGGCCACAGGCCTCACAGGGTGGTGAGCTGGAGGCCACCCAGGCAGGCAGGCAGGCAGCAGGGAAAGAGACTGGCACGGTCCTGGCCAGGGCCCCCCCCGGGAAGGGCGGGCAAGTAGGAGCAAAAACAAGAGCAGAGCACGGGCCCCCACCCTGCCGGGTCCTATGGCCTGGGGACTCACACACACTGAGGAAGACCCAGGAGGACCCGCCAGGCTACTAGGAGGAGATAAAGGGTGCACAGGCCTCCAACCCGCAGGTTGTGTCTGGACTGAGTCCAGGGAGGGCAGGGAGGGGCGGTAGCCCAGTTGACCTTCCCTCCCCCAAGCCACACCTCTGCACCCCAACCCTCCCTTCCGCCTCCCAACAGCCCCATCCCCGCTCTCCGAGGAAACTGGGAGGGGACCTGGAGAGGAAAGGGAAGCAACGGCCCCTCAGAGCGGGGTTCCCCAAAATCCATGGCCAGGGACTGAGGCCAGCACTCAGACACTGTTGGGAACACTGGCCAGGAGTCCCTCGGGGTGGACCTGGGAACCTGCTGCAGAAGCTTAGGGGACCGGGCCAGCTCAGGAAAGGGCTCAGGCTGGAAACCGAGCAGACAGGGCACCGCTGGACCTGGGGCCGAGGAGGACAGGAAGTAGGTGACTATGGAAAGACCCCCGCCGCCACCCACGCCCAACTCGGCACACAAAGGCCCAGAGAGGCCCCCAGACATGCCTGTGGGGGCAGGGGTGTTTGCAAACATTTGCAGAGGGACCGGGTGTCCCAGGCACATGGACAGCTTGCAGGGCCCGGCTGAGGCTAGGACAGCAGCAGGTGGCTGGCAGGAGGTGCCCCGCCAGGGTCCCCAACTGTGTGGGGGGCAGGCCCGAGGCAGGCGGCACCAGTCCCGGGCAGGATCTCTCGGAAGAGGGGCCGTACCCAGCCAGGGTTCCCAGAGACACGGGTGGTGGGGCCGAGTGCCCCCTCACCCTGTGCCTGGCCCCCAACAAAGGGTGAGCATGTATCCTTCCTGGACACGGTGTCCAGGGCAGGGCACTCCCGAACCAGGATGCCCCCTAGGCCACAGGACCCCTCAGCCCCAGCTGACAGCAGCCGGGGGGGATCTGGGGAGGCCCCCAGGAGGCAGGGCGGCAGCCAAGCAGAACACCATCCCTGGACCCACTCTCCAACTGCAACCAGGGCCCGCTCCCCCGAAGGCACCAGCTCTCCCTAGGGGCAGGACCTTGATCCAGAGCAGGAGTGGAGGCCCCCAACAGGGGACGGCTGGAGAGGCCCTGGGCTCACGAGCCAGGGAGCGGCGCCTCTGTGCCCGGAAGCCCCTGGGTCCTGCCTGGGCTGCTGGTAGCTGCTGCGGGCCGAGGGGTCCGGACGCCCCTAGGGTGCTCTGGGGCAGCTCCTTTGGGACCCTCAATGGAGCCAGTAAGTCCAGGAGGGCGCCGATCCGTCCAGGTGGGTGCATGGGCCGGGACAGGGTCTGGCTGCTGTCGTGGCTGTGCCCATCTGCCGAACAGGTCGCTAGGAGAGCACTCCCTGAGCGAGGGCGCCGGGCAGCCCGGGGAGGGAGGACACAGTCCCCGTCCAGGCCCCCGAGGCCCCCATAGCAGGGAGAGCCGGCCCTCCTCGCTGTTCTTCCCGCGGGATCGGGCCGGCACCTCGGCTCAGGGGAGAGAGGGTCACAGAGGACAGCCAGCAGGCAGGTGGCCCAGGAGTGTGGGGGGTCGGTGGGCCTGACCGTGTCCTGAAGCACCCCAGGACCCTGTACCCGACACCCTGGGGGAGGGGCTGTCCCCACTTGCCAGGAACACATTCCTCAGGGAAGGCCCGGCAACCTGCTCTCGTCGGGTTCAAGAAGGGCCAGGCGGCTTTGGAAGGGGCCAGGAGCTGTCACCAAGGGCCCCCGCATTGCCCAGAGGCGGCGCGGGCCAACAGGAAAAGCACTCACCGCCCACGGAACCTCTGTGACAAACTCAGAGCCACGGAGAGCGTCATCAGCAAGTCACTTGCCAGTCCCAGTGGGAAGGATGGGGCACGTCTCCAGGGAAACGAGACACCAAGGTCTTCCTGGGGCCCCAGTGGAAAGCTCCTTCCAGGACCCACCTGGCCCTCCACATCCCACCCTCCAGGCCAGGGACCGGAGCCCAGTATCCGGCAACCTGACACATCACGGAGAAAAGGAGCTGCTCTGCCTTCACCATGACGACGCGGCACACCCCCTCCCTGCCCCGGCCCCTCCCCTTCAGGGCTGCATGCGGGGAGGAGAGGCCTCCCCTGTCTGCAGAGAGAGGCTGCCCCACCTGGGGCAGAGAGGGGACAGGGGCAGGAATGAGCCCCTGGGAGGGGGGCATTGGAGGTGGGGGGCACATCCTGCCACCCGGGCTGGCGTGGGGCACTCATGCCATGCAGACCAGAACGGGCTTCCCACCGGCTCCTGGGGATGTTGGACCGGGGCTCCCCGACCAGGGCTGGGAAAGGCTTCCATGAAGAGCCAGAGAGCACACGGCGCAGACCCTGCGGGGCACACGGGGTCTCGGTGGCAGAGTCTCCCTTCTTGGGGTTCTCTGTGATGGGTTTTGCAACCCTTTCAGGATGTCAAAGCACGCCCCGCCCTCAGAAATGCAGGCCCCGGCCAGTGTCAGCCCCAGGAGGTGGCCTGCTGCTCCCGCTGACACCAAGGACATGTTCCTGAGGCGGCCCGCTCGGGATCTCCAGCAGCCGACGCAGGTCTACACGTGCAAGGGTGCTTCTGACTCGCAGCACTCAGGAACAGCCTCCACCCTGAGCGTGGCGCCCTCTCCAGCACGCGCCAGGGTGGACCTGTGAGACCAATAAAAACCACAGCGGAGGCGAGGCGAGTCACTTAGGAGACCAGGCCATGAAGAGACTGTGGCCGGGTCTGGGGCGCCCTCTCCTGCTGGTTCGACTGGATTGCAGGTCCGGGGGAAGCCCAGCAGCCCTGGGGAGGAGGCCCGGTGGGGAGGAACTGAGGCCTCCTGCCACAGCCTCCAGAGGGAGAGTCATCACGAGGGCTCCCCACCCAGTCAGATAGGATGGCTGGGCCCCAGTGGACACCTGACCGCAGCCTGAGAGGGACCCTGAGCCACAGTCCTGGCTCCCCGAGAGCCCTCCCAGAGCCTGTCCCTCAGAACCCTTGGGGGGGTGACACGAGTGCTGGGGGGGTGAGACGAGTGCTAGGTGGGGAAGGACCGAAACGTGAAGTCGTCTGTTACCCAGTAGTCGGAACTGGTGCCCAGCGTCCAGGGGGCAAGACACGGCGTGAGCCAGAAGGAAACAAACCGACAAGAACCCCCAGAAGCCATCAGGAAAGCCTGGAGATTCTGATGACACGAAAACTAAAATCCCCTCTGTGACCAAGCACAACCCGCAAACCACACAGTCAAGAGACAAGTGATAATAAGGGGAGAAAATAGTAGCAAGAGGTGACTAAGGGCTCGCGTCAGTCACACACACACAGAGCCGGACACACGGACAAGGCAAAGTGCAAGGACAAGAGAGCAAAAGGGGGCGGAGGAGAGGAAGGGAGAGGGAAGGAAGCGTCTTCTCCACCGGGATGCAATTCCTTGGGAGCCCGTCTGACCCCAGGGCAAAGAGATGCTGGGTCGCCAGAGCCGCCGCGGAGAAGTCCCGCCGGGCCTCAGAGCCCAGCAAAGAGGAACCAGGGCGGACGGGCCAAACCCAGCGGCCGGCTCCCGGGGGGGTGGGTGGTGGCGCTGCGGGGAGTCGCCTGAGCAGCATCACCAGCAGCTGGGAACCCTCCCGGTGCGGGAAGGTTGGCGGGTAAGGCGGGGCTTCCCCGGAAACACTGGGCTGGACCCAGCGGTCCCATGGGTGCTGGAACCAGCCCTGCGGGTGTTCCCAGGCACCCTCCCGCGGGAAGACCGGCTGGAGGGATGGCTCCTGTTGGCACCCACGTCGAGGGAAGCCACCGCCTTCTCTGCGGGGCTCGCCTTTCCTACCTCCCCCAGGAGACAGTCAGGCCAGGAAGCGCCCCAGCCCACGACCGCCCGCAGCAGAGCAGGATTCCCTCCCCGGCGGCCGCCGCTGTCAAGGGACGGGGAAGACTTTGTTACCCCACCGCGCGCCACCGCGGAATGGTGCACAGACACCTCCAGACGCCACTTCCCCCAAGACGGCCGCCCGCCCCGCTCTGCCCACCTCTCCCTGGACGCTGCCGGGTGGGCGCGGCCCTGCTTCCCCACGACCCCCCAGACGCGCCCCGAGGCACTTTCGCAGCACAGTGGAGTGGGAAGGGCGGGGCGGCCCCTCGACGGCGCCGAGGCGAGAGCGGCTCACGGGGCTTCCCGGGCCCTGATCTCAGGCGACGCCTGTCCGCCTCGTCCCCGGGGGAAGACAGTGACCACCGGTCTGCAAAGGAAGGGGACTCGGCGCATGCCCCGCAGGGCCGGCCCAGGACTCGCAGGCGCGGAAGGCGGTGCCGAGGCGGGGGCGGGGCGTGGAGGGACAGCCCTAGTCTCCGCCCGCCGGGGCCCACAGCTGCCTCGCTCCCCGCCTCCGCTTCGGTCGCTCCTGGTAAGCTCCAGGCGCCCACGGGAAGCCCCGCCCAGCCCCGCCTATCCGTCCTCCTCTTCGCCTGTCCTCGCCAATGACCATGCTCAGATTGCACGGAATTCCCGCCCCTCGCCCTTGACTGACGCTCCTGCTGCCCAGTGGACGACACCCCGTCGCGTGCGCGCCGCTGCGGCCCTGCCGGGTGTGGCGCGGCGCTCTCAGGCTCCTAGGCGTTCCCGGGGCGAGACCCAGGGCGCTGGCCGCAGAGTCGCCGGTGCACACGCAACAGTGCCGCCTTGTGTTTTGGGTGTGGACCTGCGCTTCTCTAAGCGTTCCATTCCCGAGAAGGGGCGACAAACGTCCAGAGGTCGTGGCACCTGCCCGCCGCTGCCGGGGCGTCGGCCGTGGGCGCAAGTGAAGCGCCCCGGGAGCGCGGCGCGACGTCCGTGCCTTCCGAGGGCGGCCCGGGTGTCGCCGCGGTGCGCGCGGGAGGGCGCGGCCGTGGGCATTTCCGCGCTTGCGCGGGTTCCTGTCCCGCCCCGGCCCCGGCCCCGGCCCCGGCCCCGGCCCCGGCCCCTCCCTCTCGTGGCCCCGCAGTAGACGCAGCCCCTCCCTCCCGCGGTGCAGCGCAGCCAGGGCTCTGCTCCGGGAGTCATGGAGTCCATCACCGCGGAGCGTTATCTCAGCGGACCCACGCGGTGTCCTCCGCTGGGGTGGGCCGAGTACCCTCCGCCTCCCGCCCGCGAGATCCATCCCAGCCCCTGGCGGGGGCCCGTGGTTCTTCCCGCTCATGGCCACGGAACGGTCCACGCTCGCGGAGCCGCAGGCTGAGCTTTTGCTGGTGAGGGACAAGGTCGTGGTTTCCCGTGGCTGGTGGCCCTCACGGAGGAGCCTGCTGGGAGCACGCCCGTGTAGGGTTTCCTGTCATCGGGTTGCCACGCCCATCTTGAACGCTCGAGTCCACGCAGAAGTGTAGAAGTGGATGTGTAGCTTTATTTGTAATTCTCTTTCTTTCTTCCTTTCTTTCCTTCTTTCTTTCCTTTTCTTTCTTTTTGAGTCAGGGTCTCACTCTGCGCCCAGTCTGGAGTGCAGTGGCGCGATGAGGGCTCACTACAGCCTTGACCTCTCCACCCCAGCGAGGGCTTCAA
Organism: Homo sapiens; assembly: GCF_000001405.40. Classification (NCBI taxonomy): domain Eukaryota; kingdom Metazoa; phylum Chordata; class Mammalia; order Primates; family Hominidae; genus Homo; species Homo sapiens. Next base: position 154,341,014 of record NC_000023.11, on the reverse strand, counting down.
CCTCCAGCCTCAGCCTTCCGTGTAGCTGGGACTACAGGCGCACGCCACCACCATGTCCGGCTAATTTTTTACTTTTTGTAGAGATGGGGTCTCGCTTTTTCGCCCAGGTTGGTCTGGGATTCCTGGGCTCAGGTGATCCACCCCAGCCTCACAAAGTGCTGGGATTCTGGGCACCGCGCACCGGCCGCCGCGCCCGGCTTGATGTGTAGTTTCAATAGAAACCACCAAGGTCTTCAGGGTGGCCTGTGCATCACTTTACACATACTCAAGCGAATCATTGAGAGGTGTTTGAGGCCGGGCGCGGTGGCTCACGCCTGTGATCCCAGCACTTCGGGAGGCCGAGGCGGGTGGATCGTTTGAGGTCAGGAGTTTGAGACCAGCCTGACCAACATAGTGAAACTCTGTCTCTAATAAAAATATAAAATTAGCCGGGCGTGGTGGCGCCCTCGCCTATAATCCCAACTACTCAGGAGGCTGAGGCAGGAGAATCGCTTGAACCCAGGAGGCAGAGGTTGCACTGAGCCGAGATCGCACCACGGCACTCCAGCCTGGGTGACAGAGCAAGATTCTGTCTCAAAAAAAAAAAAAAAAAAAACGTTTTTGAAACAACTTGAAGCAAGTTATCCCATGTATAAAAAAGCATGAAGTTATTTATACTATTTTTCTGTGCAATCACCCACATAATTAGCCAAGTTAAGACCCATTATGCGGCCGGGCGCGGTGGCTCACGCCTGTAATCCCAGCACTTTGGGAGGCTGAGGCGCGTGGATCACGAGGTCAGGAGTTCGAGACCAGCCTGGCTAATATGGTGAAACCTCGTTTCTACTAAAAATACAAAAATTAGCTGGGCGTGGTGGCGTGTGCCTGTAGTCCCAGCTACTCGGGAGGCTGAGGCAGAAGAATCGCTTGAACCCGGGAGGTGAAGGTTGCAGCAAGCCGAGATCGCACCACTGCACTCCAGCCTGGGTGACACAGTGAGACTCCGTCTGAAAAACAAAAACAAAAAAAAACCGTTATGCTACACGTTTTGTAGTGATTTTGTTTTGTTTGTTTTAGCTTTTTTATAATTTCAACTTTTTTGTTTTTGAGATAGAGTCTCACTCTTGTCGCCCAGGCTGAGTGCAATGGCACCATCTCGGCTCATTGCAACCTTTGCCTCCCAGGCTGAAGGGATCCTCTCACCTCTCACCTGGGTTGGTCAGGCTGGTCTCAAATTCCTGACCTCAGTGATGCACCAGCCTCGGCCTCCCAAAGTGCTGGGATTACAGGCATGAGCCACCGCGCCCGGCCTGATGTACTTTAAACTTTTTTTTTTCTTTTTTTGAGACAGAGAGTTTCACTCATGTTGCCCAGGCTGGAGTGCAATGGCGTGATCTCAGCTCACCACAACCTCCACCTCCTGGGCTCAAGTGATTCTCCTGCCTCAGCCTCCCGAGTACCTGGGATTACAGGCATGTGCCACTGCACCGGGCCTCCATTTGATGTACTTTTAAAGCATTATTATTTCTACCTTGCATTTACTATGAACACAGCCTTGAACGTGCATCCATCTCTCTCTAGAATAATTACCTGTAAGTGGAATTGCTGGGTCGAGATATATGTACATTAAAAAAAAAAATTTTTTTTTTTTGAGACAGGATCTCAGTCTGTCGCTCAGGCTGGAGTGGAGTGGCTCGATCACAGCTCACCACCGCCTCAACCTCCTGGGCTCAAGTGATCTTCCTGTTTCAGCCTCCTGAGCTGCTGGGACCACAAGTGTGTGCCACCATCCCTGGCTTTTTTAGAAAACTTCTTTTTGTACAGACAGGGTCTCACTGTGTTGCCCAGGCTGGTCTTGAACCCCTGGGCTCAAGTCCTCCCTCCTTGGCCTCTCAAAGTGCTGGTTTTACAGATGTGTCCCACCTTGTGTGGCCTGCATTTAAAATTGTAAGAGACACTAGGGAATTGCCTCCCCTAAAGACCCTACCTTTGATACTGTCCGTCCCTCGCATTGTACCCTCAGCGTTTACCCACAGCCTCACCAGCACCTTTTGGGCTAACAGCTTTTTAGGTAGCTGAAAATTAGATGGGAGAACTGTAGCTTTTCGCTTTTTCCTTCTTCCCTGTTTCCTAGTCCTGTTCCCCTCCCTCCCAAAGGGGTCATTTAAAATGTGGTGTCATTTGGAATGTGTTTGTTCAATTGTATTTTAGTTTTCTGAGACAGGGCCTCGCTTTGTCACCCAGGCTGGAGTGCAGTGGTGTGATCATAGCTCACGGCAGCCTTGATGTCCCAGACTCAAGTGATCCTCCCACCTCAGCTTCTGGAGTAACTAGGACTACAGGCATGTGCCACCACGCCAGCTAATTTTATTTTTTTGTAGAGACGAGGTCTCACCCTGTTGCCCAGGTTGGTCTCCTATTTCTGGCTTCAAGCGATCTGCCCGTCTCGGCCTCCCAAAGTGCTTGGATGACAGGCGTGAGCCACTGCCCTGCACCTGTGGATTTTTTGTGTGTATGGTTTTGCCCACCGTAACTGTCCCTGTGCTGCATTCCTATTCTGCTGACTGCTTCCGTCATTCAACAGGGTTTCTCAGCTCTTTGTCTGTGGCCCTGGAGACGTACAGTTGACTCCTGTGCTCCTGCAGAGGATTTCAGAGCTTGGATGCAACACATTTGATCATTCCCACCCTGAGTGATGCAACCCCAGGGCTTCAGCTCCTGGTGTGCCACAAACCATGCCACGAAGGCCATGGCACGGAATGTGGCCTTAGCGAGAAGGGAGAATTGCTCTTGCTGAGGTTATCAAGGGGTAGGATTGCTGGGTTCAAGAACACTGATGTTTCATTTTCTTATGTTTGTTCTGTTCTTTTTTTTTTTTTTTTTTTGAAAGAGTCTCACTCTGTCACCCAGGCTGGAGTGTAGTGGCGCGATCTCGGCTCACTGCAACATTCACCTCCTGGGTTTAAGCAATTCTCCCACCTCAGCCTACCGAGTAGCTGGGACTAAAGGCGCACGCCAGCATGCCTGGCTACTTTTTGTATTTTTAGTGGAGACGGGGTTTCACCGTGTTGGCCAAGCTGGTCCTGAACTCCTGACCTCAAGTGATCCCCCCGCCTCGGCCTCCCACAGTGCTGGGATGACAGGCGTGAGCCACCGCGCCTGGCTCCTTTCCCATTTTCTAAGGGACAGTCAGTCTCCTCCATACCATTTGTCACACAGCCTTTCCCCCATGATGGCACTGCCATACTCCTGCTAAATGCGCAGGCATCTGTGGTCTCCTCTGCACTTGTCCTTCCAGGGAACGATGCAGTGGGCTCCTTGCTTTGCATCTCGCCATACCTGGTGCACCTGCCAGCTCCCTTAGCAGGACCTTGCAGACAGTTTCAGTCATTCTTGGGCATTTTCTTCTCCATGTGAAGTTTCCCATCATCTTGTCCCGGACCATTAGACACCCACATCCCTGGCTTCCTGGGACTCTGGTGGCGTGATGGGAAGAGCCCACTTCTTAACATTGTTTTTTTTCAAGAGGATCTCATTCTTAGTCCAGGTGGCAGGAATGGTTTCCCCTGCTGGCCTCAGCTCTGTTGGCAAGGGATACCTGCAGTCTGGGGCCTGGAGTTGGAGCGCTCCAGACACGGTCCCTTCCTTCCGGGAGTTTCTTTCTCGTGGGTGAGCCAGAAGCAAACACCTCATCCCACAGTTCTGAGGGCCTGGGTGGGGCCATCGTCCTGGTCCAGGTAAGAGACCATGGAGTCTGGCCAAGCACGTTGGCTCCTGCCTGTAATCCCAGCACTTTGGGTTAGGGTTAGGGCAGGAGGATCACTTGGCTCCAGCAGTTTAAGACCAGTCTGGGCAACCTAACAAGGCCCCATCTCTACAAAAGAAAAAAAAAGTTATCCAGGCATGGTGGCGTGTGCCTGTAGTCCCAGCTGATTGGGAAGCTGAGGCAAGAGCATCTCTGGAGCCCAGGAGTTCGAGGCTGCAGTGAGTGTTGATCATGCCACTGCATTCCAGTCTGGGCAACAGAGCAAGAACCTGTCTCAATTAAAAAAAAAAAAAAGCCGGGCGTGGTGGCTCACACCTGTAATTCCAGCACATTGGGAGGCTGAGGCGGGCAGATCACCTGAAGTCAGGAGTTTGAGACCAGCCTGACCCACATGGAGAAACCCTGTCTCTACTAAAAATACAAAATAAGCCAGGCATGGTGGCACATGCCTGTGATCCCAGCTACTCGGGAGGCTGAGGCAGGAGAATCGCTCAAACCCGGGAGGCAGAGGTTGCGGTGGGCCAAGATTGTGCCATTGCACTCCAGCCTCGGCAATAAGAGCGAAACTCCATCTCAGAAAAAAAAAAAAAAAAGGACAGTGGAGTCCTAGATGGCGAGGGTAGCAATGGAGAAACCCACTTCAATTTCTTTGAGCCAACGGTTGGAAGGATTCCCGTGGGAAGGTCAGGAGGGAGAGGAGCCAACAGGTGGAACTCCGACAGTTCCCCCGTCCTCACCTTGTAGGGCTGCAAGATTCCTTGGTGCCTGTCTGGGCTCCAGGGCCCCCACCCACCCCTGCAGGCTTATGTGCGGATCAGCAAGAGGCACTCTGCTCTCGGGGCAGGTACTCGGCTGGAGGCGAGGACACGGGAGGGATTTCAGCCCTCTGGCTCCCCAGGAAGGTGTCCTTGTGCCGAGAACAGCCTGCACGACCTTCTAGGGCACCCAGGATTAGGCTGTATCCTCCCTCTGCCCAAACTGGCTACAGAAAGTTCATTTTAATGCCCACTAGAGAGTGAGGAGACTGTAGGTGCAATTTCTTTGTTGTTTTTCTTTTTTCTGAGACAGAAGAGTCTTGCTCTGTGGTCCCAGGCTGGAGTGCAGTGGTGTGATCTTGGCTCACTCAAACCTCCACCTCCCAGGTTCAAGCCAGATTCTCCTGCCTCAGCCCCCTGGGTAGCTGAGATTACAGGCACGTTCCACCATGCCCGGCTAATTTCTGTATTTTTAGTAGACGTGGTTTCACCATGTTGGCCAGGCTGGTCTCGAACTCCTGACCTCGTGATCTGCCCACCTTGGCCTCCCAAAGTCTTGGGATTACAGGCGTGAGCCACCTCACCCAGCTGTAGGTGAGATTTCTGAGTGCCCGTTACAAATTCCTGATTGACCCAAGCTGGGCAGGTCGCCCCGCCACCCCTGTCCAGCTATGGCCTGTGGTCTAGGTTACATGAGCCAGTGCTAACTAGGCTGGGATGAGCATCACACCTGTTAGACCCCATCGCCTGTCCTCCATGCATCCTTAGTGGAGTTTGGGAGAAGGCAAGGAAAGGAGCAATGATACAACTTGTAGTTGTGTCATTTCAAGCATACCTGGGCCACAGGTGAGTGAGGGCCGTCCCTGGGTGGAAACAAAGAGCAAATGAAAACACAGAGGGGTCGGGACTCGGTGGATCACACCTGTAATCCCAGAATTTTTGGAGGCTGAGGCAGGAGGATCACTGGAGACCAGCCTGGGCAACGAGGTGAGACCCCATCTCTAAATACAGAGAAAAAAATAGAAACAACCAAAAAAAAACAGGCCTAAGCAGGACCTGACGCTGGGGCCGTGCAGAAGCAGCTTGCTGCACTTGGTCTTGATGGCCTCTGGGTCAGGAGGCCTTGTGCCTTCAGGTGAGTGTGCCGAACGGAACCCCTCAGCTCAACCCAGTGTTTTTGCAAGGTTACTTCCGGGATAAAGGAAAGATGAGGTGAGCGCTGCCTCAGCACAGGGAGCTCAGGGATAGCAGGTCCATGTCAGCCTGGGTCTGCGTGAGCAGGTGAGAAGGAATCTGCCTGCCTCCCAGCAGGTGCCCTGAGCACCCTCCAGCACGGCCTGCCTGCCCACAGGCACGGGGAAAAGGCTCAGGTCTCTGTGAGCCCTGGCTGATAGATCACCTTGCCTCCTTAGTGCGGTCATACTGCTGGGATCCTGGCAGAGACAACCTACCTTCCATAGAGGGGACACGTCACCCCAGGATTCTGCCACAGGACTTTTGGAGGTAAAGCTGAAGTGGGGCCCACAGCCTCACGATGACAGCACTGGCCACCGTCATGGAGAGTAGAGTCAGTGGGCAGGTCAAAGAGTAAGGCTGGACCTGTCAGGGTTCCGGGGTGGAATCCTCAAAGATCCCCAATCACATCATTGTCAGCAATGGCTGGGAGCATCCACCCCCTCCTCACAGCAGCCCTAGGATGTCGGTGCCAGTGTTACCCCCATTTTCAGACAAAAACAGGAGGGAAATGTGACTCATGAAGTTGGGCTCCAGAGCCTGAGCCCTTTCTCGGCTTTGCTGCACTCCCTCCCACTCCTGCCCTTTGGAGATTCCCCGTGGTGTGTGGTGTGTGGTGTGTGGAGTGTGATGCATGTGGAAGGAAGGAGTCGGAGGCAAGTCTGGCTCAGTATCTCCCAGGCCTCGGGTCATCACGCGAAAAACAGAGGAGGGTAAAATGAGAACCGCTGTTCTCCTCTCGGGCCTGATCGGCTGAACTCTGCAAGCACAGACTGACCAGCTTAGAATTCTCAGCAGATCACAGAGCAGTTCTCATAGATGTTTGCATTATTGTGATGTAAAGCTACTGACTTCTCAGATCTCTAATAGTCTCTCTGACACAACAACCTAAGGGTAGAAAGAAAGAGATACAAAAGAGAAGAGTTAGAAATCCAGGGAGATTTGAAAAGCAGCACGTACATAAGCCTAGTCATTGCAATGAAAATCTCATCCAATGGACTCAACAGCAAATTGATGCCCCTGAACACAGAATGAGTGACCTGGAAGACGATGCCAAAGACACTTCCTCCTGCCCCGTTCTTAGCAGATGATGTGGCTTCCTCCTTCTGTGACGCACTGCAGCAGCCCCTCCTCGAGGTCCAGAGCCCTAGGCCTTCCATGCTCCCAGGCTCAGTACTAGACTCCTGGTCACCCCAACATCTTTATTTTTGCCTCCCTGCTCTGGGGGTTGTAGCTTCTTCCTTCACCAACTCTGTTACTTCAGTATCCCTTTTGCACTTTCAGCCCTCAAACCCCAAGTAAATACGCTTTCACTTCCCTTTCTTGAGATACTAGGTATGTATTTTTGTCTCCTAACTGGTTCCTGACTAATCCAGAACTGGCCCTGGGTAAGGTTCTGGAAGAAAAGGCCTATGCACATGGAATCTGGCGATTGGTCTGGTCCTGCCTTTGGGCTGGAGTGCAGGGTTGAGCATTTTCCCAGTGGGAAGTGGGGCATGAGCCATCCATGGCCTGCAGTGGCTTCACAATTAATCTAGCTGTCACTTCGGTTGCTTGGGATGATGGGCCAACTGAAACAAGCACCAGGGAGCTCAAGTCCTTGCTGCACCTGACTTGTCATGGTGGTCACGGATGGCTATGAGGGCTGTGGTATGGGATGATCCTTAGTGGCCCTGACTATGTACCATGAAGACACAATGGGCTCAGGCTCCCTAACTCTCAGCTCAAGCCACAGTAACAGAACCAGGGTGCTTCCAGGAAAGGCCTCAAAGTTCCCTTACTCCTTGTACTTGCAGGGCTGACAGTTCTGACAATCAAACACATTTTATTGTGCCAGTTACAGATTCCCAAAGTGATGAATTTCCAGCCTCGCCACATTTCACACGTGAATCGTGGGCAGTGATGTGGGAAGAATGGGACCCTGAAACCCGGAATGGGGCCATCTGGTTGGCCTTGGTTGAAGCTGAGACTCGAGAAGCCCCCAGTCCCTCTGCACCTCCCTTGGTAGTGGCGGCGGCTCGACCTCCCGTGTCTGGGGGACTGGTGTTTCTTTGCTGGAGAACTCTGTCACAAGTTTACCTGGGGAGGAGCCTTGCCAGTGGACACTCACTTGTATCATCCAGGAGACCCTCTACAACTAGACCTAGAACTAGACCTAGAACTAGAATGTTGCCGTTAGACCCAGAACTAGCGTCAGGTACACACTTAGGGAGGGAGGGTATCTCTCACGTGGGCCCTGATACCAGGTGCAGCCCAGGTCCTGCCCTGAGCGGTAACTCTGCGTGCTCGGCTTCCTCACCCAAGTACGGAATGACACATCAGATCATTCCAGCTCTCCCGAATCTAACGACCCAGCTTCTCTAACCCTGACCTCGGCCTGGCAGGGCGAGGAGGCCTCGTGAAGTGGTAGAACCTCTCCCGGCTGCCCGGGGAAGGCCGGGCTCCAAGGGTGAAGGCGAGTGCCCACGGGTAGGAGCCATGCCCTCCAGGTAGCGCCTGAAGCGTGGGGCCGACGGGGCGGGAGGGTGCGCGGGGCCGGCACGAGGCGGTGTTTGATGGTGGGTAGCAGGCGTCCAGGGAGGGCGGTGGGACAGCGGGGACAGGGGAGCAGCTCGGGTTGCACAGGGCTGCCTGGCCCAGAAGCGGGCAGGCGGGTTGGTTGCTGCCAGCCCCAACATAATCCCAGCAAGGCGGGGAAGGATCGTGCTGAGGGGCCGATGGGGCTGGCCAGCCGAGGGCGTGCTGGGGGTGCTGGGGAGTAGGAAGCTGCCAGGTATGCAGGGTGGGCCTGCATGGGTGTTTCGAAAAGATGGCACTAACATCCTGACCACAGCTTTGTGGGATACATGCTGTCCCCGTCATCAGCACCATCATCCCCTTCTACAGCTACCCAAGGCCCCACAGTCAAGAAGCAGATTTGGGGATTCAAGCCAGGTTTTGGGACACATGGTTCCCGAGTCCCTGCTGGCTGGCTTCTCCATGGGAAGTAATCAGAGCAATAAGATGTTAGGAGGACTCAAGGGCGAGGGGACTGGCCAGAGGCCAGGGTCCATGGCATCTTCCAGGGAGTATTCATTACCAGGTTCTTAACAGTTAACAAACACACGTGTTTACTCAGAAGCCACAGCCAGGCCAAGCTGGCAACAGGGCTCACTCCCCTCGCTGGGTGATCATGGCTCCTATGCTCTCATTCCTTTGATCTGCCCTACTGTTTCTGCCTAGAACCTTCTAGGGGACTGAAGTGAGGCTTTGGGGGCTCTTTCCTGTGTTTAGAAATTGCACATTTTAATCATGGAATCTGTTGCTCCATTTGTTGCCACCGTGCGCTTATGTGTCCTGTGGTCTCACCAAACCTGACATTTTGCACCTGAATACAAGCAAGCGTGGCTTGTCTGTTAGAATGCCTTCCTCTAAAGTAATGCTTTACAGCCACCTTCAGTGTCACTGCATCTACTCCTCACAAAACGGTATTTAAACACCACCCCCCACCACACTCTTGAAAGGGTACACAGAATTATCCTACGACACAGCAATTCAATTCCACTCCTAGTATACATGTCCATAAGAAGGGAAAATCTACATCTACACAAAATCTTTCACATATTTTGTGAAACCTACATCTTCACAAAATATGTGAATTGTCAGAACGCTATTCACAAGAGACAAAAGTGGAACTAATCCACATTCATCAACTGAATGGAAGAATAAAATGTGTTATCTCCATACAATAGAATAGTATGTGGCCATAAAAAGAATGAAAACCACTGAATTGTATACCTTAAATGAGTAAAATTGTCTGGAGTGTGAGAAGCTGTGATTACCTCGAAGTAGTGAGATAAGTGAGGTAAAACATTTTTGCCTCTTTGCATTTTCTAAATTTTCTGCAATCACCCTATAGAAACTATTTTTACAAAATAAATTTTGAAATCTTATGAAATAAGCAGAGCCATCATCATGCTCATTTTACAGGCCAGGAAACCAGCTCAGTGACTTACAAGGGCAGGAGTAGGAGGAGGTCCTGAGGACTCCAAGCCCCAGGCCAGTGCTTCCATCTCTATCCCGCACATTCTAGAACAATTCCTCAGTCACACTGGTCATGACTCCAAAGATCTCTGACCACTTAATTTGGGCAATAAAAATAAGGAATGGGCTGGGTATAGTGGCTCACGCCTGTAATTCTAACCCCAGCACCTTGGAAGGTCCAGGCGTGAGGATCACTTGAGGCCAGGAGTTTGAGACCAGCCTGGGCAACATAGTGAGACCCTGTCTCAAAACAAAACCAAAGCCAAAACAGGAATGTGACACAGCAGACACATCTAGTAGAATTTTAAATCTAGTTTTGAAGCTCAGGTTCATCTTTTTCTGGTTGACACTTTGATTCTAGATACATACTTCTTAAATTTTTTTTTGGAGGTAGAGTCTCGCTCTGTCTCCTAGGCTGGCGTACAATGGCAGGATCTCGGCTCACTGCAACCTCCGCTTCCTGGGTTCAAACAATTCTCCTGCCTCAGCCTCCCGAGTAGCTGGGATTGTAAGTGTGCACCACCATGTCTGGCTAATTTTTGTCTTTTTTAGTAGAGAGGGGGTTTCACCATGTTGTCCAGGCTGGTCTTGAACTCCTGACCTCAGGTGATCCACCTGCCTTGGCCTCCCAAAGTGCTGGGATTACAAGCGTGAGCCACAACGCCTGGCCTCTAGCCACATACTTTATGTGCTTATAGCTGACAGGAAGGCGTCAGCTCAGGGACAGCTTTTCAGGCCAGGTGCTGTCCTCGAGCGAGTGCTTCCTCTGCAGCCCATTATTCTTTCCCAGGTTTACTGGTGGGGGCCATGGCTCACTCTTTCTGGTTTGGATAAAAGCTCTTTCCTTATTTAGGAACTGACCACTGAGAAACTGATTCACACAGAAGGCACGTGCTGAATAAAGCAGCTGGTTTTGAAATGCTTTATTAACATTGACTTGAACAGTACAGTGTGGAGGCTCTCATCACAAGCAGCACAGGACATCCTAACAAGCTTTCGCTGCTGCCTGACAGCCTCTCAAACGTGGAGGGAGATGAAGGCAAACAGCGAAGGGAATTCCAGGGCAGCTGCAGGTGGGATGGCAGCACACAGAATCCCAAGGTGGGAACAGCAGTAGGCGTCATGGTGTTATCGTGCTGTGGAAACTAGGCTACTGGAATCTATACTTCAATCCACATTTTCTTTACTCATGAAGGAAATACATTGAAAAAACTATTACCTCTACCAGTTATTCACGAAGGAAACACTTCGGAAGAATTGATTACCTCTACCACTTATCTATAGTCTTATCAGAAAACTTACTATCAGGTGGTTGTTTTGTTACCTATTTTTTTCACTTAAAAGTTGTGTAACTCCCTTTAATGATCCAAAAATTAGAGCGGTACTTGCATATGCAGTGACAGTTTAAAGGGTAAGTAGTTAGCTTGAATTTCCGAACTAGGGATGAATGAAGGTGTTAGCTGGCTTTGCTTTTAAGAAACAAAATGTGACAGTAGAGATTTAAATGATGGTTTTGGAACAAACATAAACACAGGGTAAAGAGGCCAAAAGACCAAAGCTAACAGCTATTTTAGTTCAGCAACATGCATTTCACGGCCACTATGATATGTCTGGCACTAATTCCATACATATCCAGCAATTCCTCGGACTTCCCACTCTGGGGCACTCCCGACACTGCCAGCGAATGAACCTGAATGTCAGGATCCATGGAGACGGCTGCGCAGACAGCTTCCCCGATGCCACCTGGGGAAACAAGGATGTTAGGCCCTTTTGTGAAAGCAGCTCGTCAGCCTTAAAGCCTCACCACATAGAGGCCTTTGAATCTGCAGCTTCCCAGGGGAAAATCTGATTCATGTGAACAGCCACTCCGATGGGCCTGCGGAGTTCTCATTCTAAACTGCCAGTTTCCAAACTGCTCTGCCTCAACCTACAGTAAGGGCTGCCTGAGTGTGGGGGTCTGTGGCACTCTGATTCTCAAAGCTGTTGGGGACCTGAAAATGGTTAGAACTAATGAATTAACAGTGCAGAAAAGTGACTAGCTGGCTTGAGGCTGTTGGTTGGCAAGGTTAGCTCTTGGCTCGTGAAGGTTCCCTTGCTACTCTAACACTTTCCCCACTAGACAGGGCGGTCATGCACCTGGACTGTCTGTAGGAACAATGTGGTTGACATGAGCACCTGCTTTCCTGCTGGGAGCCAGGGATTTGGGTACCTGCCTGGCAGAGGGTGCCAACAGGACCTGCCCCCAGTACACACTTGAGGTGCCAAGTCTCTAGCAGGCATCCCTTAGGCAGGAACACAGCCTGCGTGGGAGGCACTTCTCAGTATGCCCCTTGTGGGGCCAAGGGGAGGCTGGGGCAGGACTTCTTTCAACTCCACCTGGCCCATGGTTCCTGCCCTGGTGGATCCCCCCCTGCACCCTTTCCCTGTCATCAACCTCAGGTGTGAGAGCAACTGTGTGCTGGGTCCCAGGAGTCCTTCGAGAGATCAGGCACCGCTTGTGCAGGCTCAGAGGGCCCCTGCCGCATGAACACTCAATGCTCCTTGTATCACATCATCTGTCCCACCTAACCTTTCCAGGCGCAAACACTGCCCAGCCCATTCTCCCTGACACACTGTTTTCTGCATTTGCTGTGTTCTCTGCTATACCTGCTTTCGTCGGGGCACACTTTTTTTTTTTTTTTTTTTTTTTTTTTTTTTTTTTTTTTTTTTTTTTGAGGCAGAGTCTCACTCTGTTTCCCAAGCTGGAGTGCAATGGTATGATCCTGGCTCACTGCAACCTCCACCTCCTGGGTTCAAGTGATTCTCCTGCCTCAACCTCCCAAGTAGCTGGGACTACAGGCATGCACCACCACACCCAGCTAATTTTTGTATTTTTAGTAGAGATGGGGTTTCACCATGTTGACCAGGCTGGTCTTGAGCTTCTGGCCTCAAGTGATCTCTACCTGCCTCGGCCTCCCAAAGTGCTGGGATGACAGGTGTAAGCCACCACGCCTGGCCTGGGGCATACTATTCATCATTCCAAACCCAAAGAAACTGCGATGCTTTTCATGACACCTCGCTTGCCTGCAATAGCCACTCCTCTGTGTTGCCACTGACCCGCCCTGGTGACTGGGCACTGTGCACTCTGTTGGGGACACACAGATGTGTATGAGTATGGCCCCACGCTTAGTGAACATCAAATAACAAAGCCATGCTGGGTGAGAGGTAGACTATAGGTGATGCCTGAGAGCATGCCATGTGGCCAATCAAGGAAACAAAAACACCAAAACCTTCCAAAGCATTCTCAATGCCCACACACACCTTGCGGGTAGTGATCCTCCACTGTAATGATCCGGCCCTCTGTGGCTTTTGCACTGGAGACGATGGTGGCGACATCCAGAGGTTTAATGGTAAACAGGTCGATGACACGGATAAAAATATCTGCAGAACAGCAAAAACCAGCTTGGTACAAGAAAGAGACTCAGAATAACATGCAGGGATAAAAATAAAAAGAGCACTCAGGGCACAGGAGGTAGCTGAAGTCCTACCTCTTCCCAGCTTGAACTTCAATGCTCATACTCAACCAACTGACCTTGTTTCGAAAGCTCATCAGCAGCTGCTAAGGCTTCATACACAGTAATTCCAGCTCCAATAACTGTGACCTTGTCACTGACACAGTGGCGGAGGACCTGGTATAGTGCCAGCAAAACAGAATGCCGTGGTTACTACACACAGAATGCATGTCAAAGTGGAAGGCACTTTGCTATGCCGCTATCCCCCAATTCTAACAATTTCACTCCTTAATAACTCACTACTAAAAAAATCAGATGCATTTACAAGCCAGGACACATACTTTTTGATAGGAAATTACACTGCTCCAGCTGTCCTGGAGCATGGATACGCCACATACCCATCAGGAGTCTGGTTTGAGAGCTCACTATGGCATGCAAAGATTGGACTCCAGTGACTAACATGTTAATGAGAACATTCTGGGCATTGGCAACACGCTGAGTGCTAAGATCTTGTGTGCCTGAACTCTGAGAACCCTCACAGCCTCCCTGTAAGATCTGTTCAGTGGCACAACCGTTCTGCAGCTGAGGAAAGCAAATCTCAGAGCAGGAGGAAGTGGCCCAGGGCAGGGCTGGGACCCACAGCCAGGCGGGGCTGACATCAAAGCCCTCGCTCTCGACAACGTACTATTCTGCAAGCAAAGACAGAGTTCCTGGGCTTCTTTCATAGATTGTTGCCTCCAAAGCTACCCATCGGAGGCATCTGGAATTATTCTCCACTTCCCCTCTGTATAGGTTTCCCTGTAGCTTAAGAACCATTGCTGATAGTACAGAAAGGGTTTCTGAGCCACCCCATTCTTTAAGGATGTCCTGGCCTCTTAAAATACTTATACACGCATGCACACATATCCATGTCCTCTTTTCAAAGCCCAGCCCTTTAACGATCCATGCCATGCATGTTATCACACACATTTATCTCACATCCTTTACTATCAGTAAATTTACTTGCTTTTGTCAGGACAGGAAAATTATTAGAAAAGAGACGACAGAAATAAGCAAGCTCTGCAAACCATGTGAATGTCAAGAGACCCTCCCCATAGAAACAGAACCTGTAGTTAACACCAAAGGTGAACACTAACTTTTCCATTTGGTGGCGTTTTCCAGCTACGTTATGGCACACAGTGGACAGTTCTGGAAACACCTGCTTTATGGCAGCACTCTGGCCATTCTGAGTACTTGCAACTGTGAATTCTGGAGCAGCCTAGTCCTTAGCAACCAAATTGGATGTTACCTGCTGCTCTTTCAAGAGTGGCTATGGGCAAACCTTTCTATTCAGTATGATCTCAACTGTGTAAAATATACATGTATGCCTAGAACAAAGACAGGAAGGAAGCATGCCAAAATGTCTACAAGCCCCACTCCCTAGGTGATGAGCAGAGTCACTTATTTTCTCCATAGACGTTTCTGCTTTTCTCTATGCATGGCCCTGACAGGCAGGCTGAGCAGGGGATGGTCAGCGTGGTGGGCAGACCTGGGGAGACTGGGCTCACTACTCAGGCCTGGATTCTGGTCTTGGTACTCACAAGCTGTAAACCCTTAAGTAAGACACTTACTTTCTCCAATCCTCATCTACAGATAGGACTGATAATCTGAACTTCTCAGGGCTTTTGTGAGAATACCAGAGATCATGTTCCCTTTTATTCCTGGCCTTAGATCTGTAAAATCTGAACCTAACAGATTATTCATTTCAAGTGATTTCTATTATTTTTTGTCTTGTTTTTAGAGATAGGGTCTTACTCTTGTCACCCAGGCTGGAGTACAGTGGTGTGATCCATCATAGCTCACTGCTGCCTTGAATTCCTGCGCTCCTCTATCCTCCTTCCTCAGCCTCCTGAGTAGCTGAGACCACAGGTGGATGCCACCACACCCGGCTAGTTTAAAAAATTTTTGTAAAGATGGGAATCTCGCTATGTTTCCCAGGCTGCTCTGGAATTCCTGGCCTCAAGCAATCTTCCCGCCTTGGCCTCCCAAAGCGCTGGCTTCTGTTTTGTTTAGCTTGCGGCCAAGATAAATTATAGCCACGACCGCTCAAGTGGCTTCATGTTACTATCTTTGAACTCAACAACAACAAAAGACTCCATTTGGAAAGCAGAAAAGTTCAGGCTAAGCTGAAATTCATAGAATGTTCCTTCCCAAGGAAAAGCAGGTAAAGGTCACAACTGTTTTTTAAAAAAATGAGAGCAAAGAAAGGATGATGTCTCAACTCTGAAGATAGCTGGTGATAGATTCAGAAGTGTTCTTTTTACAGGAGATGATACTGAATAACGCAGGAGCGCGTAAGCCCTTACCTTGGCCTGTCCGATCTCAAAGCGTTCTTGTGGGGTGTAAATAACCATAGTTTCTGGTCGGGTGGTCCGAATGAAGCACATCCCCTAGGGCATAAATGGAGCCATGGTTTAGAAAAGCAAACAATGAATTTCCAACAACAGACGTTGAAAGAAGTGAAGGAGGGGTGTGAAGAGGACAGCTCTTTCTACTAAAAACACAGGCTTTGGAGAAAGGGGTGAGCATCTACAACCAGTGGACGACAGGTCCCAGCAGGACCTTGGGGCTGCCCTGAAGGACAAGCTCCCCCATGCCATCACACCAATCCCCTTGGAAGATTCCCCAATACTCACTGACTTGTTCTGTGCAGACAGAACATTAACTCACGGCAGGAGCACTGACTCACATTGACTAGAAAGCCCGAATAGAATGTTAAAACATTAACTTTTGCCACAATAACTTGTAATGCTTCATCCTTAGAAAGACCATAAACATCTATCTGAATACAAGACGACTGGCCCCTTTCCCAATAAAATGTAAATACATTTTTATGACCAATTTGAGCACATAAACATTTACCAGTATAAATGAACACTTGTATGTCTAAAGTATTTGTTAATTTACATACATATTAATGGATGCATTATAAACGAATATAGCAAGAAACGTCGCTACTGTTCGTTCATACGCTATGATCCATCTTTATTCAGTGTCTTCACCGAGGCATAACTCAGCTGCAGTGAAATGCATACATCCTAAGTTCAGCCCTTCCTGAATGCTGCATCCGCCGTGGAGCCCTCATCCAAGCCCAGCAGCGCTTCCGCCAGCAGAGTTCCCTTGTGCCTCCTTCCAGTCAGTCTCCCCCCACTATGAAGCAACCTCTACTCTAATTTCTATCACCTAATCTTGTTTTGCGCCTCTCTTGACCTTTCTAGAAATGAAACCCTATAACGTGTGAAATCACAGAACAATCTCCAAGATAAACTAATTTTAAAAGTACACAATTGGCCAGGTGCGGTGGCTCATGCCTATAATCCCTGCACTTTGGGAGGCCAAGGTGGGTGGATCACTTGAGGCCAGGAGTTTTGCGACTAGCCTGGCCAACATGGCGAAACCCTGTCTCTCCCCAAAAATACAAAAATTAGCCGGCCGTGGTGGAGTGCACCTCTAGTCGCAGCTACTCAGGAGGCTGAGGCAGGAGAATCTGGGAGGCGGAGGCTGCAGTGAGCCGAGATTGTGCCACTGCACTCCAGCCTGGGCGACAGAGTGAGACTCTGTCTCCAAAGAAAAAAAACCCAAAAAACAAAACACAAAAACCACACAAAAAAGTACCTAATAATATGTAAAGCGGGAGCCCACTTATAAAAAAAAAAATCAAAGAAACGCCCATGAGTGCTTGGAAAGGGAACATACAGTCCCCATCCCGACTGTGCCAGGGGTTACCTGTGTGGCGCATGGGCGAGGTCCAGGGTGGCAAGGGAAACCTGCTGAACGTTAGTGGGAAAGGCTGGAAAGATCAAGACCACACTGCCTCGTCTCCCGTGCAGCTAGGTTCTGAACAGGAATTTGATTCTGTCCATCTGATGCCCTTGCATGAGGTCCCACACACTCTTGGCGCCCTAAGCTGTTCCAAAGGCAAGCCAGGGCCAGGGAACCCGGGTTCGTTTGTAGTGGTAGCCTACCACCCGCTCTCCAGCTTCCTGGATGTCAGGACACAGCAGGAGCTTCTTGGCCTCTGGCTGCAGCCACTGGAGACTAACACTATAGTCTGGGACTCTGCCTGAAGCTTGCTCCTGCGGCTTCTTAAGCACCCTTTGTTAAACACCTTCTCCTGTTTACAACACCCAGAATGGTCCCTGTTTCTTCTGCTAAACCCTGACTGAGACAGGCTGTCAGGTTTTGTTCAGTATCCTGTACTGTTGGACTCTTTTACAAGGCAAATGTGTTTGTGTGCATAATCTCCTGTTTTTTTTGTAAAGAATTCTATCACCAAATTTTCTATAATGAATATCACTTTTATGTTGAGAAAAAAAAGTCCAATCATCAGTATGAAACTAGCAGAGTCCAGAAGCATTTTCTGTCTGAAACTAGTGTCCCCTTAAAAATACCTTGGCATTGGCTGCCAGAGCAACAGCATGCTCCGTGGAGACGGCATCAGTTGGGTAGAAGATCGTGCACTTGGGAATGGTTCGGAACATGGCTATATCCTCCAGGGCCATCTGGGAAGCACCATCGTCACCTGAGAGAACCAGAGCCCGATGAAAACAGGAGCATAACCCCATTAGGAACCTGCCCTCCACCCACTTCTAGCTCTGAAGAAGCAATTATTCCTATTGCCACGGGGTGTCCCGAGCTGTAGCAGAGCCCCATAAATGGTCCCGCTGCATCCTCACAACTCATTTACATTGTGTTCTTGCACGCCTGTCTCCCTTGAGATCACACTGTGACACCTCGGGTTAGTCAACTGAAAAGTCTCAGCTGACTTTTCAGATGGATCACTCCAAGTTACTGTCCACGATGGCTGAGCATTGGTGGCCTGAGTTTGGCCTGCTAAGTCTCTGAACCCGTTCTCTTTAGGAAGGTCCTCAGGCTTTGTTCTCCCTTTTCTGCTCTATCTTTTCTATATCCAGAGACCGGGTTTTGCATACCAAAGTGGTCTTTTTCATTTCTCCAGGCCTTCCAAGTAGTTAACACACCTTCAAAGCATGCTGAGGGTGCTACAGGGTACTTTAGGGTGTATCTGGGAACGTAGTTTCTCACCAGAAATGTGAAAGAGAAATCTTAATGTGCACTGGGCAGCTTAGCTTTTCTCAGCTAGGAAGGGGATTGTCACCATGCACACTGCCTTGCCTAGGACCACTGTCTAACCTCAACAGCCCAGCTCTTTTTTTAAAAAAATTAACTATTATTATTTTGAGACAGAGTCTCGCTCTGTTGCCCAGGCTTGAGCGCACTAGGTCATCTTGGCTCACCGCAGCCTCTACCTCCCAGGTTCAAGCAATTCTCCTGCCTCAGCCTCCCAAGTAGCTGGGATTACAGTCATGTGCCAACATGTCTGGCTAAGTTTTGTATTTTTAGTAGAGATGGGGTTTCACCATATTGGTCAGGCTGGTCTCAAACTCCTGACCACAGATGATCCACCTGCCTCGGCCTCCCAAAATGCTGGGATTACAGGTGTGAGCCACCGCTCTGGCTTTTTTTTTTTTTTTTTTTTTTGACAAAGCCTCTCTCTGTCGCCAGGCTGGAGTGCAGTGGTGTGATCTTGGCTCACTGCAGCCTCTGCCTCCTGGGTTCAAGCAATTCTCCTGTCTCAGCGTCCTGAGTAGCTGGAATACAGGTGCGTGCCACCACACCTGGCTAATTTTTCTATTTTCAGTAGAGATGGGGTTTCACCAAGTGCTGGGATTACAGGCATGAGCCACTGCGCCCAGCCTTCCAGTTCTTCTTTGGATGGAACCTAGAGTCACTTTCTCCATGTGACTATTTCAAAACTGAAACTGAGCACAGCCACAGGTGGGCTCAAGGACCCTTTCCTAGGCCCCTCTGCCCCTGCAACACTGCCGCGCCTCCTCTCTCTGGCCACCACCTGTGCCTCCAGCTTCACCCAGACAGCCGTGACTCTAGCTCCATCTAGAGCCATCTCGTCCAGCCTCATTCTCCCAGGGAGTCCCTGAGATGGCTTTCCAGCGTGCATCTCTGGCATTCTAGAAGCAAGTGTGTGCAGCCACATCTAGTAAGCCCATCTGCCTGCCACAGGCACGCCAGCTGGCTCATCTTTCCCATGTCATTTCTGTCATTCACGAAAATGACTCTCTGACGTTTCCCAAGTGAGGAATCCCGGAGACTCGTGTGTTTTGCTCTTCACGCCATTGCAGAGTGCTCCATCTGTTAGGCACACTCACCTCTTTCTTCACTCTCAGGTCCCCCCCCACCCCCCTGGTTTTCTCCCCCACCACCTTGCACACCTTGTTTCAATCCCCTCTCTGGCTTCCCGTTTCCTGTGGTTTCCTTCTAGCCCACCTGCCAGGTGACTACTACTCTGAGAAGGGTGTGTTTGTAAGAGTTCCTGCCTCGTGTCACGCTCCAGGGTTCTCGCTGCCCCAGGCAGGAAGGTGGTGATGGTGGTCCCAGCCCCCCTCCCACCTGAGCAGGCTGTGCAGCCAGCCAGAATGCTCCTCGTCCTCTGTGATGCTGTTCACCCTCAGTTAGACTGCAACCACAGCGAGGGCAGAAAAGGCTCCATGACTCTGCCAGTCCTGTCCATAACCTGCACGCAGCTCAACACACAAGGGGCACTCGGGATAAGCAACTGTTTCTCACTGTCTGAAACAACAGTACCACCGAGAGATGCACTTCAAAAGTTGCCCTGAGAGTCTGACACTTTTAAAGTACAATATGGCTTTTTCAAGAAAAAGGCTTGAATAATCAAACTTCATGGAACCATAAGGAAATTCGTGGTTTAACCAATCACATGCTAATCTTTCTCTGTGAAGGAGGAAGGCTACCAAGATGATGGCATTTAGAACCCTTACCAACAGATACCCCACAGTGGGAACCAATAATGTTGATGTTGCTCTCAGCGAGGCCTCCTATCCGGATGTGATCAAATGCTCGAGTCAGAAAGGCAGCAAAGGTGCTAGCAAAAGCAATGGTCCGTCCACGGGAGGCACAGCCCAGAGCCACGCTCACCTGCAGCACAGAGAACATGAATCAGAACATCCCTGGGCATTGCCCCCACCGCCCCTTCTCCCACAGTCCCCATGATAACTCCCATTCTGCACCTGCTGAACTGCTCTGAAGTTCTAGCATGCGTCCTTCCCACACCCCTCTTTCCTCAAACCCTGGGCACCCGTCCGTCCCTCCTGCTCAGACGGCGCCCTCAACTCATAGCTCCTAGGGAGCAAGAGATGAGACTCTCTTGCCTGCCCTCCTGGTGTCCGCAGCTTTCCAGGGTCCATGCCCCGACAGGACATCCTGAATCTGTCCTGTTCCTGCTTTCTCACAGGGGTCTCCAGCCATGCAGCTCCTCCTCCCCTCTTGTGCTACTTCCCTTTCTCTTGGATCATTCTATTTCCATTCAGGTGTGCGCCAGCACCTTTTATCTTCACAGCCCCATCTCCGCCTTGTCCTGCTTTTACATCTGTGTTCTCCTTCGCAGCAAACTTCTCAAAACTTGCCTATAGTCATTGCCCCTGCTTTCTCATTTTCCACGCTCTTCCCAGCCTACTTCATCTAGGCCACCATCCCCACAAGGGACCTCGAAGCCACAAAACCAAGAGGCTGCCTGACCTTGGGTGGCCTGTGACTTGACTTGGCCCCTGATCTCAAGGCATTTCCTCCTCTCGGTTTCTGCAGTGTGGCAGTGGCCCACTGCTGTCGCCTCATGGGCGCTGCTGGGGCAAGTCCTCAGGGCCCTGTGCACCCTCGGGAAGTCGCATCTGGCCCAATGCTCCCCTGATGTGCATTCTGGTAATGATCCCCACTTTACATTGCCATTCCTTACCCCCCTTCCCCAGAAGTCCGGGCTCAAATACCCCAGAAGGCTTCAAACTAGAATACAAACCTCTCTGCGGATACACACAGGCTTTCCAAAGGGGATGTGGCTGTGGGTGTTACACTCAAGATCCCAAACTCCAGATCAACTCTGTCTACATTCATCTGCCAAAAGGAGGGTCTGTGCTCCCCTCATGGTCTTTTTTTTTTTTTTTAGACAGGGTCTTGCTCTGTTGCCCAGGCTGGGGTGCACTGGTGCAATCTTGGCTCACTGCAACCTCCACCTCCTGGGTTCAAGCGATTCTCCTGTCTCTGCCTCCCGAGTAGCTGGGATTACAGGCACCCGCCACCACGTCTGGCTAATTTTTGTATTTTTAGTAGGGACGAGGTTTCACCATATTGGTCAGGCTGGTCTCGAACTGACAGGTGATCCACCCACCTCGGCCGGCCTCCCAAAGTTCTGGGATTACGGGCGTGAGCCACTGCCCCTGGGTCTCCCACTGTCTCTTTTAACAATCACCTTCTAGCAACCTGATCCCCAAAGGGCATGCTCTCAGCCACCTGACTCTTACAGGGGGATCATCCTGGAGTGCAGAACCTCCAGACCCAAGTAAAGAGGACAATTTGAAATAACTATGCTGGTGGAGAGAAAGTGAAGAACTTAATTAATGAAACTGTCAACTCTGTAAATAACTTTTATAAACAACTTTACATGAAAGATCACTATGTGATTTTTTGACTTACAACTGGGAAGGAATTCAAAGAACTGAGTGACATTCCTCTAACAAAACTTCCCTTCCCATCTACTTATTCATGTAAGTAAGGTTTCATAGCACATCATGAAGATGAAAAACAGGAATAGAATCTGTTCTCAATGCTATCACATTCAAACTACAAGTATACTCATCCACTAACATACCAGCTAATAATAATCAAAATTCTATCTCAGTCCAGAAAAAAAAACCTAATGCTCAGAAGCCTATATTATAATTTTTTAAAAACCTATCAATTTATATGCATATTTTTGTTGCAGAGAAAAATGATAGGACAATCAATAAAAGGCTTTCATGCATAAAGATATATTGGGGAAATGAATGGAATGGAAATTGGAAATCAAGTAGAAAAAGGGTTTTAATTTCTGACAAAGAAAAGTGGCTTGGCATGAATTTTTTTTTTTTAATTACAGACCAGGTCTCACTATGTTGTTCAGGCTGGTCTTGAACTTTTTTTTTTTTTTTTTTTTTTGAGACGGAGGCTCGCTCTGTCGCCCAGGCTGGACTGCAGTGGCGCAATCTCAGCTCACTGCAAGCTCTGCCTCCCGGGTTCACGCCATTCTCCTGCCTCAGCCTCCCGAGTAGCTGGGACTACAGGCACCCACCACCACGCCCGGCTAATTTTTTTTTTTTTTTGTATTTTTAGTAGAGAAGGGGTTTCACCATGTTAGCCAGGATGGTCTCCATCTCCTGACCTCGTGATCCGTCCGCCTCGGCCTCCCAAAGTGCTGGGATTACAGGCGTGAGCCACCGCACCCGGCCTGGTCTCGAACTCTTGAACTCCAGCAATCCTCCAGCTTCAGCCTCCCAAAGTGCCGGGATTACAGGTGTGAGCCACTATGCCCAGCCAGTGTCATCATTAATGGCATGATTTGAGTATTAAAGTATCAAAAATGTCAATATATGAACAACTACATCCTTTGCAACGACTTAAATTTATGATTAAAAATGTAGATGTGGCCAAGCATGGCGGCTCCCAGCTCCTCAAGAGGCCGAGGCCAGAGGACCCCTTGAGCCCAGGAGTTTGAGGCTGCAGGGAGCCATGATTGTGCCACTGCATTCCAGCCTGGGTGACAGAGCAAGACTCCATCTCTACAAAAAATAAAAATAAAAAAAAGATGTTAGCTTAAAACTAGGCCAACGAATATGTAGTTTAGAAAACTGCATTTAGTGGTGTGGAGCGGCCACATGTGAAAATGACTGACTGATCTACTGCCCAGCCATCTGATACCACTGTCTCCCCTCTGTACATCTAACAGGTGCCCCAACCCCCCAGGCCCACACAGAGCTCCTGATGGTGCCCTCCAGTCCACTTCTCCCCCAGTCTTGTCAATCTCAAGAGGTGACACCACCTTCCCCCAGGTGCTGCCACCCACACTCAAGCACCAGCCTTGGGTCCTGTCCTGACACCTGCCGTTGGCATCCTGCTGGCTCTCCTGCCAAGGCAATATGTGACAAGTCTGCTTCCCTCCGACTCCACAGCTACTGCCCTGGTCCAAGTCACCCTCTCCTTCTCCTCCCTTTCCTACGTGAAGCCATTCTCCAGTCTTCAGAGTTTTGGAAAACGCAGGCTGTTGCTTTCCTGCTTAAAGCCCTCCAGTGGCTTCCCAGCAAACTGCAAGAGAACCAGAGATACTGAAAAGGGCGCCTATAAGACCCCGTATGACCTGGGCCCTGGAGAGTTTTCTGCGTTCACCATGCTCCTACCACTTGGCCCTTCCTCTGCTCTCCAAACATTCCAAGCCTGGGCCTGCCTACAGTTGGCCATGCCCCTTGCTTGAAATGCTGTCTCCCACATCTGCACACGGCTGACCCCTCGTCACCTGAGACTCAGCTTAAGTATCACCTTTTCTGAGAGGTTGTCCCTGACTGCCCCTGGTCAAGCTCTACATTGTAGCCACCTCTTTCAACATGGCACTAAATACCACCTGCTCGCCTTTTCTTTACAACTTTTTTCCAACTGTGAGAACATATCAGCAGGGACGGAGTAGACTACATGGCTGCGTGCTGAGGCAATCAGTGAGGTGGGGAGCAAAATTTTTGACAGGAGCATTAATCCAGAAAATTACGGATCGCATTGTTTTCTATTCAAAATGAAAACAGCTTAATGAGCCAGGCTCGGGGGCTCACACCTGTAATCCCAGCACTTTGGGAGGCTGAGGCAGGCAGATCACCTGAGGTCAGGAGTTGGAGACCAGCCTGACCAACATGGTGAAACCCTGTCTCCACTAAAAACACAAAAATTAGCCAGGCATGGTGGCGCATGTCTGTAATCCCAGCTACCTGCGAGGCTGAGGCAAGGGAATCGCTTGAACCTGGGAGGCAGAGGTTGCAGTGAGCTGTGATCGTGCCACTGCACTCCAGCCTCGGTGAGAGAGAGAGAGAGACTCCATCTCAAAAAAAAAAAACCCCCAAAAAAAAACCAAAAACCACAAAACAACAAAAAACCCAAATGGCCCAGCAGAGCATGGGGAGCTGTGGGGACACCCATCTCAACAGGGGTGCTGTTTGGCTTCAGTCAACTGGCGTCAGGAGGGAATGCCACCCTATGGTAGTAGTTCTTCCCATTTTTCAAAAGAATCCAGAAATATGTATTCTATATAAGACCTCCTGATTCTTTTTCTTTTTTGAGATGGGGTCTCGCTGTTTCACAGGCTGGAATGCAGTGGTACATTGCAGCGTTTAAGTCCTGGGATCAAGCATCCTCCTGCCTTAGAGTCCCGAGTAGCTGGGACTGCAGGCTGGTGCCACTACACCTATAATCTGATTTTTAAATGCTGGCAACTAATTTTTAAAAAATTTAAAATACTGGCTGGGCGCGGTGGCTCATGTCTGTAATCCCAGCACTTTGGGAGGCCGAGGCGGACGGATCACGAGGTCAGGAGATTGAGACCACTCTGGCTAACACAGTGAAACCCCGTCTCTACTAAAAAATACAAAAAATTAGCCGGGTGTGGTGGTGGGCACCTGTAGTCCTAGCTACTTGGGAGGCTGAGGCAGGAGAATGTCGTGAACCCAGGAGGCGGAGCTTGCAGTGAGCTGAGCACTCCACTCCAGCCTGGGCGACAGAGCGAGACTTCGTCTAAAAAAATTTTTTTTAAAAATACTACTTGTTATAAATAAAGTCACTGGTGGTCACATAAGACCTGCTGGCCTGTGGTTTTCTGGCCTAATGACAGGAGCTGGGCATCATCTTCTATGACGCGCAGAGCTTTAGAGTTCAAAGGGTTTACTGGCCATAACTCCTTCCTCTCCAGAGGGGTGCGCTTGTGTGCATGTGCTTGAGATACTCCCTGCATTAATATCACTCTGGGGAGAGACTGAGGCATAGATAAGCAGAATGGCTTTGCCTAAGGCACCAGCTCTAAGCATTGATATTCTTGTGATTGAAGTAAGTGCAACATTTGCATTTCTGTGCTATATTAGGCCCCTCTACAGTGGAGAGAAGGAAACTCTGCATTCCCTGTGACTCCTCAGCCAGTGTGCCTCTGGGTGGTTGCAGAATTGGGCAGAAGGAGCTACTAGGGAGCCTGGGATGCTTCAGGCCCAGAGCCCTGGGTTCAGATGGTTCGAGGCTCAGAGGACCCACTGTCTGTGGCCTTGGGCCTGCTGCCCTCAGCCAACTTGGAGACTCCAAGTGCCGAGTAGTCTATTACGGCCCTCCTAGCAGACCTAGAAGCCACCTCTCAGACTCCACCTGGCTACTTGCCTCCTGCTTCCCAGGAAATTTTTTTCCAGTCCTTTTGCTTTCATAAATGGAAAGAAAAACTAGCACAGGCTGGGCCTCCTGTGTCCAGTGGGCCATTGATTCTAAGAAGCCCTGAGAGACACTACACACTCACCATGTTTTGTTCAGCCATAAAGCACTCGATGAAGCGCTCAGGGTACTCCTTGTTGAATATCTCAGAGAAAGTAGAGTACCTGGTGTCACCATCCAGCACAACGACTCTGTTGTTCGCGTAGCCCAGCTTAGCCAGAGCCAGACCGCATGCTTTCCGAGTAGCTATCTAGAAGACAGAGACAATCAGGTGGTAGAGTTTCTTCAAATGCATTTAGAAGGAACGACTACAGAAGGAAGGTACCATATTGTAGAATGACAAATTATCATCTATCTTGAAGAAAGTAAATTCGTGACTCACCAAAAATTTCCTTTAATGTCATAAACATGGACTGCTAGCCAATCTTAAATCCATACTAAATGGCTGATGTGGCACCCAAGTTTTTCTCAAATTGTGCTCTTTTTAGTTAACATCCCCCGCTCCCCCAACCCCCACTTCCTAAGCAGGTAAACACTCCACAGCTCAAGAGTGAGATTTCCGACATTAATGGTTCTCATTATATTTTTCAAATTACTTGGCCAGGTGTGCTGGCTCACATCTGTAATCCCAGCATTTTGGGAGGCTGAGGCAGGTGGACCACCTGAGGTCAGGAGTTCGAGACCAGCCTGGCTAACAAGGTGAAACCCCGTCTCTACTAAAAATACAAAAATTAGCTGGGCATGATGGCGGGAGCCTGTAATCCTAGCTACTTGGGAGGCTGAGGCAGGAGAATCGCTTGAATCCGGGGGCAGAGGTTGCAGTGAGCCGAGATTGCACCACTGCACTCCAGCCTGGGTGACTGAGCGAGACTCCATCTCAAAAAAAAAATGTTGAGTTTTATGAATTGCTTTTGTTTAGTGTGTATGATGATGATCACACTTCCCTCCTTCCTTTAACCTAACACTAGAACACTGAATTCTATTCCTACATCTCCTGGCATGAGTCATCTGCATTACTAATTTGAGCTCACTGATTCATTTAATTTTTTTAATGTACTAATGAAGTTGAGATGGGCTAATGTTCTATTTAGAATTTTTATATTGGTATTCATAAAGAAAGTTGCTCTGCAGTTTTCTTTAGGCTAGCTTTGTCACATTTTCGCTTCATAAGTAAATCGGGATGACATTTTCATCTTCCTCCGTATTTGGAAAAATTTGAAACAGTTTAGAAATTACTCTTTTCATAAAGGTTAAAAATGAGTCAGTCTTATATAACCTGGTGAGCCTGGTGCTTTGGGGGTATAGCACTTGGATAATTTTCTCCATTTTTTTCTAGGGCTATTGATCCATTTAAGGTTTTTATACCTCTTTTAGTCAATTTTGATATTTTATGTATTCCTAAAAATGGTCCCCCCGCTTTTTACACATTTTCATACCAATTATGCAACTATGGAGTTATATAGTTTTCTCAAACTTTTTTTTTTTTTTTGAGACAGAGTCTCGCTCCGTTGCCCAGGCTGGAGTGCAGTGGCCCAATCATAGCTCACTATCCCCTCAAACTCCTGGACTCAGGTGATTCTCCTGCCTCAGCCTCCAGAGTACCTGGAACCATATTATGGCACCATGCCTGGATAATTTTTAAATTCTATGTAGAGATGGGGTCTCACTACTTTGCCCAGGCTAGTGTTGAACTCCTGGGCTCAAGTGGTCTTCCTGTCTTGGCCTCCTGATAGTGCTGGGATTACAGGAGTGAGCCACTGTGCCTGGCCCACCCTTTGTTGATATACCGTCTCCTTTCTTCTGGTTTTTGTCTTTTGATTTCTCAAGTATTCAAAATTCATTTATTTTTAACCCTCATTACCAGGCTAAGAAAACATGAGCAACACTCAAAATTTCTCCAAATAAAGAAGGATCAGAAAGTGTGTCCTTCCTCCCTAGGCTCGCCGCCTTACTTCCTCTAGGCCATAAAGAACTTGCCTATGTCAGGTCTGCTATGATATACCAGAAGGCAGGATGTAAAGGTGCTAAAAACCAAAAGGACTTGATACTCAAGAGTTTTGTGCATCATTTGATTCCTTTTTGAGGTTTCTGATGAATTGGCCTGCTCCTCTGTGTAATTCAGAGAGTAAGTTCAAAAGGTCAGCCCGCCTGGGGCCAGTCTTCTTAGCGGAGACACAGAGTCGTGGCAGTTTCATGCACAAACCAAAGTTAGGAAGCTAGAAAAAGGCACACCACACCAGGAGCTAATAAATAGCAATTGACCAATCAGAAAATTCAGACACACATGTGAAAGCCAAAAATAAAAATCAGACCTAATAAAAGAGAAGGGGAGCCAGGAGTGGTGAAAGATCAAGTACCTACTGGGTGCAATGTCCACTACTCCGATGCTGGGTGCACTGAAAGCCCAGACCTCACCACTACACAGTATCTATCCACGTGACACAGCTGCACTTTGGACCCCTAAATGTATTTTTTAAAAATGGCAAACCTCTCTTTATTGCCTACGAACTGTTAGTTACATGTCACTCTAGTAATTGGTTCGTCCATGGAGACCAGAATAAATGAAGAATCCTGTGTACATACGAACAACATTAGAGAACAAAGCAGTTGACGTATCTGATTTATTCAATTATCCACCTTTCTGCCTACCTTGTCACCAACTCTGTAATCAGGTGGAGAGGTCATCCTTACATCTGTGATGTTGACTTCAGGTGAGTCCTCAATGGGGGGCTGTGGGTCAAGATTCCTGCTGGTCTGTATCTGGCTCTCAATTAATTTGATAATGGCATCTGCTCTTTCTCTCGGCATTGGCTTTGCATGCCAACTTTCTGCATCCTCAATACCTGTAATGAAACAAACAAAAGACATCCATTCCATAAATATTTAGTGAGTGCCTATGAGGTCACCTGAAAAACAGACCCCGATGAAAAAGATGTCACCCTAGGACTCACAGGAGGAACACCTGGCACAGAGGGCCTGGGACGCTGCTGCAGCCAGAGAGAACAGCTTGGACAAAGGCCCTGAGGCTTTTTGTTTTGAGACAGGGGTCTCACGCTATGACTCCTCCCCAAGCTGGAGTGCAGTGGGTGATCATAACTCACCACAGCTTCCAACTCCTCGGGCTCGAGTGATCCTCCCGCCTCCGCCTCCTAAGTAGCTGGGATTACAGGTGCAAGCCATTGCACCTAGCTATGCCCCTGAGGGCCACTGGTGAGTGGAAGGGAGAATGAGAATAAGGCTGGAGAGACAGGTAGGGCAGACCATGGAGGGTGGGTCTTGTGGGTATGAGAAGTTTGAGTTTTATCCAAAGCAAGATTGGAAACCATTGAAGGGTTTGGAGTGGGGAAAGTGACTGATCAGATCCACTGTAGAAAGATCACTGTGGCAGCAGTGTAGAGACTGGTGTGGAGGGAGGCCAGCTGGAACTTTGGGAGAGATGATGGGTGTGGCAACAGTCATGGTAGTAGAGATGGGGAGGAGTGAATGGGTCCAAGATGTAATCTAGGGGACTGGGTCTATGTGTGGGCATATGAGGGGGAGGCAGAGGCAAGGACAACACCCAGGGTCCTGCCAGGAGCACACTGGTAAAATAATTTACTGAACGGAGGGTACCAGAGTAAAACTATATTTTCGGTAGGAGTCACAGAACAGTTTTATTCTAAAATGTCTATAGTCTTTTAAAAAAATCCAGGAGCCGCACTCTTTGTGATGAGTTAAACCTGAGATAAACAATTTCAGCTGTCAGCCTTGAAATGTGATAGTTGGTGATTCCAAGCTCCCGTCTTCCCCAATTCCCAGGGTTCTTCCAGAAGAGTGTGGGCCTAGGCACGTGTGTAGGTATGCACTCTTATTTCTTGCACCTGCTCATACACACAGCACGCTTTCTGATTCTACTAACCGTAGAGATTGTTCCCTGTCAGTCCTCCGATGGGCTGTACTCCTAGCCACTCCCTTGTGCAGGCAGCACATCACTGTTCACCTGCTAGGGCTTTTGATATCTCCTATCCTAAGCAGACACTAGCTAGTGAAAATAAGAGAGCAGGAGCCTCCAACATATACTCCAGGCAGAACTGCTATTCACTAAATGAGTCATCTGCCTAGGCCCCTCTAAGCCTCTCCCGCCTCTGCTGCTGAGCGGACAGATGCTTTTAACAACCAGGAGCAGGAGGAAAGTGCTTGCTTACTTGGGGTGCCCCGGCCCTTGAAGGTCTTGGCCACCACAGCAGTGGGCTTGTGCTTCACCTGAGAAGCCTGCCAGAATACCTGGCACAGTGCCTCCACGTCCCGGCCGTCCACCACATAAGTGTTCCACCTGCCAACAGAGGAGCAGGCTGGGTTACAAGAGATGAAGGGGGCAGGACAGAATGGAAATCAAGCACAAGAGAATACAGTTACCCAAAGGCTTCGCAGCGCCTCTGATAGATGTTTATGCAGTGCTCGGCGGGCAATGCACCACTGTGTCCCAGGCGGTTCACATCAAAGATTGCCACAAGATTGTCCAGACTGTAGTAGGAAGCAAAGGCCATTGCCTCCCAGACAGAGCCTTCTGAGGACTCGCCATCACTCATGAGGCAGAACACCCGGTAGCTGGAGCAAGACAAGAGAGGTTTAGGACCCTGTGGGGGATCATCTGGGCCAACCAAACAAATGCATTTCAGGAGGAGAAACGGACGCAACTGGAGCTGCTGCTCCAGACCATTCGCTTCCCACAATCTCCCTCATCAACTCTGCCCCAGCCCAGCAGCTAAGAAAGCCGAGCTTGAAAAGCCTGGGGGCTCACAAGCAGGCTTTACCTCTGGCTAGTTTTCTGTTCTAGCTGTAAAGCAACTTTTAGGTTCTTCTGCCACATTTCCTTATCAATAAGCAAACAGGGCCAGAGGGGAAGGGGAAGAAAGCAGCATCCTTAAGTTCCCCAAACATTTACACATTCATTTTTCTGGTAAGTTCCCTTTTAAAGCATTGCCACCTTCTAATTTTTTTGTTTGTTTGTTTGAGGCAGAGTTTCCATCACCCAGGCTGGAGTGCAGTGGCGTGATCTTGGCTCACTGCAACCTCCACCTCCCGGGTTCAAGCAATTCTCCTGCCTACAGGCCCACGCCACCATGCCCAGCTAGTTTTTGTATTTTTTAGTAGAGAGGCGGTTTCGCCATGTTGGCCAGGCTGGTCTCGAACTCCTGACCTCAGGCGATCCGCCCACCTCGGCCTCCCAAAGTGCTGGGATTACAGGCGTGAGCCACCGCCTCCCGCCGCCACCTGCTAGTTCTGTTCTTACAACTTATTTACAATAATCACAACAATCAAAACACCCCACCTTGGAAACGTGTTCTGCTGTGAAGTAAATTCCTCCACAACCAACGACGTGAGTGTTCGCATCAAGAAAACACATCTGGCCAGGCACAGTGGCTCACATCTGTAATCCCAGCACTTTGGGAGGCCAAGGCAGGTGGATCACCTGAGGTCAGGAGTTTGAAACCAGCCTGGCCAACATGGCGAAACCCCATCTCTACCAAAAATACAAAAATTAGCTGGGCATGGTGGTGCATGCCTGTAATCCCAGCTACTCAGGAGGCTGAGGCAGGAGAATCACTTGAAACTGGGAGGCAGAGGTTGCAGTGAGCCGAGATCATGCCACTGCACTCCAGCCTGGCCACAGAGTGAGACTCAGTCTCAAAAACAAACCACACATCCCAGACCCCACTAAAGTGCTGGAAGTTTTAAAAAAGCTATCAACCCTAGGATAAGAATGGAAAG
This sequence comes from Homo sapiens, assembly GCF_000001405.40. Taxonomy (NCBI): domain Eukaryota; kingdom Metazoa; phylum Chordata; class Mammalia; order Primates; family Hominidae; genus Homo; species Homo sapiens. Next base: position 154,309,671 of record NC_000023.11, on the reverse strand, counting down.
GCAACAGCAGCTGAAACCTTTCAACAGACCTGTGGGAGAGAAAGTGGGGCAGCCGCCCGAGGTGGGGAAAAGGCACAGGGAAGGCCTTCCAGAGGGGTCACCACGGGATGTGATGGGGACTGGCCCTTCAGGGCTCTCCACATCACGGAGATAGGTGGCTGCCCCCCGAGACTCTAGGAAGGGGATGTAGATGTAGGGCAGTTAAATGGCTTCTGGGGAAGAACCTCACCTGGCCCTGTCGAAGTACTTGCCAGTATATGCCATTCCACATGCAACTCCCAGTCCTTGTCCGAGCCATCCTGTTGCCACATCCACAAACGACAGTCTCTGTAAGAGAAGGGACCCAGTGAGCCCAGACGCAGCTGCAGGACATGGTATCAGGTGGACTCACGCACTGAGTGCAGGCTGCTCCTGTCAGCTCTGTAGCAGCGTCCCATCCGAACAGCCCCTCCCGCCCTGCTGGGTGAATTCCTCTTCCCCACACCCATATGCACCCCAAGCTTCCGATCAACGTTACAAGTGGAAAATGGGTCAAGCCCAGGGCTCAGCCTGGGCTGGAAACTCAGGTGACTAAGGTGACGAAGACATCCACTGTCCCTGCCCAGGGAGTCATAGGTAATCCATACAGTATGGCAAGGGTGGCTGGAGCTTTGGGAATAGAGACGGGGAGCCCAAGTACAAAGCAGAAAACGTAAAGTATGATTCTTGACATTTTCCCATGGCCCTTCCCGGTCATGCACAAATCACATGTTCAATCCTATGGAGGATATGGATTCTTAAAACAGAAACCAGAAAGAGAATACTCTGGTTCCCTGGTTTATAAAACTCAGGTCAACTGAGATCTTACACGTGCTCATCTAGAAGTGCCCACGCTAGAAATGAATCCCTTTCTACTAGCATCTACCCCACCCCCAACATCCTGTTTGCAGGCACAGGGTCATCACTATCCCAAGCAGAAAATGTGGCCCTCTGTGGGCCACAAGGTCATGCCAAAGAGCTGCTGCACTGACTGGAGAGGCCCAACTTGCAAGCATACTGAATTTACCCAACAGCTTCTGCAGCCACCATTTCGACCTGGTCTTAAACATCCCTTGCCTCTGTCACTGCAGTGGCCTCCCAGCCTCCCCCACAGCCATTCTCAATCTAGCCACAAGGGGGAGCCTGTTAAAACTGAAGTTGACTGATCACATCGCTCAACTTTCTAAGGTCTTCCGACCTCCCACCAAGTAGAGCTCAACTGTTTGCACCTGTCTGCCCACCCCAGCCCCCATCACCTCCATTTCTCCCTTCCACTGCTCTGGCACCCTGGCCTCCTTGCTGCTCCTTGAACACAGTGGGCATACACCTGCCTCAGGGCCTTAGCACTCATGGCACCCACTACCGGAGTGCTTGTGCGTGGATGTGGGCACAGCTCACTCTCCTGCCTCTTCCAAATCCCTGCTCAAGCGTCAGCACTGAGGTCTTTCTGGACCACTCTTTTTCAACCAGTGCCTCCTACCTCCTCCACTTTTACTTGATTCCAGATGCTTGGCCCCACCTGACACTCCATCTATTGACTTAAAAGTTTGTTTCCTGCCTGTCACCCTCCTCTGCTCAAACGTCAGCGCCATTCGAGCAGAGATGAGCGAGGTCATCACTACTGTAGATGGATGGATGGTATTTACGATTCTCTGATCTCCTGCTTCTTGCTTCCTACCCTCTGCTACTCTCTGGTTGCTCTTGACCTTCCCCGGAATTCTCTGCATGCTTTGTGCCCCCCAGAGACTCCCTTTTGGTTCTGCATTTCCAGCCCAGCAGAACTGCCCCACTCAACTCAAGTCTCTTTTGACTATGCCTCTAGCCACATCTCCCTCCCTATGGCACCCACCACACTCACGTAACAAGCTCTGGCTCCCAGTCGCCTTGCATGCCCTTGGAAGTCCTATAACATAATGGACCGAGCCTGGGCTCAGCAGTCAGACCAACTCTGCTTCCCTCTGGCTGTGAAGTGTGAGGCCAGTGGGCCCATCTCAAAGACTTTATGGGTGCAATGGAGACCAGAGCCCCCTTAGGTGACAGGAGGTCAAGGATAAAGTGAGGATAGATTGAGAAAATGGTGAGGCATCAGTATGATGCCCGTTATGGCAGAAGTGCTCCCACATGGGTGCTGTCTTTCTCAAGAACCCTTATGCTGCGGGGCAGACGATTCAGGGAGGTGAAAGGCTAGAATAAAGATCTGCTCTGCCTGGAGTATAGCTGTTTACCCCGTTCCCAGGCAAACCACAATGGACTATGCTTCATGTGTTTTCTCTTTTGTTCCAATTTCATCAGCCAGCTAAATCTGATGAACACACAAATTCTGGCAGCCGAACAGGGCCTGGTGTGCTGCTGCCCGATAGAAAGCCTCTTCATCCCCTAAGGCCAATGGCTCTGATAGCAGCTGTTATATGACAGTCTAGATTTTTCTTTTTTTTTGAGACAGGGTCTTGCTCTATCTCCCAAGGCTCAAGTGATCCTCCCACCTTAGCCTCCTGAGTAGCTGCAGGCACGCACCACCACGCCCAGCTAATTTTCGTATTTTTTGTAGACACTGGGGTCTTGCTATGTTGCCCAGGCTGGTCTCAAGAGATCCTCCTGCTGGAGCCCCCAAAGCACTGGTGTGAGCCACTGTACCCAGCCTTTCCTTATTTTAAACCAGAAATCTAAACACCCATATTGCGTTTATATATCTATTTTTTTTTCAATTTTCATTGTAAAGAGGGCTGGAAGCGGTGGCTTGTTGCCTGTAATCCCAGCACTTTGGGAGGCAGAGGTGGGCGCTTGGGCCCAGGAGTTTGAGGCCAGCCTGGGCAACATAGTGAGACCATGTCTCTACAAAAAATACAAAAATTAGCCGGTCGTAGTGGCACATGCCTGTAATGCCATCTACTCAAGAGGCTGAAATGGGAAGATCGCTTGAGGCCAGGAGGTCAGGGGTGCATTGAGCTGAGACCGAGCCACTGCACTCAAGCCTGGGCAAGAGCGAGACTCTACCTCCCCAAAAAAAGAACAAAAAAAGATGTAAAAAAAGTTCAAGTTTATAGACATGTTTAAAGCCTAGCACAATGATTTCCTTCCTGTATACTGCTTACCTCCAATAACCAACTGAAAGCAATGGAAGGCATTTACTTCATCCCTCTCTCCACACATGCGCGTACACATGTAAATTCTATTTATTTTTTGCCAAACCATTTGATGTTATGGTTCAGACACCAAGACAAGGGTCACAATTATGACCTTTAGGCACTTACTTCAGCTATGCCCAGTTTTTGTCTTCACTTCCCACTGTGCTAATCTGGCATTTCTATTTGGACACAGTACTCTACCCAGCCAGATTTTTCTTTTGAGATGGAGTCTTGCTCTATCGCCCAGGCTGGAGTGCAGTGGCACGATCTCGGCTCACTGTAACCTCTGCCTCCCAGCTTCAAACAATTCTTGTGCCTCAGCCTCCCGAAAAGCTGGGATTAGAGGCATGTGCTACCATGCCTAGCTAATTTTTTTTTTTTTTAAGTGGAGACGGAGTTTTGCTATGTTGACCAGGCTGGTCTCGGACTCCTGGCCTCCAGTGATCCACCCACCTCAGTCTCCCAAAGTGCTGGGAGTACAGGCGTGAGCCACTGCACCCGGCCCCTAGCCAGGTTTTAATTTGCTTCGGGACACAGTGTACTTTGAGATGGCATCAAACCAGCCACACATTCTCAAACTGACCTTGTTTTTAAGGTTCTTTTTCTTTCCTATCACCCATGATACTTCATGAAGTGGCTGGTATTTTGCCCAATCTCATGAGAAGTGCCCATCAGTTTCAGGTCAGATGTGCAGAAACATAGAAGAGGAAGCTAACTGACAGGGGTGGGATGTCCCTCCCGGTTACACTCAAGTTCCCCCAGGCTCAGTGAGTGGGATTCACTGAGGCTGCCTGCCTCTCCTCAGGCAGCACAGAGGGTGGGAGCAGCATAACCCTGCCATGGGGGAAGCGTTCGTGCTAAGTGGGGCGAGGCAGGGTGTGACCAAAGGAAAGGAAGGACAGTCAGCTCTCCCAAGCCACCCTTCCTACCATGCCATCACAGGGCTCCAAGTGGCCCTCACTAGAACACTCGAGCTTTAAGATGCAAAGAAAGAAGAACCAAAATAATAAACGAGGCCCATTTCAGGCCTTGTTCCCACACGGTGGCTGTTCAAACTGGGCTTAACCAGCAGGCGCCACAGCAGCCCTGGGCTCCCCACCGGCATACCTTTGCGAGGACAAATCGGTCGTTGTCCGGATTCTCTGGATCTGACTGCTTGTACCTCATGATGTAGAAGAACAGCACAGACATGATCTCAGAAGAACTGCTACATGATGTAGGGTGGCTGAAAGACAGACATGACACTGGTCATTTCTCACAGCAACTGGCTTCCTAGCACACGACCTCGGCACATGGTCTCCTCATAGAAGCGGTCATTTCTCCCAGCCCGGGAAGAATCCAACCAAGGGTAAGGAATGCAGGGCTCACAGGTTGGAAGGGCGCTTTAAAGCCCGGTAAGCTCACCACCCCTCCCCCTGTGCACAGTGAGGCCAGCTCCTAACCGCAGAGCACCGTGGACTCGGGGCAAGTTTCCTTTGTGCCTCTGACATGAGTATTCTTTCACATGCTTAAATTCATCTGTGGCCTTTCCACATGCCGAGGAACTTTCAGGAGCATTGTGAATCAGAAATGCCATGAAGATCCCATTCTACCTTCTACAATGAATTTCTTTTAGGAAGTGAACGGTGACAGACTGAGAAATTTGTCATGGTAGAGTAACTGAGGCCCTTTCTGAATGCTGCCAAAGTAACTGCTGCTCTTAGAAAGCGGCCTGCATGTGAGTCCAGCCAGGCCCTAATTAATTAAAAAGGGGGAGGGGACAAGACAGCAGGGGACAAAACCAACTCCCTGGAGCTCTGCCCCAACTGCAAGTAAAAAAAGATGTTAGGCCCAGCTCATATTAATAATCTCTCATTTCAAATTTCACTAAGAAAGTCCCCATTAAGAAAATGGGGACTGTCCCTCCCCCATTTTCTTAATGGGGACCCGCGAAGGGATGGGCCCTCACTCTGTCACCCAGGCTGGAGTGCAGTGGCATGATCATAGCTCATTGCAGCCTCGACCTCCTGGGCTCAAGTGATTCTCCCGCCTCGGCCTCCCAAGGTGCTGGGATTACAGGCATGAGCCACGCACCCAGCCTGATAAAAAAAAAGCTTCAAAGGACACAAAAAGAGGGCTTTTGCACGTGCAATTGTCGAAGGTGACTGATGAATGGTTTTGGGGTGCTGATGGCAGAGCCCACCAGGCTGCAGGGCTGGCGTGGACATTCTCCTGCAGGGCTGGCGTGCACATTCTCCAGGACCCCTCGTTCACACTCACTGTCCTGGACATCTTCCCTGCATTGCTGGGATACCTTGTTCTTTATTCACTAAGCTCTTTCCTGGCTCAGTGAGAGAAAACTCAAGAGGCCCCGGCAGCAGAGGAGTAACAGGCTTCAGTGGAGAAGGGACCGAGAAGGAAGTAATTGGAAATCTCTTCTTCCTCTCAGGTTCCATCTCCTCTGCTCTCTCCCCACTGCTGAGGGTCGGTAGAAAGGGGGGTGACACACTCCCACCCCATCCTTGTCACACTGTGATCTCCCCCAACGCATCAGTGTCTGCACCTTTGAGGCTCCAAAAAGACGATGTGCCCTTTCTACTTTGGAAAATCACAATTCTCAGAAGACCAACAGAAATGCATGTAGAAAATGATGGAAGTTACTGGGTATCAGAGAACACGATGACCTGAATGAGCAAGAAGATGGTGGGGGGCGGGGGGTAGGGTGGAAGCCAGCTAGGACTCGGTAGTGACAAATGCATAACTATTTGCTTATTTTCAGTGCCTTTTGCTTCAAGTGAGAGGTTTCTGCTCTCCCATGGTGAAGTGTGAGGCATAAATCCTGCTTCATTATGGGGGACTTCCAGGGGGGTGGCACGCAGCCCAGGAGTCCCCCTGGCATGATGAGGGGGAAGTTGGGAAAGAGAAGCAGAAAAGAAAATGGAAGGGGGCCAAACGCAGGAGGTGTGAGGAGGAAAGCCAAGGAAGACGAGGGAAGAGGGAATGATAAAAAGGAGGGAGAGGCCAGGCGTGGGGGCTCACACCTGTAATCCCGGCTCTTCTGGAGGATGATGCAGGAGGATTGCTTGAGCCCAGGAGTTTGAGACCAGCATGGGCAACATGGTGAAACCTCGTCTTTCCAAAAAAAAAAAAAAAAAAAAAAAAAAAAAAAATTAGCTGGGCAGGGTGGCATGCACCTGCAGTTCAAGCTACTTGGGAGGCTGAGGTGGGAGGGTTGCTTAAGCCCAGGAGGTCAAGGCTGTAGTGAGCCATGATCACGCCACTGCACCTCTAGGCTGAGCAACAGAGTGAAACCCTGCCTCAAAATAAATAAATAAATAAATAAATAAATAAATAAATAAATAAATAAATAAAAATTTTAAAAAATGGGGAATGAGAGGTAGGGTCTAATAAGTAGAAGGCAAGGTAGGAGGCTGGCGCAGGAAACGAGTCAGGGTGTTATTTTGTGCGCTAATGCAATGGGTTAACGCATTCGTTTCCTAAGCCTGCCAGGGTGAGTTGCCACAAACGTGATGGCTCAAAACAGAAATCCAGAATCCAGGTGGCAGCAGGGCCACGCTCTCTCCCTAGGTCCTAGGGGAGGATCGCCCTCGCCCCTGCCTCTCCAGCTACTGCTGGCCCTAGGTGTTCTTCGTCTTGCAGCTGGGTCACTCCCGTCCCTGCCTCTCTGCCTTCACAGGACCTTTTCTCCTGCGTTTCTCCACGGTGTCTGTGTGTCTCCAATCTCTCTTTTCTTTCTCTTATAAGGACACTAGTCACTGGATTTAGGGTCCACCCTAAGTCCAGGATGATCTTATCTCAAGATCCTTAACTTAATTTCACCTACAAAACCCTATTTCCAAATAAGATCACATTCACAGGTACGGGAGGCCATGGACTGAATGTGTCCCCCCAGAATTCCTATGCTGAAATCCTAATGCCAGTGTGACAGTATTTGGAGGCAGGGCCTTTGGGAGGTGATTACGCTGTGAGAGTGGAGCCCTCATGAATGGGATCAGCGCCTTTATGAGAAGAGGCTGGAGACCGACCATGTGAGGATACGGGGGGGAAGGTAGTGCTCTTGAGCCCAGTAGCAGGTCCTCGCCAGAACTGACCATGCTAGCACCTTGATCTTGGATTTGTAGCCTCCAGACAGTGAGAGACGAATATCTGCTGTTTAAGCCACCCAGTCTTGGCATTTCTTATAACAGCCCTAAGTGATAACTGATTTGGGTGCCCCTATTCAACCCTTGTTTTGACTTAGATGACATTCTCTACAGGGAAAATTTCTTAGGACTATTGGACAAAATGTAAAGTTCTCTTCTTGCTTTTTGCTTTGTTTTGCAAAAAAAAAAGAAAGAGGAATGGGTCAACCAGAACATCTGGAAAGTCTGGAGTATCACTGAGGAAACACAGGGCGATTGAGAACCCGAAAGTGAATGGAAACCTACGATAGAAGTGAGATATGCTTTTCTGTTGTCACCTCATCGGACTGTGTGTGATGACACAAATGCCAATAGCCGGCAAACAGCGAGGAAACCAACATGATCCTGACAGTTTCAGGAGTGCCCACGCTGAATGATTTTTAAGTTGACTATCTGCCTAAAATAAATAATTGTCTCATTTAAAAAAAAAAAAGAAAAAAGAAAATGGGGACTTAGGCCGGGCACAGTGGCTCATGCCTGTAATCCCAGCATCTTGGGAGGCCGAGGTGGGCGGATCACCTGAGGTCGGGAGTTCGAAACCAGCCTGACCAACATGGAGAAACCCCGTCTCTACTAAAAAAAAAAAAAAAAAGAAAGAAAATGGGGACTAAAACCTCTTGCTTTGCAAATGTCCTGTAAGTGGATGATTTAGATTTAAAAGCCACACAGATCCCTTGAGAAAATGCAGCCATCTGTTACTAATTTTGAAGGTGAAGGGAACAAAATGAACATGTACAAAAAATTCAGACATATATGGTTCTTAACTGCATCCACACTGTCCTCTTACTATCTAGCCCAGGCTCTGGAGCAAGATTTATTTATTTATTTTTTGAGACACAGTCTCACTCTGTTGCCCAGGCTGGAGTACAGTGGCACTCTCTCGGCTCACTGCAACCTCCACCTTCCGGGTTCAAGTGATTTTCCTGCCTCGGCCTCCCAAGTATCTGGGATTACAGAGGTGCACCACCACGCCCGGCTAATTTTTGCATTTTTAGTAGAGACAGGGTTTCACCATGTTGGCCAAGCTGGTCTCAAACTCCTGACCTCAGGTGATCCACCCCACCTCAGCCTCCCAAAGTGCTGGGATTACAGGCATGAGCCACCGCGCCTGGCCAACAAGATTTAAAAAAACATATTGCACTAAGTATTTTCTCTAACCACAATGGGATGAGGTTAGAAATCAATAATAGATGGAAAACTGGAAAATTCACAAATTTGTGAAAATTAAGCAACACACTCTTACACAACCAAAAGCCAATGGCGAAATAAATAAAGGGCATCCAAATTGGAGAAGAGGAAGTCAAACTAGTGCTGTAACACTGATGATACGATCATACAGCTAGAAAACCCTAGGCCAGGCGCGGTTGGCTCACATCTGTAATTCCAGCACTTTGGGAGGCCGAGATGGGCAGATCACCTGAGGTTAGGAGTTCAAGACCAGCCTGGCCATGGTCTGGTGAAACTTTGTCTCTACCAAAAATACAAAAATTTGCCGGGTGCGGTGGCACACACCTGTAGTCCCAGCTACTCGGGTAAGGCAGGAGAATCGCTTGAACCCGGGAGGTGGAGGTTGCAGCGAGCCGAGATCATGCCACTGCACTCCAGCCTGGGTGACAGAAACTCCATCAAAAACAAGCAAACAAACAAACACAAACAAACAAAATCCTAAAGACTCATCCAAAAGACTCTTAGATCTGATGAACAAATTCAGTAGTCTCAGGTTACAAAATAAATGCACACAAATCAGTAGCACTACACCAACAACGACCAAGCTTGAGAATCAAGAACTCAATCCCTTTTACAACAGCTGTAAACAGCAAAAACAACAAATAAAACCCACCCTAGGAATATACTTAACCAAGGAGGTGAAAGACAGCTACAAGAAAAACTACAAAACACTACTGAAAGACATCACAGATGACACAAACAAAGATATCTCATGCTCATGGATAGGAAGAATCAATATTGTGAAAATGGCCATACTGCCCAAAGCAATCTACAGATTCAATGCAATTCCCATCAAAATACACCATCGGGCTGGGCACGGTGGCTCACGCCTGTAATCCCAGCACTTTGGGAGGCCAAGGCAGGCGATCACCAGGTCAAGAGACCGAGATCAGCCTGGCCAACATGGTGAAACCCCGTCTCTACTAAAAATACAAAAATTAGCTGGCAGTGGTGGCGTGTGCCTGTAGTCCCAGCTACTCGGGAGGCTAAGGCACGAGAATCGCTTGAACCCGGACAGCAGAGGTTGCAGTGAGCCAACATTGCGCCACTGCCCTCCAGCCTGGGCGACAGAGCAAGACTCCGTCTCAAGACAAAAAAAAAAAAAAAAAATACTAAAAGTAGTAGATTACCATCTATCTACCATTCAATCCAGAAATTCCACTACTGGCTATCTACCCAAAGGAAAAAAAGTCATTATATGAAAAAGGTACATGCACACACATGTTTATAGGCAGCACAATTCACAATTGCAAAGATAAGGAACCAACCTAAGTGTCCATCAACCAATGAGTGGATAAAGAAGGTGGTGTATATACAACATGGAATACTGCTCAGCCATAAAAAACAATGTATTTTGCAGCAACTTGGGTGGAGCTGGAGGTCATTATTTTAAGCGAAGTAACTCAGGAATAGAAAACCAAATACTGTATGTTTTCACTTGTAAGTGGAGCTAAGTTTTGGAGTGATATAACGGACTTTGGGGAGGAGAATGAAGGGGGAAGGTAGGAAGGAGGTGAGGGATAAAAGACTACATATTGGGGACAATGTACACTGCTTGGGTGATGGGTACACTAAAATCTCAGAATTCACCAATATAGAATTTATTCACATAAGCAAAAACAACTTATACCCCTAACACTATTAAAATTAAAAAAAGAAAATGAGAGGCTGGGTGCGGTGGCTCATGCCTGTAATCCCAGCACTTTGGGAAGCCGAGGTGGGCGGATCACCTGAGGTCGGGAGTTTGAGACCAGCCTGACCAACATGGAGAAACACCGTCTCTACTAAAAACACAAAATTAGCTGGGCGTGGAGGTGCATGCGTGTAATCCCAGCTACTTGGGAGGCCGAGGCAGGAGAATTGCTTGAACCTGGGAGGCAGAGGTTGTGGTAAGCCTAGATTGTGCCACTGCACTCCAGCCTGGGCAACAAAAGCAAAACTCCGTCTCAAAAAAAAAAAAAAAAAAAAAAAGAAAGAAAAAGAAAATGAAAAATCCCTTAGAGACAAATGAAAACAGAAGTACAAAATACCAAAACCTATGTGATGTAGCAAAAGCAGTGCCAAGTGGGACATTTCTAGCTGTAAACACATTTTTTAAAACCCCTCACATCTGGCCGGGTGCGGTGGCTCACACTTGTAATCCCAGCACTTTGGGAGCCGAAGCGGGCAGATCACTTGAGGCCAGGGGTCTGAAACCAACCTGGCCAACAAGGAGAAACCCCATCTCTAGCCTGGGCGACACAGCAAGACTCTGTCTCAAAAAATAATAATAAATAAATAACCCTTCAAATCAACAACCTAACTTTACAACGTAAGGACTAAACCCAAAGCTAGCAGGAGAAAGGAAATAAAAAAGATCAAAGCACAAATAAAACAGAGACTAAGAAAATAGAAAAAATTTAATGAAACCAATTTTTTTTTCTTTTTGAGACAGGGTCTCAGTTTGTCACCCAGGCTGGAGTGTAGGGCACAAACATGGCTCACTGCAGCCTCAAGCAATCCTTCCGCCTCAGCCTTCCGAGTAGCTGAGACTACAGGTGCTCGCCATGTCTAGCTAATTGTTGTATTTTTGGCAGAGACGGGGTTTCCCCATGTTGCCCAGGCTTGTCCTGAACTCTTGAGCTCAAGTGATCCAGCTGCCTCGGCCTCCTAAAGTGCTGAGGTTACAGGCGTGAGCCACCTCCCCTAGCCAAAGCTGGTTCTTTATAAAAGGTCAACAAAACTAGCTATTAATAGATGGGCAGGGCATGGTGGTGTGCACCTGTAGTTCCAGCTACTCAAGAGGCTGAGAGGAAGGAGAGTCGCTTGAGCCCACGAGAGTTCGAGGCTGCAGTGAACTATGATTGCACCACTGCACTCCAGCCTGGGTGAAAGAGCAAGACCCTGCTTAAAAAAAAAAAGTACAATCAAGTTAAAGTGGAGTCATTAATACCGCTTCTACAGAAATAAAAAGAGTGACAGTGTACTATGAATAACTGCATGCCAACAAATGGACTAACCTACAAGAAATGGATAAATTCCTAGAAACAGAAAGCCTCACAAAACTTAATCAGGACAAGAAAATCTGAATAGACCTACAACTAACTAGTAAGGAGACTAAAGCAGTAATAAAAAAAACGCCCAATAAATAAAAGCCTCATTCGTAATTACTGCCAAACATTTAAAGAAAAATTAACAACAGTCTTCTTCAAACTCCTCAAAAAAAAATTTTTTTTTCTCTACAAGGTCTCGCTTCCTCTGTTCCCCAGGCCGTAGTGGCACAATCTTAGTTCACTGCAAACTCTGTCCCCCGCGTAGCTGGGACTACAGGCACGTGCCACCACGCCCAGCTAATTTTTGTAACATTCTGCACAGGGGATTGCCATCTTGCCCAGGCTGATCTCGAACTTTCTAGGCTCACACGATCCGCCTGCTTTGGCCTCTCAAAGTCCTGGGATTACAGGTTGGAGCCACCACGCCCGACCTCTCCAAAAAATTTAAGGTGGAACACTTTGAAACTCATCCTATGAAGCCAGCATTACACTTTTGATACCAAAAGCAAATACTACAACAAAACTATAGACCAGGCCAGGCGCGGTGGCTCACGCCTGTAATCCCAGCACTTTGGGAGGCCGAGGCGGGCGGATCACGAGGTCAGGAGATCGAGACCATCCTGGCTAACACGGGGAAACCCCGTCTCCACTAAAAAACAGAAAAAATTAGCCAGGCGTGGTGGCGGGCGCCTGCAGTCCCAGCTACTCCGGAGGCTGAGGCAGGAGAATGGCGTGAACCCAGGAGGCGGAGCTTGTAGTGAGCCAAAATCGTGCCACTGCACTCCAGCCTGGGCGACAGTGATACTTCGTCTCAAAACAAAAAAAGAAAAAAAAAACAAAAAAAACCTGTAGACCAATATCCCTTATACTGATGCAAAAACCATCAACCGCATACTAGCAAATTCAACAGCTCATTTTTGTTCCAATTCGTACTCAATTCCCGGTTTCTTTTACTTTATTTTTTTAGAGACAGGGTCTCACTGTTTGCCAAGCTGAATGCGAACTCCTGGGCTCAAGCGATCCTCCCTCCTCAGGCCCCACGTACTGAGACTGCAGGCGTGAGCCACCGCCCTCAGCTGGGTTTAACTTTTTTTTCTTTGAGGCACGGTCTCGCTCTTGCCCAGGCTGGAGTGCGGTGGCGCAATCTCAGTTCACTGTAACCTGAGCCTCTCAGCCTCCCGCGTAGCTGGGACTACAGGCACGTGCCACCACGCCCAGCTAATTTTTGTAACATTTTGTACAGAGGTTCGCCATCTTGCCCAGGCTGATCTCGAACTAGTTTCTAGGCTCACACGATCCGTCTGCCTCGGCCTCCCAAAGTGCTTGGGATTACAGGTGGCAGCCACTACACCCAGCCACTCCAAAAAATTTAAGATGGAACACTTTGAAACATCCTATGAAGCCAGCATTACACTTTGATACCAAAACCAAATACTACAATACAACTAGAGACCAATATCCCTCAAACTGATGCAAAAACCATCAACTGCATACCAGCAAACCCAACAGCACAAGCAAGCCTCCCGAATAGCTGGGAGTGCAGGTGTGCGCCCCCATGCCCGACTCATTTTTTATTTTTATTTTTTGGTAAGAGACGGGGTTTCGCCATGTTGCCCAGGCTGGAATTTTAATTGCTTTTTATCCTCACATCCTGGGTTAGAGTCGCTCATTCACCCTCGGGGATCCAGTACAACTGCTTACCAGGGAAGCCCTGCTCCCCGCTAAAATGAAAACCACAGCTAGCCCAATCTGATCCCAGTGACATTCTCCCGCCACCTCAGTCCAGTCTGGATCCTTTGTCTCCCAACTGGAGATCTTGGCGACCTCCAGAACTTTGGCCGTGGGTAAATTGAGGGGCGGGCTCCAGAACCCGCGGCTGACCAACCAACCGACCGACCCTTGGGTTGGCGGGAATAGTGCCTCGCTGCCATCTAGGGTGCTCGACCGGGCCCCAACAGCCCAAGACAGGGCATTACGACACAGCCCATTGTGCCTCTGAAGGCTCTCCCTTCACCACACGGCCTCATGGCCACCAGGCCTGAAGCCACCGGGCCCGTGGCCCTGCATGACCCAGACTTCAATGAGGAGAACTTACCCGGAGCTCGTGGAGCATGTGGCCCTGATGGAATGGATTCGCAAGCGGCTGGCCATATCTTGCAACACCTGCAAGGTGCCCCTGTCAGGTCTGGCCTCCTCCGGGAACTCAGCCCTCGCCTCAGCATCCGCCATTAGTCCAACCCCTTTGGAGTCTGAAGACCCACTCCTACGTCTCCGGCGTCTGAAGAGCGAATGGCGCCTGCGAGCTGCCCAGTGCGTTTATGTGATGTCGGTGCAGCTCCCTCCGCATGCCTCGTGCCACTCCCTCCACCTGCCGCTCCCTCCGCCGGCCGCTCCCTCCGCAAGCAAGTCAAGGGATCTGGAATGTTTGTGACTTGCATGTGCACAGTTATTGAAAATAGTCCCATTCTCATCTTCTCTCCTGCAATCTCAAAAGGGCTCCCTCCGCGCGGGTGCAGGGTCTTCTTTCTCTGCACAAAAAGTTCCGGCACTAGCTGTGTGGTGCCGCACGTGTCAGGGGGTGGTGCCGCACGTGTCAGGGGGTGGTGCCGCACGTGTCAGGGGGTGGTGCCGCACGTGTCAGGGGGTGGTGCCGCACGTGTCAGGGGGTGGTGCTGCACGTGGGACGTGCAGCTGCAACCGTAAAGGTGGGGGAGGGAGGGAGCTGCTGTGGCGCAATTTTTTGTTTCGTGATAAATGGTCACCCCTCCCCCACAACAGCCCAGGCTATGGCGGGCAGGGTGGGGGTGGGGCAGTGCTCAGGGTTCTGAGACGGTTGGCGCCTGCGCCAGCCTCCTTTCCTTTTTTAAAACATTCTATGAGGCAAGCCCCGTGTGATTGTTGAGGAGGAGTTAGCCCATTGCCAGCCTGTGACGTGACTGACTCGAATGAACCCTGGTAACTAGGGAATGTGCTCGCCCTGTGTCTGAAATGCCCCATGTCCGGTGGTGCCAGCACTAGCCCCCATGTCGGTCTCAGAGAACCTTCTCCCCACCTCTGAGGTGACCTACCGACCCAGAACTCGCATGGCTCCCAACGGCGCCAGCTCCACAGCGCCGTGCCCAAGTCCAGACATTCCGGATCCCAAGTGCTGTCTCTTGGTTCAAAAATGCCGAATTTCTACGTGAGCTCAAGTCAGGCCGCCTGGTCGCGCCACAGGCTGAATGCCCTTGGGTTCCCATGTTCTGCTGGGTTAAAGGGAATGTGTGTTTACATTTTTTTTTTTTTTGAGACGGAGTCTCGCCCTGTCGCCCAAGCTGGAGTGCAGTGGCTCGAACTTAGCTCGTTGCAACCTCTGCCTCCTGGCTTCAAGCGATTCTCCTGCCTCAGCCTCCTGAATAGCTGGGATTACAGGCATCCGCCACCACACCTGGCTAATTTTTTGTATTTTTAGTAGAGACGGGTTTTCACCATGTTGGCCAGGTTGGTCTCGAACTCCTGACCTCAGGTGATCTGCCCACCTCGGCCTCCCAAAGTGTTGGGATTACAGGTGTGAGCCACCATGCCAGGCGGTGGTGGGCACCTGTAATCCCAGCTAATGGGAATCTGAGGCAGGAGAATCACTTGAATCCGGGAAGCGGAGGTTGCAGTGAGCTGAGATGGCGCCACTGTACTCCAGCCTGGGCGACAGAGCAAGACTCCGTCTAAAAAAAAAAAAAAAGTGGCTGGGCACAGTGGCACACGCTCCTGTAATCCCAGCACTTTGGGAGGCCAAGGTGGGTGGATCACCTGAGGTCAGGAGTTCCTGACCAGCCTAACATGGAGACACCCCGTTTCTACTAAATACAAAAAAATTAGCTGGGTGTAGTGGCACATACCTGTACTCCCAGCTACTTGGGAGGCTGAGACAGGAGAATCGCTTGTACCTGGGAGGTCGAGGTTGCGGTGAGCCAAGATCGAGCCATTGCACTCCAGCCTGGGCAACAAGAGCAAAACTCTGTCTCAAGAAAAAAAATTTAACAGGCCACCTAATTGCGATTAAAAAAAAACCAAAACCCTGAATCTGTTTAGATTCCCACTTGCAGGGTATGTGACATCACCTTCTGCCACATTCTCGCCAGCCCTGGACATTGTTAGGCTTTTTAATTTTTGGCGTTCTGGTGGATGAGAAAATAGTATTTAATTGTTGCTTTTCGCTTACTATTCCCGGATCACCTTGCAATTACATGTTTTATTATACGTTTACTGTCTTTTGTTTTTCGTCGTCTGAGATGTCCGTGGCTACCCTTTAATGTCTTTATATTGGGTTATTTGCTCTTAGTTTACTGATTTGCAGTTCTTTATATATTGTGTTGATTAGCCCTTTATCTATCAGATATGTTTCAAGCCTTTTTTTTTCTTGTTTGCTTTTATTTATTTATTTTTTGAGATGGGGTCTCAGTCTGCCACCCTGGCTGGAGGGCAGTGGTGCGATCATGGCAGCCTCGACATCCCCGGGATCAAGCGATCCTCCCGTCTCAGCGTCCTGGGTAGCTGGGACTACAGGTGTGCACCACCACTCCAGGATAATTGTTGTATTAATTTTTTTTTTAATAGAGACGGGGTTTCGCCATGTTGCCCAGGCTGGTCTTGACCTCCTGAGCTCAAGAGATCCACCCACCTTGGCTTCCAAAGTGCTGGGATTACAGGCATGAGCCAGCACACCCAGCCCTTGTTTTTTTTTCTCCCCCTTTCTTTCTTTCTTTTTTGTTTTTGTTTTGATTAATCAAGTCCCATTTTTTTCTCCTCTTGGTTATTTGGATGTTATGTACATATGTAGCTTCTTTTCTAGTGATTACTTTTTTTTTTTTTTTTGAGACAATCTCACTCTTGTCAGTCAGGCTGGAGTGCAGTGGCGCAGTCTCGGCTCACTGCAACCTCCGTCTCCCCGGCTCAAGCAATTCTCCTGCCTCAGCCTCCCCAGTAGCTGGGATTACAGGTGTGTGCCACCATGCCCGGCTAATTTTTGTATTTTTAGTAGGGACAGTGTTTCGCAGTGTTGACCATGATGGTCTCAAACTCCTGACCTCAAGTGATCCACCCGCCTTGGCTTCCCAAAGTGCTGGGATTACAGCTGTGAGCCACCACGCCCGGCCCGGCCCCCCCCCCCCGCTCTTTTTTTTTTGAGACAAGGTCTCACTCTGTCACCCAGGTTGGAGGGCAGTAGCACAGTCACAGGTCACTGCAGCCTCTACTTGCTGGGCACAAGTAATCCTCCTGCCTCAGCATCCTGAGTAGCTGGGACCACAGGTGCACACCACTGCCCTGGCAAGACTTGCTTTTTAAACAGTTGTTGAATTCTTACATTTGTCAGTGGTGTACTGAACTCCTTCATGTCTAAAAATGTCTTTAGTCTAACCCCACAGTTGACAGTTGGGGTGTAGAATTTTAGGCTGGGAAATCATTTTTCCCTCAGAATTTCGAAAGCAGCACTTCATTGTCTTTTTTTTTTTTTTTTTTTTTTTTTTTTTGGGACAGAGTCTTGCTCTGTCGCCCAGGCTGGAGTACAGGGGAGTGATCCTCGGCTCACTGCAACCTCTTGGGTTCAAGCGATTCTCTTGCCTCAGCCTCCCGAGTAGCTGGGATTACAGGCGCCCACCACAATGCTGGCTAATTTTTGTATTTTTAGTAGAGACAGAGTTTCCTCATGTTGGCCAGCCTGGTCTCAAACTCTTGACTTCAAGTGATCCGCCTGCCTGGGCTTCCCAGAGTGCTGAGATTACAGGTGTGAGCCACCGTGCCCGGCCAGCACTTCATTGTCTTCTAGTTCCCCATGCTGTTGCTGAAGTCTGAAGCCATTCTGACTTCTGATTCTTTGAATGTGACCTATTTTTTTCTCTCTGACAGTTATTCTCTCAGTGTATCGAAGATATCAGTCAACTATCTTCTGGATTGCATTGATGCTATTGAGAAGGCAGCCTGCAGTCTAAAAGTCATGGTTTTAAAGGTAATCAGCTTTTTTTCCTCTGGCTGCTTTTAACATCTTGTGTCGGCCGCGGGCGGTGGCTCATGCTTGTAATCCCAGCACTTTGGGAGGCCGAGGTGGGCGGATCATTTGAGGTCAGGAGTTCCAGACCAGCCTGGCCAACATGGTGAAACACTGTCTCTACTAAAAATACAAAAATTAGCTGGGCATGGTGGCGGGCGCCTGTAGTACCAGCTACTTGGGAGGCTGACGCAGGAGAATCGCTTGAACCCGGGAGGCAGAGGTTGCAGTGAGCCGAGATCACGCCACTGTACTCCAGCCTGGGCGACAAGAGCGAAACACTGTTTCAAAAAAAAAAAAAAAAAAAAAAATCTCGTGTCTAGGTGTGGACCTATTTCTGTCTTCCCTGCTTAGGATTTATTGGGCTTCTTGAATTTGTGAATTTGTGTCTTTCTTCAGTTCTGGAAAGTTCTTAGGGAGTTATCTCTTAAAATGTTGCTGCTGTGGCCGGTCGTAGTGGCTCATGCCTGTAATCCCAGCACTTTGGGAGGCCGAGGTGGGTGGGTCACCTGATGTTGAGAGTTCGAGAACAGTCTTGCCAACATGATGAAACCCCATCTCTACTAAAAATACAAAAGAATTAGCTAGCTGTGATGGCACGCGCCTGTAGTCCCAGCTACTCGGGAGGCTGAGGCACGAGAAGTGCTTGAACCCGGGCAGCAGAGGTCGGCCGTGAGCCGAGATTGTGCCACGGCACTCCGCCTAGGCAACAGAGTGTGACTCCATTTCAATTTAAAAAAAAAAGAAGAAAAATATGTATATATTGCTGCTGCTTCATTCTGTCTGTCTTCTCTCTCTGGTGTGACAATTGGATTTTTGTTAGACCTACTCATGCTACCTTCCATGTCTTCTATTTTTCAAGTTTTCTATTTTTTTGTGCCTCTGTGCTGCATTCTGGATACTTTTTTTTCTTTCTTTCTTTTCTCTTTCTCTCTCTCTCTCTCTCTCTCTCTCTCTCTTTCTTTCTTGGGATGGAGTTTTGCTCTTGTTGCCCAGGTTGGAGTGCAGTGGCGTGATCTCGGCTCACTGCAACCTCTGCCTCCTGGGTTCAAGCCATTCTCCTGCCTCAGCCTCCCAAGTAGCTGGGATTACAGGTGCCCACCACCATGCCCAGTTAATTTTTTGTATTTTTTAGTAGAGACAGGGTTTCACCATGTTGGTCAGGTTAGCCTCAAACTCCTGACGTCAGGTGATCCACCCGCCTTGGCCTCCCAAAATGCTGGGATTACAGGCGTGTGAGCCACCGCGCCCGGCCTGGATACTTTCTTTAGCTCCTCTGTACAATTTACCAACAGTCTCTCCAGCCATATCAAATCTGCCATTAAATCCATCAATTGAACATATTATTATTTATTATTTATTTATTTTTTGAGACGGAGTCTCACTCTACCACCCAGGCTGGAGTGCAGTGGCACGATCTCAGCTCACTGCAACTTCTGCACCCCGGGTTCAAGCGGTTCTCCTGCCTCAGCCTCCCGAGTAGCTGGGACTACAGGCGTGTGCCACCACGCCTGGCTAATTTTGTATTTCTAGTAGAGATGGGGTTTCTCTGTGTTGGTCAGGCTGGTCTTGAACTCCCGACCTCAGGTGATCCGCCCGCCTCGGCCTCCCAAAGTGCTGGAAGTACAGGTGTGAACCACTGTGCCAGGCATTTTTTTTTTTTTTTTTGTATTTTGTATAGACGGGGTTTCACCATGTTGGCCAGACTGGTCTTGACCTCCTGACCTCCGCCCGCCTCGGCCTCCCAAAGTGCTGGGATTACAGGCATGAGCCACCACACCTGGCCTATATTGAACATTTAAATAGTTTGAAAACTGTGAAATCTGGCATATGTATATAAAGGTGCAGAAAACATTGATGTATGTTTTAAGAAGTAACGATAAGGTGAACACACATTTAACCACTACTCAGGCCAGGCACCCCAGCCTCCACAGTCACCCCAGTCATAATCCCCTTCTCCCGCTCTAGTGGGAACCACCATCCTGGGGTTTCTGTTGCCAACATCCATGCTGCTCTTTAGCTTTCCTGCCTGTGTAGTCATCCCTACACAATATTGTTTAGTTTTGCCTGCTCTTGGAATTTATGTAAATGGAACCATATATAGTATGGATTTTCTGTCTGGTTTCTTTTGTTCAACATTATGCTTGTGAAATGCATTCATGTTTTTCAAGGCTGTAGTTCATTCTCATTGCTGTACAGTAGTATGTTGTTGCATATATTACAGTTTACTTACACTTTCTGGGCAGGTGGTTTGTTGCTAGTTGTTGGATATTGAGAACATCAGTGTACTTGCCTCCTGGGAATATCGCCTATGAATGCAGTTGCTGGATCATTTGGTAGGTATATCTTCAACTTTGTGATACTGTCAAGTGGTTTTCTAAGGTGGCTGTAGTACAAATTTGCTTCCCGCCAGTAATGATTGAGAGTTCCTGTTGCGCTATATCCTTGCCAACTCTTATTGTTGTTAGTCTGTCTGAGTTTGACCAATCTACTGGGTACATAGTGGTATCACTTTGCATTTTAAAAATTGAGGTATAGGCCAGATGCAGTGGCTCACACCGGTAATCCCAGCACTCTTTGGGAGGCCGAGGCGGGAGGATCACTTGAGGTCAGGAGTTGGAAACCAGCCTGGTCAACATGGTGAAACCCTGTCTCTACTAATAATACACGAATTAGCTGGGTGTGGTGATGCACACCTGTAATCCCAGCTACTCGGGAGGCTGAGCCATGAGAATTGCTTAAACCCGGGAGGCGAAGGTTGTAGTGAGCCGAGATTGCACCACTGCACTCCAGCCTGGGTGACAGAGTGAGACTCCGTCTCAAAAAACAAAAAAGTAGAAACGGAACAGAGGCTGCACCTGAGCTGCCCCCCACCTCCCTCTCCTAGCTCCTTGCTCTGGTGGGCTGGGTTCCAGCTATGCTGCTCTTGCCATCTTTATTTTAGAGGTAAGAAAACTGAGCCTCAGAGCAGTTTATTAACTTGCTCAAGGTCTCAGAGTGGTAGAGCCAGGATTTGAACTGGGCTCTTCGTCAAAGGCAATGTTAATCCCCTCACCATGTGAGAGACTCATTCTTTTGTGTTACAGTAGAATTTTCTGCCGTAGACTGTCAGCTGTATGAGATCAAGGAATGTATCTGGCTTCTGTACCACGTGGTAGGCACTCAGAGAAAGTATGTGTTGAATGAATGATTGGATGAATGAATGAACCTGTTAGGAGGCAAATCTCTCTGCCTAACCCTTCCTGTCTCCCTGGGAGTAGCAATACAGCAAGCTGTAAGAGTTGACGGAAATAAGCTTATTCCATACTTTACAAGAACAGTTCTTTATAAATGAGACCCACAATTGGTAATTTTTGGAAGAGAAAATAGGAGTGCAGTGCAAAAACAGGCAGATGTAGAAGGGAGTCTGGCCACCTGTGGGTCTTAGTGAGGCACACATGTAGAGCAAGGAGTCAGACGCTGAAAAGGAGGGGAGAGGGGCCCTGAAGATGAGCATCACCTCCTCAGTCTGTGTCGGGCCCATCTTGAATGCACAAATCTTGCGTGTGTAAGTATCCATGCATATGTGGAAGTGTTTTATGGAGTCATAACGTGTCCAATTCTCCCACACTTTGCGGCTCACAGAGCACCGTATTGTGATTTCTTGTTTCCCAACGTAGGCGGAACACACCAGGAGCCCCAGCGCAACCCTCCCCTCCAATGTGCCTTCATGCCGGTCCCTGTCATCCAGCGAAGACGGCCCCAGTGGCCCTTCCAGCCTCGCAGATGGAGGCCTAGCCCACAACTTACAGGATAGTGTCAGGCACCGCATCCTCTACCTCTCAGAGCAGCTGAGAGTGGAGAAGGCCAGTCGGGATGGCAACACTGTGAGCTACCTCAAGCTGGTATCCAAAGCAGACCGGCACCAGGTGCCGCACATCCAGCAGGCCTTTGAGAAGGTGAACCAGCGCGCCTCTGCCACCATCGCCCAGATCGAGCACAGGCTCCACCAGTGTCACCAGCAGCTCCAGGAGCTGGAGGAAGGCTGCAGGCCCGAGGGCTTACTGCTGATGGCAGAAAGCGACCCAGCCAACTGCGAGCCACCCAGTGAGAAGGCCCTGCTTTCAGAGCCCCCCGAGCCAGGTGGGGAAGACGGGCCGGTCAACCTGCCTCATGCCAGCAGGCCCTTCATCTTGGAGAGTCGCTTCCAGAGCTTACAGCAGGGGACGTGCTTAGAGACAGAGGATGTGGCCCAGCAACAAAACCTGCTGTTGCAGAAGGTAAAGGCAGAGCTGGAAGAAGCCAAGAGGTTCCACATCAGCCTCCAGGAGTCCTATCACAGCCTAAAGGAGAGGTCTCTGACTGACCTGCAGCTGTTGCTGGAGTCCCTTCAGGAGGAGAAGTGTAGGTGAGGCCTTGGCTCTGGGGACTGGAAGCAGAGGAGGAACCGCTCCCAGGAGCCACCTATGGGAGGGTGAAAGGGAGCCAGGACAGGAGCCTGGAGAGCCAGGGTGAGGGGCCAGTTGGAAGAGCAGGTCCATGCTTCTTTTAGCGACTGGGCCCTGCAGTGGGGCGAGCCAGCCCTCTCCCTGCAGTCCCACACCTGCCTTGACCCTTGCTAGCGAAAATGCTCCAGCTTGGCAGCCCCTGCCGGGTGGTTGCAGCGGCATAGCGGCTGGCCCTGACCCTGTGGTGGCAGGGGACAACATGGGGGTGGCAAGAGTCCGGTAGACACCTGGCACTAGTTAGGGAGGTGGCGTCCTTTGGTCCCAGTCGGCTGGGAAGGTGGGAGTCAGGACCGGAGTCGCCTCGCCAGCTCTGGTCTCTTCACATGTGCTCCTAGCTGAGCTGGGGCACAGGCCGGGTCTCAGATACTTATTTCAAAAATGACTGCCTTCTGGTGAATGCTTTCTCCGCACCGTGCAGTAGCTCGATTTTCTTTTTCTTTTTTTTCTTTTGAGATGGAGTCTCACTCTGTCGCCAGACTGGAGTGCAGTGGCACGATCTCGGCCCACTGCAACCTCCACCTCCCGGGTTCAAGCGATTCTCCTGCCTCAGCCTCCCGAGTAGCTGGGAATACAGGCGTGCACCAGCACATCCGGCTATTTTTTGTATTTTTAGTACAGGCGGGGTTTCACCATGTTGACCAGGATGGTCTCAATCTATTGACCTCGTGATCCGCCTGCCTCAGCCTCCCAGAGTGCCGGGATTACTGGTGTGAGCCACCTCACCCTGCCCTAGCTCGATTTTCTTTCCCTCTAAGATAAGGCTAGGGCCTACCAATTGGAGGAAAAAAAAAAAAAAAAAAAAAAAGGCAAACCCAATCTCTCAACGGATTCTCTCCATTCCTATTGGGACCGTTCTCTGGGTTTCCATGGGCCCTCAGGGGGTGCCACATTCTGTCCCCCTCGCTGCAGTCTGTGGCTAATTAACGCCAGTCCCTCCAGCGTCCTGGCTAGGGAGGCAGCGATTCCCTTAGGTGAGCCAAGATTCTCAGCATTTGCATGAAAAGAAGAACTCCGCAGTCCTTTTAGTGCCTGATGCAGGGGAAGCGGCGTGTGGGAATCATCCTCTTTAGTTTCCCCAGGGAAATCTTGCCAGCGTTTACATGGCCTAAGAATCTGTTAAAGGACAATCAAAGAATATTACAGGGCAACCACTGTCAATGAGATGACTAGTCAGAGTCACAGGCGTCTCTTGCAGATTATTTTCATAGGACATGGCAACCAAATCTAAAATCTTGGGAGCATCAAAGACCCTTTTGTGAAAATCACACTTACCCGGTCAGCTTTCTATTAAGCAACAGCAGAACTTGGTGGCAGTTACAAACTTCCCCGTATGTTTCCAAGCCACAGGGGCCAATGAGAATGCTGTGCTCAGGTAAACTCTTAACCCCTCTCAAATCCGAGTCTTTCGCCCGCTCTTGATACAGCGGTGACTACCGGGGAGCAGGGCAATACCTCTGTCTCTCCCCCTCTCAGACTTTTGCTGCAAATTCTAGAAGCCTGCACTTCTGACCCGGTACCCCCCATTGGACTGTGACATGGGATGTCTGGTTGTTTGCTGCAGCAGCGAGCCTACCCTTACTAATGTTCATCGTGAGCAGAAAAGCAGGTCTACAGGGCCCAAGCAGGTCTACAGGAGGAGAAAGGGCTGCTGATGATTTTTCACTGTTGTCACGGGCTCGTAACTGAGCTGGGGCACCAGGTTAAGCAGCCTTGTTCTTTGGCCCTCAGACGCCTACTTTATGGTTGGGGAAGCAGAGTCTCACGGAGGCACAAGCAGGCTACGTGGCTGCTAAGTGCGGACCTGAGAGCATTTCACCACACCCTGGCTGTGTGGCTAAGTTAGATGCAGGGGACACAGGAGTTCATGGCATTTTAAAAACATATACTTCCGTAAAATCTTCTTCAAAACTTTTACATGATCTGGACACAGAAGTGTTTCAACCAGCCAGGCTCCCTGTGACTGTTGCGTCCCCTCTGGTGCATCACAAACTGAGAATCCATACTGCAAGTCCTGTGCTGTTTATCACAGTTAAATCCGTTTGCTTTCAGGAGGGCTGTTGTGGTTTTTATCATTATGGTTTCTTTTTAATTTGGTCTCGGCATGTCTCTACTGAGAGTGGCCATAGCCGAGATACCCAGTTTCTAGGAGATCCCTGACCCGTGGGAAAGTTAGGTTCGGATGTGTGTGTCAGGGGAGCCACAGTGAGGAGGCAGACGAAAATGCATGAAACAGCAGAAATGGGCTGGGCGTGGGGGCTCACGCCTGTAATCCTAGCACTTTGGGAGGTTGAGGTGGGCAGACTGCTTGAGCTCAGGAGTTTGAGACCAGCCTGGGCAACATAGTGAGACCCGGTATCTACAAAAACATCAAAAAATTAGCTGGGCGTGATGGCGCGTGCCTGTAGTCACAGCTACTCAGGAGGCTGAGCGGGAGCGGGGATCCCTTGAGCCCGGGAGGTTGAGGCTGCAGTGAGTCATGATTGCACCACTGCACTCCATTCTGGGTGACAGAGCAAGACCCTGTGTCAAAAAAAAAAAAAAAAAAAAAGAAATGTATGACTCAGATCGAAGAGATGTTAGGTGTGCTGATGGGAGGCAGAGGGGAAGTCTGGAGGCAGCAGGGAGCTGATTGAGCTCATCAGCTGTGCAACAGCGAAGCCCAGAACGGAAGGGCGGGGAAGCTTCCGGGGCTGTGCCTGTATTAAGGTCACAGGGTGTGAAGTGATCCCACAGGCTTTCCTGCGGGGGTTGTGGATTGGCTGGTTTAAAGAAAACATGCACGAGGAGGAAACTGATTTACATGACTCTGGTGTTGAGCATTAGGTCTTATCGTGGTCAGCAGCCGTGGGATGTGTTGGGTTTTGGGTCAGTGAGGCGAGGACCACGTGGGCTATGTCGCAAACAATCACATGACAGGGAGGGAGGGGTGTTATCTAGGGCAAAGGTGACAGGGTACAACTGCTAAAGTTGGATGCTGAGGCAGCAACTGTATTAAACGCATTTATGACAAGGGCTTACTTAAAAAAATTGATGTAGAATTCACATAATTTCACGTAATGTGAAATTAACCATTTGGAAGCATGTAATTCAGTGCATTAAGTACATCTGCAGTGTGGTTCAACCATCACCTCTGTCCGGTTGTCTAACATTCTCATCACCCCAGAAGGAGACCTCCAGACTCACTACACGGTCACTCCTAGCCTCGGCTCCAGGCGTTCCCTAATCTGCTTTCTGTCTCCGTGGGTTTGCCTCTTCTGGACTTTTCATATAAATGGGACCATACGATATGTGGGCTTTTGTGTCTAGCTCCTTTCACTGTTTTCAAGGTTCACTAATGTTGTAGCACGTATCAGTACTTCATTCTCTTGACGGCTGACTAATATTCCAGTGCATGGGTAGACCACATTTTGTTTATCTGTCCATCAGTGGATGGAGATTTGAGTTGTTTCCACCTTTTGGCTATTGTGAGAAGCCCTGCGCTGAACACTCAGATACATGCCAGTTGTTTGAACACCAGTTTTCAATTCTTTGGGGTCTATAATCAGGAGTAGAATTGCTGGACCCCGTGGTGACTCCAGGTGTAGCGTTTAGAGGAGTCTTCCCACAGCAGCCGCGCAGCTCCATCTTCCCACCAGCAATGCAGAAGGCTTCCAGTTGCCTCACATCCTTGCCAACATTTGTTGTTATCCTTTTTTTTTTTTTCCAACAGATGTAACTGTGAAGTGGTATCTCATTATGAGGGCTGGCTTTCTTTTTTATTTTTCCTGAGTCTTTGGATAGGCAAAAGTTCTTTCTTTCTTTCTTTCTTTCTTCTTTTTCTTTTTCTCTCTTTCTTTCCATCTCTCTCTCTCTTTCTTTCTTTTTCTTTCTCTCTTTCTCTTTCTTCCTTTCTCTCTGTCTCTCTCTCTCTCTCTCTATCTCTCTTTCTTTCTTTCTTTTTCTTCAGGGTCTCTGTTGCCCAGGCTGCATGCAGTCATAGTTCACTACAGCCTTGAACTCCCGGGCTCAAGCGATCTTCCTGCCTCAGCCTCCCGAGTAGCTGGGAGTACAAAGCATGTGCCACCATGCCTGGCTAACTTTTTAAAAATTATTATTATTTGTAGAGATGGGATCTTGCTATGTTGCCCAGGCTGGTCTTGAACACCTGGCCACGGCCTCCCCAAGTACTGGGGTTACAGATGTGAGCCACTGTGCCTGGACAGTTCTTACTTTTTAATGCATTTTTTAATTGATTGTGGTAAAAAAAAAAAAACCCACAATATATTCTTTTTGATTCTGCGACGTGCAGGGTCTCTATCACAGCAACAATTAGACTCAGGAGGCTTGGGGCTGGCCCTGGGGTCTCCTCCTTCATGAGGTCTGGGTTTGTAGGTCCTTGCAGAGGACGTTCCTGGGTCCTGGAAGGACTGTGACTGCTTCCGCTGGAGTTGCTTGAGGCCCCTGGTAACTCTCCTCTCTGTGTGCTGAGGAGAAGCACGGGCGTCGCGAACTTGATGATTCTGGATGGAAGGGTCTTTGCCAAGCTTCCCTTTCTTTCTTGTGGAAATAGGAGGAGCTTCAGATCTCCGAGAAGATGCACAGTGAGCGGCCTACCTCCTCAGCACAAGCCAGTCTCCTGGGGGACCAGAAGGCCCCGGTCCCTCAGTTTCTTCGTGGGTCAGGAGGAAAGAAGGCTTGAGAAACTCAGAAAATGTTCATTGGTAGAAGAGATGGCACCCCAGGAAGGCATGGGGAGCCTTCAAGTAAAAGTCTCGACTGGCCAGGTCTCATCTGGGCACCTTGCATGCAGAGTTGCAGGAGGCCCCCTCTAGCCTCCTAATGAGCCAGGGGGCTCTGGGAGGGTCTTGGGGGTCCTTCCCCATCTCTTACAGGATGCGCAGCTGACTTCTGCTTGATGGTGAAAGGCAGTCAGGTTTCAGTCTTGGCCCCGTAGACAGGGCATGGACAAGTCCTGGAGTTGGGGGTATGGTGCCAGCAAAACCATCTTTACTCTCTGGGGTCCATAGCCAGTCCCAGCCTGCCCAGCCCCACCCTCCTCCTTCACCTTTGTAGCCCGAGTGGTCAATGCCTGGGGTAGATGGGTTGCTGGGACATCTTTGTTCTTTGTTGGATGAGTAAAATGGTCCTGGGAGAAAACCCGACTGTGAGGAGCACATTGCTTCTTTTTTTTGTCTTTTTTATGAGATGGAGTCTCACTCTGTCCCCCAGGCTGGAGTGCAGTGGCACGATCTCGGCCCACTGCAACCTCCACCTCCCGGGTTCAAGCGATTCTCCTGCCTCAGCCTCCCGAGTAGCTGGGATTACAGGCACACGCCAGCATGCCTGGCTACTTTTTGTATTTTTCAGTAGAGATGGGGTTTCGCCATGTTGACCAGGGGTCTCGAACTCCTGACCTGAAGCGATCCACCCGCCTCGGCCTCCCAAAGTGCTGGAGTTACAGGTGTGAGCCACCACACCTGGCTGGAGGACATTGCTTCTTGCCCCATTTCTAGTTCCCTAGACCTGCCTTGGCATCAACTCATTGAAGGCTCCACTTGGTGACAAGGAACCGGCTTATTTGGAAACAGGGTCGTTGCGGACGTGATGAGTTAGATCTGGATGAGGTCATTCTGCAGAGGGGTGGGCCCTAATGCAGTGTGACCTGTGTCCTGACAGAAAGGGGAGACGGAGACACGGACACACCCAGAGGGAGAGCGCCGTGTGGAGACAGAGGCTGAGGCCGACCTGCCGTGGCAGAAGCCAAGGAAGCCCGCAGGTGGGCAGCAGAGCAGAAGCTGGGACAGAGGCCCCGAGTGGAGGCGCCTTCTCGGTCCTCGGCAGGAGCCCGCCCAGCCTGGGCCTTCCTCTCGGACTGCTGGACCCCCAGCCAGGAGAGAGGCCATCTCTGCTGGGAAAGCCACTCAAAGTTTGTAACGCTTTGTGATGGCAGCCAGAGGAAACTCCCACACTCAGCTTGTCCTTTAGGCTCTGCTCTGATGTCCTCTCCTCAAAGGGACTTCCCAGGCTACCACGTTCAAATGGCCTCTTCTTTTATTCTTTTGGAAGCGGGGTTTTTTGAAGTAAAGTTTTTGTTTTTTTGTTTTTTTTAGATGGAGTTTTGCTCTTGTTGCCCAGACCGGAGTGCAATGGCGCAATCTCGGCTCACTGCAACCTCCGCCTCCTGAGTTCAAGCGATTCTCCTGCGTCAGCCTCCCGAGTAGCTGGGATTACAGGCAGGCACCACCACGCCTGGCTAATTTTGTAATTTTAGTAGAGATGGGGTTTCTCCATGTTGGTCAGGCTGGTCTCGAACTCCTGTCCTCAGGCGATCCACCTGCCTCGGCCTCCCAAAGTGCTGGGATTACAGGAGTGAGCCACCGCGCCTGGCCTTTTTGAGGTAAATTTTATGCAGTGAAATTGCATTTAAGTTTAGGCATACAGTTTAACGAGTTTTGACAAAGGTTTACACCTGGGCAGCTAAAATCCCAATAAAGAGCTTTGCCACCACCCCAGAAAGTACCCTCATACCCTCTTCCAGTGAATGCCCGTCTCCCATAATTGGCCACTGTTCCGGTTTCTGTCACTCTAGCTTCATCTCCTTTTGAACTTCACGTAAGTGGAATCGCACGGCACGCAGTGCTTTGTGTCTGGCGGCTTTCGCTCCGTGGAATTGTTTTGAGATCCACCCAAGCTGTGTGAAGTGAGTAGCTCATGGCTTCGTATTGCTTGGCAGCCTTCCATTGCATGGAGACGCCGCAGGTTGCTTATGCCCTGGTCCGCTGCCAGTTGGGGCGACTGAATAAAGCTGCTATGAACGTTCTCGCACAAGTCTTTCTGTGAACATATGCTTTCATATATGGAATTGCTAGATAACAGGGAAGTGTTATGTGTCTTAGTCCCACTTTCTGTTGCTGTAACAGAGTACCGCAGGCTGGGTGGTTTATAAAGAAAGGAAGTTCAATGTCAAGGCGCTGGCAGCTGGTGAGGACCTTTGTACGGCATCATCCTATGGCGGAAGGCAGAAGGGCAAGAGGGCGTGAGAGAGCGAGCGGGGGCCAAACTTTCATGATAACAATATTAATATTAATCGCCTCTTACCAGTCCCACCCCTTAACACCATCACATGGCCATTAAATTTCAACACGAGTTTTGGGGGGGACATGTACCCCATAGCAGTATGCTTAACTTTTTAAGAAAGAGGAAGGCCGGGCGCGGTGGCTCACCCCTGTAATCCCAGCACTTTGGGAGGCTGAGGCAGGCGGATCACCTGAGGTCGGGAGTTCGAGACCAGCCTGAACAACATGGAGTAAACCCTGTCTCTACTAAAAATACAAAATTAGCCCGGCGTGGTGGCACATGCCTGTAATCCCAGCTACTCGGGAGGCTGACGCAGGAGAATCGCTTGAACTCAGGAGGCGGAGGTTGCGGTGAGCCGAGATCGTGCCATTGCACTCCAGCCTGGGCAACGAGTGAAACTCCATCTCAAAAAAAAAAAAAAGAGGAACTGTTTTCCGACATGGCTATACCATTTTACAGTCCCGCTAGGAGTGTATAAGAGTTCCAGTTGCCAACGTTTGGCAAGATCAGTCTTTTAAATGTCAGCCTCTTAAGTTCAGCCACAACTTGGTGAAATTAGACTCCAAAATTTCATCACCCTAGCCCATGTTCTCTCGACCTTGGCACTGTCGACATTTTGGACCGAATGATTCTCTGTTGTGCGGGGCTGTCCTGTACATTCTAGGATGATGAGCAGCATCCCTGGTCTCCACTTACTTGATGCCAGTGGTGCCGTGAATTAATTGATGCTGCCGTGACAAATTGCCCCCAACTTCATGGCTTAAAATAATAGAAAGTTATTCTCTCGCAGTCCTGGAGGCTAGAAGGCCGAAATCCGTTTCACTGGGCTGAAATCAGGCGAGGAGGACACACACTCATTGGAGGCTCTAGGGGACAAACTGATCTTTGCCTCTTCCAGTTTCTGGTGGCTGCCAAATTCCTTAATTTTGTGGCCACATCATTCCTGTCCTGAAGGCCAGCATCTTCAAACCTGTGTTCTGTCTTCACATGACATTCTCGTCTGTGTGTGTCTAATGTCCTTCTGCCTCTCTCTCATACATGTGATTGCATTTAGGGCCACCAGGATAATCTAGGATAATCTTTGCATCTCAATACCCTTAAACTCACCACTTCTGGAAAGCCCCCTTTTTTGGTCATAGAAGGTAACATTCACAGTTTCCAAGGATTATGACACAGATATCTTTTGCGGAGGGGCTTTTTGTTTTTTTCTTTTTTAGACAGAGTCTCTCTCTGTCACCCAGGCTGGAGTGCAGTGGCACGATCTTGGCTCACTGCAACCTCCGCCTCCTGGGTTCAAGCAATTCTCCTGCCTCAGCCTCCCAAGTAGCTGGGACTACAAGCGCGTGCCACCACACCCAGCTAATTTTTTTGTATTTTTCATAGAGACGGGGTTTCACCCTGTTGCTCAGGGTGTTCTTGAACTCCTGAGCCCAGGTAATCTGCCCACCACAGCCTCACAAAGTGCTGGGGTTACAGATGTGAGCCACCGTGCCCAGCCTAGGGGGGCAATTTTAGCCTACCGTGCCCCACCTATTTGTAACAACCAGAAATGTCTGTCCAGAGATTGCCAAATGTCCCTTGTTTGGGGAGGGGGGGGCCGGCAAATTGCCCCTGGTTGAGAACCAGTATCCTAGCCCATGAGACTAGTGGGTGTGTGACCCTGCCTCTGACGATTAATGATGCTGAACCCCTTTTCATGTGCTTATCAGCCAATAAGTCTTTGGCTTGTTTTCAACTTGGATTGTCTTTTTATTGTTGAGTTGTCAGAGCTCTTTATATACTCCGGACCAGTCTTTGTCACTCCCCTACTTTTTCCTTTCTCGCAGCACTCACCGCCTAAACTGCTCTCCCTTGTGTAGGTATTCATTTGTGTTGTATTGTTCTCGTCAAAATATCAGCACATTCAGGTCGGCCACTGTGTCTGAGTGACTGCCCAAAGACATGTTGGCACATGATGGCTGTTCTGTGAGTACCTGTTTCATGGATCAGTCTGGATGCTGCTTTTCCTCCCTTCCTGAAGGGACCCAGCTCGCCCTCTGGGCTGCCTCCCTCCTCCATGTATGTCAGAACTCTATCTGCTGTGTCTTGGGAACATCAGGGCAGGGCCAGGAGGGCTGATTCTGGATTTAGGCCTGGCCCAGCCTCCTCTCTGCAAGGTATTTACTGAATGACCTTGGACGAGGTGCTTCAAGTTTGCAATCCTCAGTTTCCACATCTGTAACATGGAGGTAAAAATGATCCCACTATTGTTGGAACTGTTGTGAGAATTAATTAATACTTGTGTGTAAGCCCCAAGTAGATGCTGATGGAACTGAATTTACAATTCCTTTCTGCTTCCTATGTGCAAACTAAGTCCTTGAAAGATCGTAAAGAAAAATGGGGCCAGATGTGGTGGCTTATGGCTGTAATCCCAGTGCTTTGGGAGGTCGAGGCAGGAGGATTGCTTCAGCCCAGGAGTCTGAGACCAGCTTGGGTAACAAAGTGAGACCATATCTCTGCAAAAAATTTTAAAAGTGTTAACCGGACTTGGTGGCACATGCCTGTAGTCCCTGCTACATGGGAGGCTGAGACAGGAGGATCGCTTGAGCCCGAGAGTTTTATGTTGCAGTGAACTATGATTGTGCCACTGTGCTCCAGCCTGGGTGATAGAGGACAGAGTGAGAACTTGTCTCAAAAAAAAAAACAGAAAGAGAGAGAGAGAGAGAGGAGAGAGAGAGAGAGGAGAGAGAGAGAGAGAGAGAGAGAGAGAGGGAGAGAGAGAGAGAGAGAGAGAGAGAGAGAGAGAGAGAGAGAAAGAAAAAGAGAAAGAAAGAAAGAAAGAAAGAAAGAAAGAAAGAAAGTTGTTAATGGCTTTTTTTTTTTTTTGAGGTGGTGTCTTGCTCTGCTGCCCAGGCTGGAGGGAGTGCAGTGGCTTGATCTCAGCTCACTGCAACCTCTGCGTCCCGGATTCAAGTGATTCTCCTGTCTCAGCCTCCTGAGTAGCTGAGATTACAGGCATGCACCACCACGCCCAGCTAATTTTTGCATATTTTAGTAGAGACGGGGTTTCACCGTGTTGGCCAGGATGGTCTCGATCTCCTGACCTCGTGATCCGCCCGCCTCGGCCTCCCAAAGTGCTGGGATTACAGGCATGACTGCAGCCGGCCAATGTCTTGGAACTATTAATAGCCATGGTGGTTGCACAACACCACATGTGCTAAATGCCGCTGAATTGTTCACCTTAAAATAATTCATTTTATGTTACATGAAATTTACCTCAATAAAAATTGAATAAAAAAGAAGCTACTCAGGTGCCGAGTAGGCAAAACTTTCACTCTTGCTTTGTATTTCTGGCTGTATCCACAAGTGGGCAGTCGTGAAATTTTCTTATAGCCTCCTGTCATATTGAAAACGCCCGGAAGTGAATATGCCAGGTCTCCATGTTTTTCTTTCCCTCCTGGACACGAGGTCCTTGGGGGCATCCAGACCCTAGCTCCTCTGTCCCAAGACTGTTCTGGTATGTTTCGCTTTCAGACGAGGCTTGGAGATAACAGGCTATGGTTCCTAGAGGCTTCAGTGTTGCTCTGTGACCTCTCAGCCCCAGGGATCCAGCCTCGGGCTGACTTTCCTCAAGGTATCTGCTTAGGGCTTTGTTGCAGGCTGGGGTCGTGTTAACTTCCATTTTTTCCCCGACTTCTCCTCCATGTCACAGCATCCTGCATCTTGGGATCTCTGAGGAGGTCTGACCTAAGGTCTGATCTGCTCTCTGAACTGGTTCCTCTCATCCCTATTGCGTTGAAGCAAAGCACAGACATTATATCAGTTCATCTGTAAATATTTCAGTGTGAACCTGAAATATGGATCATTTTGTTAACATAGCCTAAATACCATACCAAAAATGTTTTAAAACAAGTCCACAATGTTAAATATGCAGTCACTGTCACCTTATTGCCTCACACATGCCATCATTCCTTTTTATTTCTGAAGGAATTCTTTTTTTTTTTTTTGTGAGACAGAGCCTCACCCTGTCACCCAGGTTGGAGTGCAATGGTGAGATCTCGGCTCGCTGCAACCTCTGCCTCCCAGGTTCAAGCGATTCCCCTGCCTCAGCCTCCTCAGTAGCTGGGATTACAGGCATGTGCCACCACGCCCGGCTAGTTTTTGTATTTTTAGTAGAGACGGGGTTTCACCATGTTGGCCAGGCTGGTCTTGAACTCCTGACCTCGTGATCTGCCTGCCTCGGCCTCCCAAAGTGCTGGGATTACAGGCGTGAGCCACCACACCCGGCCCTGAAGGATATTTTTTGCTGGACATAGAATTCTAAGTTGGCACTTAATTTTTGGAAATAATAAGCATTTTGAACAAATCATTCCCTTCTGACTTCCATGGTTTCTGTTGAAAAGGCAGCTGCCAGTCTTCTTGTTGCTCCTCGGATCACAGTTTTGTTTTCCTCAGGCTCCTTTTAAGATCTTTTGTTTTTCTTTGTTGTTTAGTGGTTTTGCTATGATGATGTTTGGCGTGATTTTCTTTCTCTCTTCTTTTTTGTGCCGCTGACTCTCCCCTTGGTGTGATTTTCTTTGCATTCATCCTGCTTGGGCTTCGCATTGCTACTTGGGTTTATGGCTTGATGTCTTTTGTCAGTTTTGGACGTTTTCAGCCATTATATTTTCAAATAGTGACTCTGCCCTAGTCTCTCATTTTTCCCCTTCTAAGGCCCCAGTTACATGTATGTTCAACCTTTCCACTGTATCCCTACATCCTCTGGGTTCCTGTGTGAGCCGTCCTGGCGAATTTCCTCCTGCTTTCGCTTCTGTTTTGTTGGCTCTTCCCCCAGCTCCCCAGGGCCCCTTGCTTTGGCACATTTGCTCAGAGTGAGCTCATCCATCCTGGCCACATGCACCGATTGCACCTGGGCTATTGACCCCTCCTACAGCTGTTTCTCCGTCTCAGACTTTTCCTCCAAGTTGTGGGCCATGATTAGGCTCTAGCTCAATTTGCCAAAAGCAAATTCTCAGAAATGACCAAGAATATACTCTTTCTGGCTGGGCCCAATGGCTCACACCTGTAATCCCAGCACTTTGGGAGGCCGAGGCAGGCGGGTCACCTGAGGTCAGGAGTTGGAGACCAGCCTGGCCAACATGGTGAAACCCTGTCTCTACTAAAAATACAAAAAATTAGCCCGGCATGATGGCGCATACCTGTAGTCCCAGCTACTCAGGAGGCCGAGGCAGGAAAATCACTTGAACCCGGGAGGCGGAGGTTGCAGCAAGCCAAGATCGTGCCACTGCACTCCAGCCTGGGCAAATAGAAGGAGATCCGTCTCAAAAAAAAAAAACAACAACACTATTTTGAAAAAAACAATAAAGTTTAGAACACTTTGTGTTGGAGAGGGTGGTCTTAACACCTTCGGTCTGTCTTGAGGGTGTCTGGGTTGACTGGTCATCGTTTTGTGTTCATAAGAGCATTCTCCAGAGTTGTCCATTTGCTTCTGTGACTGTAGGAGGTGGAGAGAGGGGGGTCCTTGACCAAGGAAGAGAAGGGAGCGCGGCTGCCAGAGGGCCAGGAGATGGGGGCCAGAGAGAAGGGGAGACTGAGAGAATATCCTTATGAAAATATTGTTTACTGACATCTGAAGAGACTCTTCAAGAATGCACTGAAGAATATCTTCATGTATCTTTACCAATACATTGATGAAGATTGACTTCATATTCCTGAGGACAGTTAAAATCTTGAATGTTCTCACAGCTAGATCATTCATGTAAATGGAAAGACAGTAATGAGGAATCTATTTTCGGGGTGACCATCCTGCCGACCCACTCCCCCTCTCTGTGAGCAGTGGCCTAGTCCATGTTGTCCACCGACTCTCTTCTTAACAGGGACCTGGGGCAGAGACAAATGGAATATTCCTTGAAATGCTGCGAGGAACCAGCTTTTGACAAATTGGCTTTCAACAAATGAGCTGTCAGCTTATTCAGTGCCCGGGGGATTTCTCCGTGTGGGTGTTGGTCAAGTCCTTGGAGTGGGACCGAATAGAAGTCGTCACTGTTTTCCCCGTCTCTGTCAGCACCACCGTTTAGACCTCCTGCACCTGAGGCCTGCCGCCACCCTCCTGGGCCTCCTGGGGCGGCAGCCCTGCCAGTCTATGGGTTCCATCACGCTCTGGTGCCTTCTCTCTTCTACGTAAGCGGTGGTGCCAGAGCCCCCTCACTGGCCCCCTGGCCTCTGTCCTTCTGGCCCGTTCTTTGTGGTGCCAAAAGGGGAACTTCATAGAAGTTTTTAAATTATGAAGTATTTCAAGCAAAGGGAAAATGTAAGGATAACATAATTAACAGCCCCAGCTTTCTGAAATCTTAACATTTGCCATATTCACTTCAAATCTTATTTTTTTAGGAAATAAAACTTTAAAATATTCTGTTGAAGCCCTCATTACCCCTTTCCAGCACCATCTCCCTTCCTTGCTATTCTGGCCTTGCTATACTGGCCTCACCATTCTCATTTGGGTGCTTATCTTTTCCATGCATGGTTTTATACTTTTACTACTTATATAATTATATACACAACAGGTAGTGATTGTTTTCTTTTAGAGATAGGGTCTCACTCTGCTGCCCAGGCTGGAGTGCAGTGGCGTGATGGCAGCTCACTGCAGCCTCGAACTCCCGGACTCAAGAGGTCCTCCTGCCTCAGCCTCCAGAGTAGCTGAGACTACAGGCACGTGCCACCACACCCAGATAATTAAAAATTTTTTTTGTAGAGACAGGGTCTCACTGTGTTGCCCAGGCTGGTGTTGAATTCCTCCTGGCCTCAAACAATCCCCTTGCCTTGGCCTCCCAAAGCGCTGGGATTGCAACTGTGAACCACTGCGCCTGGCCTGCTTGTGGTTTTTTAACAGCTCTATTGAGATATAATTTACATATTATAAAATGCACCATTTTAACTACATTTCAATGGTTTTTAGTAAATTTACTGAGTTGCGCAACTATTGCCATGATTCACTTTTCTCTTTTTGTTTAAATAACGGCTCTATTGAGATATAATTCACATCCCATAAAATTCACCAATTTAAAGTGTACAATTCACTGGTTTTTCGTATAGTCACAGAGTTGTTCAACCATCACCACTATCTAATTCCACAATATTCTCTTTTTTTTTTTTTTGAGACGGAGTCTCGCTCTGTCGCCCAGGCTGGAGTGCAGTGGTGTGAACTCTGCTCACCGCAAGCTCCGCCTCCCGGGTTCACGCCATTCTCCTGCCTCCGCCTCCCGAGTAGCTGGGACTACAGGCGTCCGCCACCACGCCCGGCTAATTTTTTTTGTATTTTTAGTACAGACGGGGTTTCACCGTGTCAGCCAGGATGGTCTCGATCTCCTGACCTCATGATCCGCCCGCCTTGGCCTCCCAAAGTGCTGGGATTACAGGCGTGAGCCACCGTGCCCGGTCCTACAATATTTTCACCAGCCCCAAAGCAACCCTGTACTCATTAGCAGCCACTGCCCATCCCCCACCCCCAGCCCCTGGCACCCACTAATCTGCTTTCTGTCTCTATGGATTTGCCTATTCTGGACATTTCGTAACTAATGGAATTGTACTGGAATCTGTGGTCTTTTGTGGCTTTTCAATCCTTATAGTCACCATGTTTCTATAGAGTAACTGCAGGCTAAACTGCAGGCTAGACTTCGTGCTCAACACTGGTCCTGGGGGATTTGCGGAACTGAAGAGCACACACAGATAGTTCACACTGTCATTTCTACAACTTCTAGTCTGTGGCTATTTTTGTAAAGCTGTTACAAAAGAGTAACTACATATAAAATATATATGAATATTGGTGTGCGTGTGGCTGGTGTGTGTTTGGGGTGTTCCCAGGCAGACCTGGAGTGGGAGGCAGGCTTTCCCTAGAGCCTGGGGAGCGGGGAGGAAGGCAGAAGCTGAACCCGAATCTAGTCTAGGTCAGGACCGCTCGCTGTTGGCATGAGCTCTGGATGAGGTACTGAAGGAATCTCACTTTCTCTTTTGCTCCCAAGGCAAGCATTGATGGAAGAACAGGTGAATGGTCGCCTGCAGGGACAGCTGAATGAGATTTACAACCTCAAACACAATCTGGCCTGCAGCGAAGAGAGAATGGCCTATCTATCCTATGAGAGAGCCAAGGAAATATGGGTGAGAACCTCCTGGGGGAGCCTTGCAAGAAGACTGGAGGGATGAGCGAATCTATTCTGATACCCCCAAACCAAAGCAAGACACGGGTCCTCGAGCTGCCCCCTCCTGAGGGTTCGATGGCCACACACATTTGTTTCAGAGCTAGCAGCATCTGATCTTTACACTCACGCTCCGCTTCCCACCATCTGGCTTAGCTGCTTTTGCCACTCTGGTGCTGCAGTGCTCACCCGTGAGCCTCTGACTCGGGAGATCTGGGGTGGAGCTGCTTCTGCTGCGGCTGCAGGTGTAGGGAGCGCCCTCTCAGAACCCCTCCTTAGACCTGGCTTC
Source organism: Homo sapiens (assembly GCF_000001405.40). NCBI lineage: Eukaryota > Metazoa > Chordata > Mammalia > Primates > Hominidae > Homo > Homo sapiens. Next base: position 154,272,063 of record NC_000023.11, on the reverse strand, counting down.
CCTCTCCTCACTTTTCCATTCCCATAGCGCCCACCCCCGTCCCTGGGTAGCTGTGTCTTGACCAGGTCCTCAGCTTCGGGAGACAGTGGATGGGGGAGTGCAGCCGGGTCAGATGAAGCTTTCCCTGTTGCTGGAGAGCCTGCGCCCTCCCCTCTGCCCTGAATGTGCTCTAGGCTCTCTGCTTCCCTCCTCGAATACCCACTCCACAGTGCTTTCTGCTCACCCCTAAGAACTCAATAAACGACCACAACTCTGTGCTGACTTCTGGTGCGTGCATTTTCGTCTCCTGCAGGAGATCACGGAGACCTTCAAGAGCCGAATATCCAAGCTGGAGATGCTACAGCAAGTCACCCAACTGGAGGCAGCGGAGCACCTCCAAAGCCGTCCCCCGCAGATGTTGTTCAAGTTCCTGAGTCCGCGCCTCTCACTGGCAACCGTCCTCTTGGTCTTTGTCTCCACCTTGTGTGCCTGCCCCTCGTCACTGATCAGCTCACGCCTGTGCACCTGCACCATGCTGATGCTGATCGGGCTTGGGGTCCTGGCCTGGCAGAGGTGGCGCGCCATCCCTGCCACAGACTGGCAGGAATGGGTCCCCTCCAGGTGTAGACTGTACTCCAAGGACTCTGGGCCTCCAGCAGATGGACCTTAAGGGGCCAGGAGGGCCACCTGCCTTAGCTTGCTAGCTCCCTCCCTCCTCCTGGGTGCTGAGGGCATCCAGCAAGCCCCTCCACAGCTCTTGCTTGCCGATTATGTAACCACCAGCCTGGTGAAATGGATATAGACGCCCACCTGCCTCACACTTCTGTTTTGCCAGGATCCTTTCACGCCATCGGTAGACATGAGGCTCGGGAAAACTTAAAGTCTATGAAGCGCTCTCTCCTCTTTATCCCCCTTGCACCCTCTCGAGACCCAGTGCCTGCACACGCAGAGGCTCAGGTGGTCCCACACTGCAGTGAAAGCCTCTGTGACTTTGTTGGTTTTGGCAAAGATAAATTACATTTATTTTACAGGGATGGAGAAGGAGGGGGAAAGGAGAGGTGGCCAAAGCCCCGGTGGGCGGGATGGGTAGGAGGCAGACCTCATGCAGGCGATACCGAGGACACAGATGAGACCTCCGTTTTGGAGGCGCTGGAGAGTTCAGAGCCATCGTCAACCTTCTTCCCGAAAAGCTGCAAGATGCAGTTTCGAAACTGGAAGGACAGAAAGCGTTATTGAGCAGAGCAGGGAAGGGTGGAGCACTGTGCTGAATGTACGTGCCCGAGCCTTCCCTTCACCCATTCCGAATCCCATGGGGGATGGAGGAAGGCTTGGATTATTTCTCCCTCACACGCGGGGATGTCATCTGACTTAGCAGTTGATGGTGACTACACTGGGTTGAAGTGGGTCCCCCAAAAGATGTGTTCAGGTTAAGATGAGGTCACACTGGAGCAGGGTGGGCCCTAATCGAATGACTGGTGTCCTGATAAGAAAAGGAACGCTTGGACACGGACACGCAGACAGAGGGAAGAAGGCCACGTGAAGATGAAGGCAGAGACTGGGGTGACACACCTTGGAGTCAAGGAACGCCAAAGACTGCCGGCAGCCCTGCAGCTGCTTCTCCCTCCCGGCCTCCATAGGGAACCTTTCCATTTGCCAACACCCTGATTTCAGACTCAAGATTTCCAGAACCCTGAGAGAATCCATTTCTGTGGTTTGAAGCCACTGAGTTTGTGGTAGTTTGTGACGGCAGCCCCATGACACTCATCCACAGTGACAGCTAAGGGGCAGTGGTGACCTGTCCCCAGACTGTCTGGTGAGCGGCTCGGAGGAATATTAATGAAAAGGCATGTGGTTGTCATGTTTTTTCCAGTCCATGGATCTGGGGCAAGGTGAGGCCTAGGTAATGACAATCTAGCCCCTACCTCATCTCTCCAGCCAAGCGTCTTCCGGTACCAGGAGGGGTCTGTCTTTGCTGCTTCACCCCAAAGAGATCTGGGCCATATGAATGTCTCAAATCATGTCCTGTGTCATCCCTGAAGTAACCACAATGCTTTGAGGACCCAGACCAAAGGCATTTTCTAAATATTTCAGGCCTACTCTTGACTAGCTCTAACTCCCTCTATCATCAAAACTCTCAAAAATAAAAAATATAATGGTTGAAATTAATAACATAAGAAACGGGACAAACAGCAGAATCAGCTCGGCTGAAGAGCTGGGAGATAGGGCTGAGGAATCCATTCAGCAGCTGCTGCTTGAGCACCCACTGTGTGCCAGACTCTGTCCTGAGCAAAATTTGCTGTCTTCATGGAACTGCGTTCCAGAAAATTCTCTCAGAATGTGGCAGGACAGGATAATTATGTGGAAAGGGTAAAAGCAAAGTTCGAGGCCTGGTGAGGTCCAGAAGTGCAGACATCTGTCTCCCCCTGTCCAGGGGGAGTTCTGGAAAGGAGAATGGAAATAATCCAGTAAAGACAGTACTTGGCAAGATAGTTTAGGATTCCAGAAACCTAAAAAAGATCCTCATGAAAGTCAGGAAACAGGGGTCAGGGATAGAACTACACTCTGGGCATCAGTGTGCTACAGCGAGTTCCCGGAAATCCACTGCAGGCCTGGTCCTACTTACTATTTAAAAGTTACCAGAGAGAATGAACCCTTAATGAACTCTGCAGACTTGGCTTGTGTGAGTCAAAGCTGAGCCAAAGGGGCTGGAGCCATTGAGTGGCTCTAAGATGGAGAAGCAAGGAAGAGCCCAGTGGAAGGGATGGACTGGGCCTGGTGAAATGGGAGGCCTCTGCACACCTTTCTGGCCACCATCAAGTCACATCACAGCTGCGCTTTAATGAAGCCTGTAACCTGCAGGAGGTGGGGGGATTTAGGTGTGTGAGCAGCTTGCTGCTGAGGCCCAATATGCCAGCTAAGGAGGCTGCCTCTGGGCAGGACCACAGCACGTCCCCCCTGAACTAACCCACAAACTCGTGAAAGCTCTTGAACTCTTGGTCAGTGTAGCCAAGGAGGGCCGGCTTTTGTTCTTATAGGAAGACAAATTCCAGAGGTTACGGTTTGAAAATGGAGAGATGAAGGTTGAGAAGGGTCGAGTCTGAACAGAAGAGGGGCACACCTAGGGTGGATGTACCTAGGGCTCACCAACTCCTAGAGCGTCTGAACGCCAGGAGAGCCCCTGAAGCTCGGCAGCCATAGTTCTAGGGCCACCGGAAGGGAAGAGCGCACGGCACACAGACGCTTTGGGAAATGCCACCCTCAGGCCGAGACTATAAAGGATTCCAGAGGGCACACCTAAGCCTTCTGCTAAGGGCCAGCCGGAGCTCTGGCTGGGGCTGGGTCACACGCTGAGCCTTTCCCGGTCATTTCCCTGGAGGGTCCCCCAGATGCTCCGCGGGCTTCTTATCAGAGACATGATTCCAGGTGGGGCCATCGCTGCACCCTTCTAGGGCACACGGTATTTTGAGTGGGATCTGCTGATGGTGTTGCTTACCTGCCGGTTCATAAAGACATAGATAACGGGGTTGTAGATAGTGGCACTTTTGGCAAAGAAGGCCGGCAGGGCAGCCATCAAAGGGTGGAAGGGGTAGCCAGGGTTGGCAGCAGCAAAGCATGCGAAGAAGGCGTAGGGTCCCCAGCAGAAGCAGAATGCCAGGACCATCACCACCACCATGCGCGTCACTTCCTTCTCTGCCTTCTGGGTGGATTCAGACTCTTTCTGCTGCTTTGCCACCTAAGGGAGACAGGGATAGTGAGTCGGGGGTTGGAGGGCAGCAAGAGGCAGGTGACCCAGGCATAGGGAGTTGTGGGGAGGAGGAGAGGAGCCCAGCAGCCATCTTCCAGCCCTGAGTGGAGCACAGCCGGCCCCAGGCAGACATGGCTGCCTCAGGCTGGCCCTGGGGGAGTTCTAGAATTGGAGGTGGCATGCAGCTAGGTGTGGCCTAAGATGACCCCAGAGCTGGATCTAACAAGCTCCTTTGCTTCACCTGATCCCTTAACAGACTGTCCTGTCCTGCGCTCAGGCCTGAGCATGGAGGCCTGATTTGATTGATGACTGGGCGTGGAGAATGAAGGAGTTAACAAGGTGGAGATGGCGGGGGAGGCAAAAGCAGTGGCTGGCGGGGTGCGCGATGGGAGTGTCAGAGCAATGCATACACTTCCCTCAGGCTTCCTAGGCTAGGTTGGCCACTCTGTGGACTAAATCCTGCCCTGGACTCACGGTGAGGCAGCTGAGGGCAGCTTTGGTGGGGTGGCTCCTTCATGCCTGCTGGGAGGAAGGAGACGAATGGCCTCCAGGCAGAGGCACTGTGGGGGAGGCCAGAGGCCAGCCACCACCTGCCAGGGATGAGGGACTGGCGGCAGGCAGATGAGTGGGGATGAGAGAGGGAGTGTGAGGGCTGGAATGCAGGGATGGCTGAGACAGCAGAGCCGGGGCCACATTGTGGAGCTGGGGCTCTACCATCCCAGACTAATACAGCCGAAGCCATGGTTGGGTACCTGTGGGAGCCTTCACCCCAAGGTGACGGGGTGAGGGGGCCTTTCACAGGCTCACAGACTCCTCTAGAGAGAGCTTGGCAGGCATGCCCATCCAATTGTGGGCACAGGCAGCTTCATATAGGAAAGCCAGCACCCTGAAAGGGCTCCCACTGCTAACAGAAAAGAACCAGCCTGGCTCTCCTCCCTTGCTCTGACTTCCTGAAGGGCTCCCAGTGGTAGCCTAGTCTAGGGGTGGGGGGTGACGGCTGTGGACAGGATCAGCTTCCCAGGGCAGAGGGCCAGACATGGAGGTGGAGAGTGGGTCAGGGGGGCAAATGGCACTCTCGGGTCCACTCCTTGGTCGGCCCCACAGCCTATGAAAAGGACAAGGGTACTCCGGTGGCAGCCTCATAAAAACACGCCTTGATTTGCAGGTGTCATTTGCTGATGTGGCTGCTCCACTCTACTCTGTGGGAAAGGCAGCCTTTCCACCCCGGGGAGAACTGTCCAGGGTCGGGGCAAGGCACACCTCTGTTCCCTTAGTGGACTCCTCCAGGGAGGGAGTGGCAGTGCTTTCCCGTCTCACAGAGCTGAGGACAACGGGGCTGGGGCTGAACCTGCAGCCACTGGTACAGTCCCAAAGGAATCACCTGATTCTCATCGCTGGATCTTAATATTTTCTTATAGGGGTAAAATCCTCTTCTCTAAGGATTTTTGGAAAAATAGTTTAGGAGTCTCAGTGGACTCATTTGAGGGCAGAGCAGCTTAGGGGCAGGAGGCGGGTGAGGCCAGGAGGAATCGGGGGGCTTACCGCTCGGATGGCCAGCCACACTTGGAGGTAGCAGAGCACGATGATGCTGAGTGGGGTGATGCAGCAGGTGACCATGAGGACAATCATGTAAGACTGCACCCCGGGGTACGAGCTGCCGCTGAACACGTCTGGGCCGCATGAAGTCTTCAGGCCGTGGGGCCAGTACCTGGAGAGAAGGGCCGGCAGCCAGTCCTGATGCAGGGTGGGGTGACCCAGGACCCCCGGCCCAGGCACGGTGCTAACTCGGGTGGGGTTTGTTTTTTTAAATTGAGGTGAAATTCATGTTGCATGAGATTACCCAATTTGAAGTGATCAATTCTGTGGCAGTCACCACCTCTGCTTCCAGAACATTTTCATCAACCCAAAACAAAACCGTTGGGTAGGATTTTGGTTAATCCTTGTCCATTTTTAGATGTCATGCCTTTCTTCTTTTTGAATTGTGGTAAAATACACATCACATAAAATGTACCATTATAGGCCAGGCACAATGGCTCACGCCTATAGTCCCAGCACATTTGGAGGCAGAGGTAGGAGGATTGCTCGAGCCCAGGAGTTCAAGACTAGCCTGGATCACATAGTGAGATCTTGTCTCTACAAAAAATAAAAAAAATTAGCTGGGTGAAGTGGTGCACCTGTAGGCCCAGCTCCTCAGGAGGCTGAGGTAGGAGGATCACTTGAGCCCAGGAGGTGGAGGCTGCAGTGAGCCATAATTACACCACTGCACTGTGCCAGCCTGAGTGACAGAGTGAGACCCTGTCTCAAAAAAAGAAAAAAGTACCATTGTGACCTTTGGTACATTCACAATGCTGTGCAACCATCTCCACTATCTGCTTCCAGGACATTTTCATCTTCCCAATCACTCCCCTTCTTTACAAAGGGATTGTGAGGTTCCTTCTTGCCCTGACCTTCTGAGAACACCCATGAAGAGCTGAGTCTTTTATCTGAGGTCAGCTAGGCCATGACTGAAATAAAGGGCCCTGCTCACTTAGTGGCCTGGAGGATTAAATGAGATAACCCGCGGGAGAGCCTCCACCAGGGTCAGCTCACCACACATGTTTGATAACGGGCAGCTGTGTGGGGCATGGCGGCATGAGGAGGGCGGGAGACAGAGACAGGCTTCCACAAGGTTTGTTTCCTAGAATTGTGGAACGTTCTCGAGGAAAGAACATTCCCTCTCCAAACACCACGAGAACTTATTCACGAGCTTGTCGATAAAACAGTGAAATGCTGTCCCACCCAGTCCACTCCAATCAAACATTTGAGCCACTTGCTTGGCCTGGCCAGGACATGTGCTCTGTAGGCCCAGGTGGATCTATGACCCAAGCAGCCTCTGAAAGGTGGGGGGCGTGGTGCGGCAGCGTGTGCAAGAAAGAGACCTGGAATGCAAACACGCTATGCGTTCACTGACAGCTGTGCTGATGGCCTGAGCTCCGTGTGCGCCTGTGACCTGATCGTGCTTGGGATAAATATGTTTCCAGAGGTTCGGGGACCACAGAGCCTTTCCTATGTTGCAGCCACATTCATACATTGATAGACATTGCACGCTCAGAGGGGCCCAGAGAAAGGAAGTGATTTGCCTTAAGGTCACAGAGTCTGACCCTGCCCACTCCATCTTGCGTCCTCGCACCCTTACCTGCTCCAACCAAAGATGGGCGGGGCTGTCCACACAGCAGCCCAGATCCAGGAGAAGGCAATGCCCACGATGGCCAGCTTGGCATCAAATCTCACATTGCCAAAGGGCTTGCAGACCACCATCCATCTCTCCCAGGAAATGATGGCCAGAGACCAGAGACCTGTGATCCCTATGGGGAGAGCAGACAGATGAGGGCTTTGAGCCAAAGCAAAGGTGGGAAGCAAAGCTTCCCACTGTCCTGCTTAGACCCCAAACGTCTGCACACAGAATTCAGGGCTCCACGGACTGAGGTGGAAAAAACGACATCTTTCTTTCCACCAACCTCGAACAGACACTGGAAATTTCCTTCCATTATGAACGTGGCAGTATTAGCAGTACCCGTGACTCGGTCAGCAAGAGAGGTCACAGATGTTTTCCTGTCAATTCATAGAGGTGGCAGAGAGTTCGAATACCACTTATGTTCATCACTACTCTGAAATAACAGTGGTTGTCAGGCGGGATCCTGTTACTTAATACCTTAATACTGAGTGGTGTCACTAATACGTTTAACACATGCTTTTATTTTTATTTACTTTTTGAGACAGAATCTCACTCTGTTGCCCAGGCTGAGTGCAGTGGTGCCATCATAGCTCACTGCAGCCTTGACCTCCAGAGCTCAAGCGATCCTCCCGCCTGAGCCTCCTGAGTAGCTGGGACTACTGGTGTGCCACCACGCCCAGCTGTTTTTATTTGTTGTAGAGAAGAGGTCTCACTATGTTGCCCAGGCTGGTCTCAAACTCTTGGAGGCAAGCAGTCCTCCCACCTCAGCCTCCCAAAGTGCTGGGATTACAGGTATGAGCCTGGCCAGTAAATGCTTTTAACTAAAGACTATGTTACTGATGAATGTTTAATACTTTGATAACTGTATTTCAGTATAATTTGCTGCCTTTGTAATCCTATGGGTCTCATTTTATGCGTTTGCAAAAATTCTCCTGAGATGGGGTCCACAGGCTTCCCAGATGGCCAAGGGCATCCGTGGACCAAAAGTGGTGGGGAAGTGCTGGCTGCTTGGCACCTGACTGACCCAAGAACAGACCATGAGCAGAGGCAAGGGTGAGCGGGAGACCATGGCAGAAACGGAGACAGACGTGGGCGGAGATGCAGGGGGGCACTCGGGAAGGGTCGTGTGACCACCGAGGCCATGCCTGCTGCAGAGAGCACTCGGACCTGGGGATGGACCTTCTCTGCCTGACCTTCCCTTGGCTCCCCTTCTACACTATCGGGGTAGTGCCGGGACTTGGACAAGCACCCTCTCTGGTCTGGGCCATCGTGGGTACAATTTGAGGCAGTTAACGGGGTGGGGTTGGGGAGGCTGCTAAGAGTGGTGGGGAGGCAAGAGCAGGAGCTGCTGCTGCTGGATGTGGGGTCTCCTCCTCCTGAAAGAAAGTCCCAGCTCCTGGGCATGACGTCTGAGGCCTCTGAGACCTGGGCCTGCCCACCTCGTGTCCAGCAGCCACGGCTGCTTGGTGGTACTCTATCCACTCGAACCACAAACTGCTCCCAGCCGCTCCTCCACCACCTGCCCCAGGCCCCTTCTTGTCTGAGAGGACTGATGATGGTACTGTGTGGTTGCCGTCTGGCTATAGGGCCCCCTCCTTAGCACAGAGCCTGGCACGCTAGTACCTCTCGGCCACTGTCTCCTGACCTGAGCGGAATAGTGGCCCACAGAGATATTAGTGATGGGGATGGGGAGAGGATCTGGGAATTGTGTCTCCTCCGGGAAAAGCAGATGCTGGCGAGCTGAAAGAGCAGGCATCCCTAATTGCAGGGGAGTTCTGTCCAGGGTGCCCAGAGTCCCCGCCCCCCTACTGTTCTGGGGTTGTCTAGCTCTGTATCTGTCTCCTCCCACACCAGCCCCACAGCTCCAAACTGGCTGTCCCCGGGCAGAGCCTGACTCAAGAGTAGGAACTCAGGGTATGTTTGACTCAAGGGAGCTGAATTTAATGTGAGTGTTCAGATGGAAGCCTCCAGAACCCTTCAGTATATGGATGTGAGGCGCAGATGTGGAGGGAGACAGGCCTACAGGAGCAGCTGGGCCCCGATCATCATGAGGTGGCCGGAGGGGCTTGCAGGGTGAATGAGTGGTTTCCGCTGAGCCTGGGCCCCGACTGGCTTACCACACAGGGAGACGGTGTAGCCCTCCAGGACACACATAGGGTGGCCCAGCACGAAGTAGCCATAGACCTGGTTCACAACGCTGATAGTGCTGGCGATGACGGTCTCTGCCAGGTCAGCGACCGCCAGGTTCACCAGGATCCAGTTCAGCGGGTGGCGCAGCTTCTTGAACTTCATGGTGGCCGCCAGCACAAGCCCATTTGTGAAGACGGATGCAATGACCACAAAGATCATCCAGACACTGGTGAGGTGGTACACCCATCTGGGAGCGATGTGGTAATTCGGGCCTTCGAAGGGGCCTGAGGGCAGGAGGCAGAGGAGAGAGAGGAGCTGGGCTGCAGCACCGCCTGTCTATACCAGTGCTGATCCCACCTCTCCCCTCCCCCTTCCGCCCTCCTGCCTTTGCAATTGGCTGTTTCCCTCCAGCTTTGTCCATCCTCAGACAGTCTCCCCTCCATCCTGTCCCTCAAGCCAGAGACCATCGCCCGCTGGTCACTGGCACTGGCATCTTGAACTTAACAGAACTCCTCATCGTCTCCTCCATCTGATTCCCCACTCCCAGTGTGCAGTCACCCCACTTCCCTGCTCCCCTCTTCCCTTTGCCCCAGCCCCACCTCCTACCTCCCACAGTCCTCTGCCCTTCCATAGAGAAACGCTTGCCTCCTGTAAAGCCCAGCTCATATGCATTTGCCTTCCAGAAGATTCCCCAGCTAGTGGCAACTCACCCCCTTGAGGGGAAGACCACTACCCACCTCTGTCACCTTCTGTCACACATAGGAGTTACTGTTCATGATGATCTGAATGTACGTGCCCCCCATAAATTTCTGTGTTGAAATCCCAACCCCCAAGGTGATGGTATTAGGAGGTGGGGCCTTTGGCAGGTCATTTAGGTCATGTGTGCAGAGTGAGTGGGGCCCTCATGAATGGGATTAGTGCCCTTATAAAAGAGGTCCTAGAAGCTGGGCATGGTGGCTCACGCCTGTAGCCCCAGCTACTCAGGAGGCCAACGTGGGAGGATCACTTGAGCCTTTGGGAACAGCCCAAATTAGCTGGGAATGGTGGCTCATGCCTGTAATCCCAGCACTTTGGGAGGCTGAGGCTGGAGGGTTGCTTGAGCCCAGGAGTTCAAATCCAACCTGGGCAACATGGCATGCCCATGTAAAAAAAATTTTTTTTTAATTAAAACAAACAAGAAAAAGAGTCCCTAGAGTGCTCTCTAGCTCTCTTTCTTCCATGTGAGGATACAATGAGTTGTTGGCAATCTGCAGTCAGGAAGAGGGTCCTCGCCAGAGCCCACCACGCTAGCACCCTGACTTCCAGCCTCCAGAGCTGTGAGAAATACATTTATCATTTAAAAGCCACCCAATCTATGGTAATTTCTCTTTTATTCTTTTCCTTTCTTTCTTTTCTTTTTTTTTTTTTTTTGGGACAAAGTCTTGCTCTGTCACCCAGGCTGGAGTATAGTGGCACAATCATAGCTCACTGCAACGTGGAACTCCTGGGCTCAAGCGATCCTCCTGGGCTCAAGCGATCCTCCTGCCTCAGCCTCTCGAGTACCTGGGACTACAAGCCGTGCATTACCACAATGGCAATTTTTTTTATTTCTGTAGAGATGGGGTCTGGCTATGTTGCCTAGGCTGGTCTCGAACTCCTGACTTCAAGTGATCCTCCCACCTTGGCCTCCCAAGTAGCTGGGACTACAAACGAATTATTTCTCCTTTTTCTTCTGTAGGAGTTTGCTAGGGCTCTACACCTTTTGTGTTGGAAGGACCTTCGTCATAACATTGTTTTTGGCAGATTACTTGAAGGGATTGCAAGCCACAGACCTGCTGCCATATAAGGCCTCATGGAGAGTCCCAAGGTTTATCAAGAGATTCTTTAGCTGTGTGTTAGAAAAGCCCAACTCAAGCTAGCTTAAGAAAAATGGGGATTTCCTGGCTATGGCCAGGAGAGACAGATAAATCTCACCCCTAGCACAGCTGGATCCCACAAGGCCTCTGCTGCCCTCTGTGCACGGGCCCCATATGTTCCTAACACAAGGAGCTTCTGGAAACCCACAGACAATGTCTGCAATCCCGATACCTGGCACTGGCTCCCCAGGAACCCCCAGTATGAGCAGCAGGGACAGACCATTGACAATTGAAGACCTGCATGGCGTCAGTCTCCGTGCAGAAGGAAGCAGAGGGGAGCAATGGGGTTGCTGATGGACCTAAGAACAGAGAACCCCCAAACTGTCGGCAGCTCTTCCCTGGGAAGTACCTTGGGTGAACTGGGGAAGAGCAGCTGAGACTGGGAGGGTTTGGGACACTCTGGCCTGCAGGCAAGTGCAAGGGGCTGGAGCAATCTAGGTGCTACGACCTCTGAAAACAAGGCAGCCAGTGCCCTTCCCTGGCAACCCTTGCGGTCCAAATTGGGCAGTGCAGGGACAAGGGGGCAAAGGAGAGAACAGGTCCCAGCAGCAGTGGGGGAGGGGACAGGAGCTGCCACCAGTGTAACTAGAGCTGGTGTCATGGCCTACCCCTCCCTCCTGAAAGTTCTGGAACTGAATTTCATGAAGCAATGAGCAAGAGAATCAAAGTCAGCTCCCAGGCAAAGTGATTCGAGGAAATACAGGCAGGTAGGGAAGGGGCGGTCGGTGGTGGCGCAGAGAAGCCAGACTTCTTCAAATACACCTTCTTTTCTAGATTTTAATTTGAGACTTTTAACTGTTTTATTACATAATTATAAAACAAAATTTAAGTGGCCGGGGGCGGTGGCTCACACCTGTAATCCCAGCACTTTGGGAAGCCGAGGTGGGCGGACGACTTGAGGTCAGCAGTTGGAGACCAGCCTGGCCAACATGGTGAAACCCTGTCTCTACTAAAAATAAAAAAAATTAGCTGGGCGTGGTGGCGGGCACCTGTAGTCCCAGCTCCTCGGGAGGCTGAGGCAGGAGAATCGCTCGAACCGAGGAGGCGGAAGTTGCAGTGAGCTGAGATCGCGCCACTGCACTCCAGCCTGGGCGACAGAGTAAGACTGTCTCGAAAAAATAAAATAAAGTAAAATAAAAGTTTAAATTTACAGAGCAATCTCTGAAAATCAGCAACAAAAGAAATGAAGCTAAATGCATATCCACTGAGTGGCATATCACTTAGAGAGGGACTATTCTAAGGGACTGGAAACACACCGGTTTACTACACAACCTAGTGGCATATACCCTCAGGGTAAGAAGACCTGTGAAGATGTTAAGGTTTTGGTCACCAATAGGTGAAGGCAGGGTAAGGTGTCCGAATGCCGTCATTTTCCATCCCCAGTGGTTTAATTGGTCTGGGCATTGAGTTTCAGTAGCTGCCAACACCCCAGAAAAGAGACACTCTCCTTGCCAAAACACACCAACAAATCCAACCTGCCTCTGGCCAGATCCTCAGATCAACTACCAATTTACAGAAAAATCATAATGAACAACGTCAGAGGGGCCTGTTAGGCTACGTCATGAACGACTTGCTTGCTTCCACAAATAAATTGCAGGGAGATAGAAAGGGAACCTCTAGATTCAAAGGTAGTCAAAAGGCATATCAGTCAATCTGAATGTGTGGACCTTATTTGAGCCCTGATTCAAGCAGACTGAAAATACGTATGACATTTTTTGAACACTACTAGGATATTTGAAGCTATTCAGGAAATATTGTTACACTTGTCGGTGTGATGATGACTTGTGGTTATGTATTGAGAAGAGCCCTTTTCTCCTAGAGGAACATAGTAAAGATTTACAGAGGGAAGGGTGTGATGTCTTGGATTTGCTTCCAAGAATCAGGAAGAAAGGGTAGTGGAGGGGTCACAGATGAAATGAGATGAAACCGTGGAAGCTGAGTGATGGGTACCGGAGTTCATTACACTCCTCCCTCTACTTTAGTAGATGCTTGAAGTTTTGTGGAAAAAAAAAAAAACCCACCCCGACATTTGAAAAGAGTGCACTGAAGCATCATGCATTGATGAAGTCTGGGGGCATCTAGGAAGAGACTGTTGACATTGCCACCAAGGAAATTCTGGGCACAGTCATGTTGAGGTCAACTGCAAGATCCTCATCCGGTTTGGTCTGGGCACTCTGTCACTAATTGGCACTCGGTCCTGGCCACCCCACAGCGGGATGTTTATTGGCAATCAAGGAGCTGGCGTGGCTTCTGGAAACCACAGCCTGCACGATGTTGTTGTTTTTTGTTTTGTTTTGTTTTGAGACAAGAGTCTCACTCTGTGGCCAGGCTGGAGCATAGTGGCGTGATCTCGGCTCACTGCAACCTCCACCTCCCGGGTTCAAGCGATTCTCCTGCCTCAGCCTCCTGAGTAGCTGGGACTACAGGCATGCGCCACCAAGCCCAGCTAATTTTTGCATTTTTAGTAGACATGAGGTTTCAGTATGTTGGCCAGGATGATCTCTATCTGTTGACCTCGTCATCTGCCCGCCTCTGCCTCCCAAAGTGCTGGGATTACAGGCGTGAGCCACTGTGCCCGGCCTGCACGATGTTCTTGAAGGCACCAAAGGAATTTGGTTTGGAGGAGGGACCTGGGGAGAGGGCCAGGAGTGGGGCGGTCACTGGTGTCCTCAGCTTCTTTGAGGGCCTGCGTGCAAAACTTTCGGATTGGGCAACTCCCAATGGCAGGACTCGGGCTGCCCTGATGAGAGCTTTCAGCTTTCTGTTGGGCCTGAGCCCTCTCTCCCAGGACGGCTCCGAATGGAAAGATGGCCCTGGGCGCCAATGCAGCCTCTTCCCCCAGAGGTGTGCAGCCAAAAGCCAAGTGGCCCCATCATGGAGTTTGACAAAATGACTGCTACAGGCTTTGCCGACCCTGAAGTTCTAGAAGTTTCTTGCCCTCTGCTGCTGTCTTCCCCACCCTCCCGCCTCCCTTGGGTGTGTCAGTATGTTGCCTCCTTTCGGCTTCAAATGTAAAGACAGACCCAGCTCTTCCCCAGGAAGCTGAGGGACTCCGTGGAATGAGAGGTCATTCGCTAGCAGTGAACACACTCATCTACGGGCCACAAAGAAAGAGCACATAAACTCTTCCCCGGCCTCGGATTCTCAAAGGGGCTGGGAAGCCTGTGTGGCTTGAGAATGCATATTCGATATTATGGTGTCCTTCTAGATTTGGAGAGGACCCCCCAATTCATGTCATCAGAAAAGCTATGGGAGAAAGCCTTCTCTGCTGGTGGGGACGTGCAGAAGAGAGATTCCCTTGGGCGGGGCAGGTGGGTGGCCGGTGGCCCCCAGTGCAGCCACCCAGCCTCCACGGGCCTGCTGGCTCACCTCTGGTGGAGTTGCTGTTGGTGTAGGTGAAGATGCTGGACTGGGTGCTGTCCTCATAGCTGTCCTGCGGATGGCGGCCTGCGAGCCTTTGGAGGCTCCACTGCTGGGCCATGGCTATGGAAAGCCCTGTCCCCGACGGCAGCCGGCCCTGGTGCGTCACCTGAGGGTCACGGTGCTTTATACCGGCCAGTGGGATCAGCCCGGGCCTCTTCACCTTAAAAGCTCCCAAATCCTACACCATCTGATCTCTTAATTGGGCCTGGGACTTAGACCTCCTCCTCCCACCCCTTGCTTCCTTGCTCCTGAGGCGAGCCCCCGGGGGCGGCTCAGAGGGATTTGCTGGAAACCTGTAATCCCAGCTACTGGGAGGTCGAGGCAGGAGAATCGCTTGAATCTGGGAGGCGGAGGTTGCAGTGAGCTGAGATGGCGCCACTGAACTCTAGCCTGGGCAACAGACCAAGACTCTGTCTAAAAAAAAGTGGCTGGGCACAGTGGCACACGCCTGTAATCCCAGCACTTTGGGAGGCCAAGGCGGGTAGATCTCCTGAGGTCAGGAGTTCCCGACCAGCCTGACTAACATGGTGAAACCCCGTTTCTACTAAATAAAAAACAATTAGCTGGGCTTAGTGGCAAATACCTGTACTCCCAGCTACTTGGGAGGCTGAGACAGGAGAATCGCTTGTACCTGGGAGGTCGAGGTTGCGGTGAGCCAAGATCGAGCCATTGCACTCCAGCCTGGGCAACAAGAGCAAAACTCTGTCTCAAGAAAAAAAATTTAACAGGCCACCTAATTGCGATTAAAAAAAAACAAAACCCTGAATCTGTTTAGATTCCCACTTGCAGGGTATGTGACATCACCTTCTGCCACATTCTCGCCAGCCCTGGACATTGTTAGGCTTTTTAATTTTTGGCGTTCTGGTGGATGAGAAAATAGTATTTAATTGTTGCTTTTCGCTTACTATTCCCGGATCACCTTGCAATTACATGTTTTATTATACGTTACTGTCTTTTGTTTTTAGTCGTCTGAGATGTCCGTGGCTACCCTTTAATGTCTTTATATTGGGTTATTTGCTCTTAGTTTACTGATTTGCAGTTCTTTATATATTGTGTTGATTAGCCCTTTATCTATCAGATATGTTTCAAGCCTTTTTTTTTCTTGTTTGCTTTTATTTATTTATTTTTTGAGATGGGGTCTCAGTCTGCCACCCTGGCTGGAGGGCAGTGGTGCGATCACGGCAGCCTCGACATCCCCGGGATCAAGCGATCCTCCCGTCTCAGCGTCCTGGGTAGCTGGGACTACAGGTGTGCACCACCACTCCAGGATAATTGTTGTATTAATTTTTTTTTAATAGAGACGGGGTTTCGCCATGTTGCCCAGGCTGGTCTTGACCTCCTGGGCTCAAGAGATCCACCCACCTTGGCTTCCAAAGTGCTGGGATTACAGGCATGAGCCAGCACACCCAGCCCTTGTTTTTTTTTTTTTCTCCCCCTTTCTTTCTTTCTTTTTTGTTTTTGTTTTGATTAATCAAGTCCCATTTTTTTCTCCTCTTGGTTATTTGGATGTTATGTACATATGTAGCTTCTTTTCTAGTGATTACTTTTTTTTTTTTTTTTGAGACAATCTCACTCTTGTCAGTCAGGCTGGAGTGCAGTGGCGCAGTCTCGGCTCACTGCAACCTCCGTCTCCCCGGCTCAAGCAATTCTCCTGCCTCAGCCTCCCCAGTAGCTGGGATTACAGGTGTGTGCCACCATGCCCGGCTAATTTTTGTATTTTTAGTAGGGACAGTGTTTCGCAGTGTTGACCATGATGGTCTCAAACTCCTGACCTCAAGTGATCCACCCGCCTTGGCTTCCCAAAGTGCTGGGATTACAGCTGTGAGCCACCACGCCCGGCCCCCCCACCCCCCGCTCTTTTTTTTTTGAGACAAGGTCTCACTCTGTCACCCAGGTTGGAGGGCAGTAGCACAGTCACAGGTCACTGCAGCCTCTACTTGCTGGGCACAAGTAATCCTCCTGCCTCAGCATCCTGAGTAGCTGGGACCACAGGTGCACACCACTGCCCTGGCAAGACTTGCTTTTTAAACAGTTGTTGAATTCTTACATTTGTCAGTGGTGTACTGAACTCCTTCATGTCTAAAAATGTCTTTAGTCTAACCCCACAGTTGACAGTTGGGGTGTAGAATTTTAGGCTGGGAAATCATTTTTCCCTCAGAATTTCGAAAGCAGCACTTCATTGTCTTTTTTTTTTTTTTTTTTTTTTTTTTTTTGGGACAGAGTCTTGCTCTGTCGCCCCAGGCTGGAGTACAGGGGAGTGATCCTCGGCTCACTGCAACCTCTTGGGTTCAAGCGATTCTCTTGCCTCAGCCTCCCGAGTAGCTGGGATTACAGGCGCCCACCACAATGCTGGCTAATTTTTGTATTTTTAGTAGAGACAGAGTTTCCTCATGTTGGCCAGCCTGGTCTCAAACTCTTGACTTCAAGTGATCCGCCTGCCTGGGCTTCCCAGAGTGCTGAGATTACAGGTGTGAGCCACCGTGCCCGGGCAGCACTTCATTGGCTTCTAGTTCCCCATGCTGTTGCTGAAGTCTGAAGCCATTCTGACTTCTGATTCTTTGAATGTGACCTATTTTTTTCTCTCTGACAGTTATTCTCTCAGTGTATCGAAAATATCAGTCAACTATCTTCTGGATTGCATTGATGCTATTGAGAAGGCAGCCTGCAGTCTAAAAGTCATGGTTTTAAAGGTAATCAGCTTTTTTTCCTCTGGCTGCTTTTAACATCTTGTGTCGGCCGCGGGCGGTGGCTCATGCTTGTAATCCCAGCACTTTGGGAGGCCCAGGTGGGCGGATCATTTGAGGTCAGGAGTTCCAGACCAGCCTGGCCAACATGGTGAAACACTGTCTCTACTAAAAATACAAAAATTAGCTGGGCTTGGTGGCGGGCGCCTGTAGTACCAGCTACTTGGGGGGCTGACGCAGGAGAATCGCTTGAACCCGGGAGGCAGAGGTTGCAGTGAGCCGAGATCACGCCACTGTACTCCAGCCTGGGCGACAAGAGCGAAACACTGTTTCAAAAAAAAAAAAAAAAAAAAAAATCTCGTGTCTAGGTGTGGACCTATTTCTGTCTTCCCTGCTTAGGATTTATTGGGCTTCTTGAATTTGTGAATTTGTGTCTTTCTTCAGTTCTGGAAAGTTCTTAGGGAGTTATCTCTTAAAATGTTGCTGCTGTGGCCGGTCGTAGTGGCTCATGCCTGTAATCCCAGCACTTTGGGAGGCCGAGGTGGGTGGGTCACCTGATGTTGAGAGTTCGAGAACAGTCTTGCCAACATGATGAAACCCCATCTCTACTAAAAATACAAAAGAATTAGCTAGCTGTGATGGCACGCGCCTGTAGTCCCAGCTACTCGGGAGGCTGAGGCACGAGAAGTGCTTGAACCCGGGCAGCAGAGGTCGGCCGTGAGCCGAGATTGTGCCACGGCACTCCGCCTAGGCAACAGAGTGTGACTCCATTTCAATTTAAAAAAAAAAGAAGAAAAATATGTATATATTGCTGCTGCTTCATTCTGTCTGTCTTCTCTCTCTGGTGTGACAATTGGATTTTTGTTAGACCTACTCATGCTACCTTCCATGTCTTCTATTTTTCAAGTTTTCTATTTTTTTGTGCCTCTGTGCTGCATTCTGGATACTTTTTTTTCTTTCTTTCTTTTCTCTTTCTCTCTCTCTCTCTCTCTCTCTCTCTCTCTTTCTTTCTTGGGATGGAGTTTTGCTCTTGTTGCCCAGGTTGGAGTGCAGTGGCGTGATCTCGGCTCACTGCAACCTCTGCCTCCTGGGTTCAAGCCATTCTCCTGCCTCAGCCTCCCAAGTAGCTGGGATTACAGGTGCCCACCACCATGCCCAGTTAATTTTTTGTATTTTTTAGTAGAGACAGGGTTTCACCATGTTGGTCAGGTTAGCCTCAAACTCCTGACGTCAGGTGATCCACCCGCCTTGGCCTCCCAAAATGCTGGGATTACAGGCGTGTGAGCCACCGCGCCCGGCCTGGATACTTTCTTTAGCTCCTCTGTACAATTTACCAACAGTCTCTCCAGCCATATCAAATCTGCCATTAAATCCATCAATTGAACATATTATTATTTATTATTTATTTATTTTTTGAGACGGAGTCTCACTCTACCACCCAGGCTGGAGTGCAGTGGCACGATCTCAGCTCACTGCAACTTCTGCACCCCGGGTTCAAGCGGTTCTCCTGCCTCAGCCTCCCGAGTAGCTGGGACTACAGGCGTGTGCCACCACGCCTGGCTAATTTTGTATTTCTAGTAGAGATGGGGTTTCTCTGTGTTGGTCAGGCTGGTCTTGAACTCCCGACCTCAGGTGATCCGCCCGCCTCGGCCTCCCAAAGTGCTGGAAGTACAGGTGTGAACCACTGTGCCAGGCATTTTTTTTTTTTTTTTTGTATTTTGTATAGACGGGGTTTCACCATGTTGGCCAGACTGGTCTTGACCTCCTGACCTCCGCCCGCCTCGGCCTCCCAAAGTGCTGGGATTACAGGCATGAGCCACCACACCTGGCCTATATTGAACATTTAAATAGTTTGAAAACTGTGAAATCTGGCATATGTATATAAAGGTGCAGAAAACATTGATGTATGTTTTAAGAAGTAACGATAAGGTGAACACACATTTAACCACTACTCAGGCCAGGCACCCCAGCCTCCACAGTCACCCCAGTCATAATCCCCTTCTCCCGCTCTAGTGGGAACCACCATCCTGGGGTTTCTGTTGCCAACATCCATGCTGCTCTTTAGCTTTCCTGCCTGTGTAGTCATCCCTACACAATATTGTTTAGTTTTGCCTGCTCTTGGAATTTATGTAAATGGAACCATATATAGTATGGATTTTCTGTCTGGTTTCTTTTGTTCAACATTATGCTTGTGAAATGCATTCATGTTTTTCAAGGCTGTAGTTCATTCTCATTGCTGTACAGTAGTATGTTGTTGCATATATTACAGTTTACTTACACTTTCTGGGCAGGTGGTTTGTTGCTAGTTGTTGGATATTGAGAACATCAGTGTACTTGCCTCCTGGGAATATCGCCTATGAATGCAGTTGCTGGATCATTTGGTAGGTATATCTTCAACTTTGTGATACTGTCAAGTGGTTTTCTAAGGTGGCTGTAGTACAAATTTGCTTCCCGCCAGTAATGATTGAGAGTTCCTGTTGCGCTATATCCTTGCCAACTCTTATTGTTGTTAGTCTGTCTGAGTTTGACCAATCTACTGGGTACATAGTGGTATCACTTTGCATTTTAAAAATTGAGGTATAGGCCAGATGCAGTGGCTCACACCGGTAATCCCAGCACTCTTTGGGAGGCCGAGGCGGGAGGATCACTTGAGGTCAGGAGTTGGAAACCAGCCTGGTCAACATGGTGAAACCCTGTCTCTACTAATAATACACGAATTAGCTGGGTGTGGTGATGCACACCTGTAATCCCAGCTACTCGGGAGGCTGAGCCATGAGAATTGCTTAAACCCGGGAGGCGAAGGTTGTAGTGAGCCGAGATTGCACCACTGCACTCCAGCCTGGGTGACAGAGTGAGACTCCGTCTCAAAAAACAAAAAAGTAGAAACGGAACAGAGGCTGCACCTGAGCTGCCCCCCACCTCCCTCTCCTAGCTCCTTGCTCTGGTGGGCTGGGTTCCAGCTATGCTGCTCTTGCCATCTTTATTTTAGAGGTAAGAAAACTGAGCCTCAGAGCAGTTTATTAACTTGCTCAAGGTCTCAGAGTGGTAGAGCCAGGATTTGAACTGGGCTCTTCGTCAAAGGCAATGTTAATCCCCTCACCATGTGAGAGACTCATTCTTTTGTGTTACAGTAGAATTTTCTGCCGTAGACTGTCAGCTGTATGAGATCAAGGAATGTATCTGGCTTCTGTACCACGTGGTAGGCACTCAGAGAAAGTATGTGTTGAATGAATGATTGGATGAATGAATGAACCTGTTAGGAGGCAAATCTCTCTGCCTAACCCTTCCTGTCTCCCTGGGAGTAGCAATACAGCAAGCTGTAAGAGTTGACGGAAATAAGCTTATTCCATACTTTACAAGAACAGTTCTTTATAAATGAGACCCACAATTGGTAATTTTTGGAAGAGAAAATAGGAGTGCAGTGCAAAAACAGGCAGATGTAGAAGGGAGTCTGGCCACCTGTGGGTCTTAGTGAGGCACACATGTAGAGCAAGGAGTCAGACGCTGAAAAGGAGGGGAGAGGGGCCCTGAAGATGAGCATCACCTCCTCAGTCTGTGTCGGGCCCATCTTGAATGCACAAATCTTGCGTGTGTAAGTATCCATGCATATGTGGAAGTGTTTTATGGAGTCATAACGTGTCCAATTCTCCCACACTTTGCGGCTCACAGAGCACCGTATTGTGATTTCTTGTTTCCCAACGTAGGCGGAACACACCAGGAGCCCCAGCGCAACCCTCCCCTCCAATGTGCCTTCATGCCGGTCCCTGTCATCCAGCGAAGACGGCCCCAGTGGCCCTTCCAGCCTCGCAGATGGAGGCCTAGCCCACAACTTACAGGATAGTGTCAGGCACCGCATCCTCTACCTCTCAGAGCAGCTGAGAGTGGAGAAGGCCAGTCGGGATGGCAACACTGTGAGCTACCTCAAGCTGGTATCCAAAGCAGACCGGCACCAGGTGCCGCACATCCAGCAGGCCTTTGAGAAGGTGAACCAGCGCGCCTCTGCCACCATCGCCCAGATCGAGCACAGGCTCCACCAGTGTCACCAGCAGCTCCAGGAGCTGGAGGAAGGCTGCAGGCCCGAGGGCTTACTGCTGATGGCAGAAAGCGACCCAGCCAACTGCGAGCCACCCAGTGAGAAGGCCCTGCTTTCAGAGCCCCCCGAGCCAGGTGGGGAAGACGGGCCGGTCAACCTGCCTCATGCCAGCAGGCCCTTCATCTTGGAGAGTCGCTTCCAGAGCTTACAGCAGGGGACGTGCTTAGAGACAGAGGATGTGGCCCAGCAACAAAACCTGCTGTTGCAGAAGGTAAAGGCAGAGCTGGAAGAAGCCAAGAGGTTCCACATCAGCCTCCAGGAGTCCTATCACAGCCTAAAGGAGAGGTCTCTGACTGACCTGCAGCTGTTGCTGGAGTCCCTTCAGGAGGAGAAGTGTAGGTGAGGCCTTGGCTCTGGGGACTGGAAGCAGAGGAGGAACCGCTCCCAGGAGCCACCTATGGGAGGGTGAAAGGGAGCCAGGACAGGAGCCTGGAGAGCCAGGGTGAGGGGCCAGTTGGAAGAGCAGGTCCATGCTTCTTTTAGCGACTGGGCCCTGCAGTGGGGCGAGCCAGCCCTCTC
The DNA here is from genome assembly GCF_000001405.40 of Homo sapiens. Taxonomy (NCBI): domain Eukaryota; kingdom Metazoa; phylum Chordata; class Mammalia; order Primates; family Hominidae; genus Homo; species Homo sapiens. The sequence goes on along the minus strand of NC_000023.11, from coordinate 154,250,381 downwards.
CCTGCAGTCCCACACCTGCCTTGACCCTTGCTAGCGAAAATGCTCCAGCTTGGCAGCCCCTGCCGGGTGGTTGCAGCGGCATAGCGGCTGGCCCTGACCCTGTGGTGGCAGGGGACAACATGGGGGTGGCAAGAGTCCGGTAGACACCTGGCACTAGTTAGGGAGGTGGCGTCCTTTGGTCCCAGTCGGCTGGGAAGGTGGGAGTCAGGACCGGAGTCGCCTCGCCAGCTCTGGTCTCTTCACATGTGCTCCTAGCTGAGCTGGGGCACAGGCCGGGTCTCAGATACTTATTTCAAAAATGACTGCCTTCTGGTGAATGCTTTCTCCGCACCGTGCAGTAGCTCGATTTTCTTTTTCTTTTTTTTCTTTTGAGATGGAGTCTCACTCTGTCGCCAGACTGGAGTGCAGTGGCACGATCTCGGCCCACTGCAACCTCCACCTCCCGGGTTCAAGCGATTCTCCTGCCTCAGCCTCCCGAGTAGCTGGGAATACAGGCGTGCACCAGCACATCCGGCTATTTTTTGTATTTTTAGTACAGGCGGGGTTTCACCATGTTGACCAGGATGGTCTCAATCTATTGACCTCGTGATCCGCCTGCCTCAGCCTCCCAGAGTGCCGGGATTACTGGTGTGAGCCACCTCACCCTGCCCTAGCTCGATTTTCTTTCCCTCTAAGATAAGGCTAGGGCCTACCAATTGGAGGAAAAAAAAAAAAAAAAAAAAAAAGGCAAACCCAATCTCTCAACGGATTCTCTCCATTCCTATTGGGACCGTTCTCTGGGTTTCCATGGGCCCTCAGGGGGTGCCACATTCTGTCCCCCTCGCTGCAGTCTGTGGCTAATTAACGCCAGTCCCTCCAGCGTCCTGGCTAGGGAGGCAGCGATTCCCTTAGGTGAGCCAAGATTCTCAGCATTTGCATGAAAAGAAGAACTCCGCAGTCCTTTTAGTGCCTGATGCAGGGGAAGCGGCGTGTGGGAATCATCCTCTTTAGTTTCCCCAGGGAAATCTTGCCAGCGTTTACATGGCCTAAGAATCTGTTAAAGGACAATCAAAGAATATTACAGGGCAACCACTGTCAATGAGATGACTAGTCAGAGTCACAGGCGTCTCTTGCAGATTATTTTCATAGGACATGGCAACCAAATCTAAAATCTTGGGAGCATCAAAGACCCTTTTGTGAAAATCACACTTACCCGGTCAGCTTTCTATTAAGCAACAGCAGAACTTGGTGGCAGTTACAAACTTCCCCGTATGTTTCCAAGCCACAGGGGCCAATGAGAATGCTGTGCTCAGGTAAACTCTTAACCCCTCTCAAATCCGAGTCTTTCGCCCGCTCTTGATACAGCGGTGACTACCGGGGAGCAGGGCAATACCTCTGTCTCTCCCCCTCTCAGACTTTTGCTGCAAATTCTAGAAGCCTGCACTTCTGACCCGGTACCCCCCATTGGACTGTGACATGGGATGTCTGGTTGTTTGCTGCAGCAGCGAGCCTACCCTTACTAATGTTCATCGTGAGCAGAAAAGCAGGTCTACAGGGCCCAAGCAGGTCTACAGGAGGAGAAAGGGCTGCTGATGATTTTTCACTGTTGTCACGGGCTCGTAACTGAGCTGGGGCACCAGGTTAAGCAGCCTTGTTCTTTGGCCCTCAGACGCCTACTTTATGGTTGGGGAAGCAGAGTCTCACAGAGGCACAAGCAGGCTACGTGGCTGCTAAGTGCGGACCTGAGAGCATTTCACCACACCCTGGCTGTGTGGCTAAGTTAGATGCAGGGGACACAGGAGTTCATGGCATTTTAAAAACATATACTTCCGTAAAATCTTCTTCAAAACTTTTACATGATCTGGACACAGAAGTGTTTCAACCAGCCAGGCTCCCTGTGACTGTTGCGTCCCCTCTGGTGCATCACAAACTGAGAATCCATACTGCAAGTCCTGTGCTGTTTATCACAGTTAAATCCGTTTGCTTTCAGGAGGGCTGTTGTGGTTTTTATCATTATGGTTTCTTTTTAATTTGGTCTCGGCATGTCTCTACTGAGAGTGGCCATAGCCGAGATACCCAGTTTCTAGGAGATCCCTGACCCGTGGGAAAGTTAGGTTCGGATGTGTGTGTCAGGGGAGCCACAGTGAGGAGGCAGACGAAAATGCATGAAACAGCAGAAATGGGCTGGGCGTGGGGGCTCACGCCTGTAATCCTAGCACTTTGGGAGGTTGAGGTGGGCAGACTGCTTGAGCTCAGGAGTTTGAGACCAGCCTGGGCAACATAGTGAGACCCGGTATCTACAAAAACATCAAAAAATTAGCTGGGCGTGATGGCGCGTGCCTGTAGTCACAGCTACTCAGGAGGCTGAGCGGGAGCGGGGATCCCTTGAGCCCGGGAGGTTGAGGCTGCAGTGAGTCATGATTGCACCACTGCACTCCATTCTGGGTGACAGAGCAAGACCCTGTGTCAAAAAAAAAAAAAAAAAAAGAAATGTATGACTCAGATCGAAGAGATGTTAGGTGTGCTGATGGGAGGCAGAGGGGAAGTCTGGAGGCAGCAGGGAGCTGATTGAGCTCATCAGCTGTGCAACAGCGAAGCCCAGAACGGAAGGGCGGGGAAGCTTCCGGGGCTGTGCCTGTATTAAGGTCACAGGGTGTGAAGTGATCCCACAGGCTTTCCTGCGGGGGTTGTGGATTGGCTGGTTTAAAGAAAACATGCACGAGGAGGAAACTGATTTACATGACTCTGGTGTTGAGCATTAGGTCTTATCGTGGTCAGCAGCCGTGGGATGTGTTGGGTTTTGGGTCAGTGAGGCGAGGACCACGTGGGCTATGTCGCAAACAATCACATGACAGGGAGGGAGGGGTGTTATCTAGGGCAAAGGTGACAGGGTACAACTGCTAAAGTTGGATGCTGAGGCAGCAACTGTATTAAACGCATTTATGACAAGGGCTTACTTAAAAAAATTGATGTAGAATTCACATAATTTCACGTAATGTGAAATTAACCATTTGGAAGCATGTAATTCAGTGCATTAAGTACATCTGCAGTGTGGTTCAACCATCACCTCTGTCCGGTTGTCTAACATTCTCATCACCCCAGAAGGAGACCTCCAGACTCACTACACGGTCACTCCTAGCCTCGGCTCCAGGCGTTCCCTAATCTGCTTTCTGTCTCCGTGGGTTTGCCTCTTCTGGACTTTTCATATAAATGGGACCATACGATATGTGGGCTTTTGTGTCTAGCTCCTTTCACTGTTTTCAAGGTTCACTAATGTTGTAGCACGTATCAGTACTTCATTCTCTTGACGGCTGACTAATATTCCAGTGCATGGGTAGACCACATTTTGTTTATCTGTCCATCAGTGGATGGAGATTTGAGTTGTTTCCACCTTTTGGCTATTGTGAGAAGCCCTGCGCTGAACACTCAGATACATGCCAGTTGTTTGAACACCAGTTTTCAATTCTTTGGGGTCTATAATCAGGAGTAGAATTGCTGGACCCCGTGGTGACTCCAGGTGTAGCGTTTAGAGGAGTCTTCCCACAGCAGCCGCGCAGCTCCATCTTCCCACCAGCAATGCAGAAGGCTTCCAGTTGCCTCACATCCTTGCCAACATTTGTTGTTATCCTTTTTTTTTTTTTCCAACAGATGTAACTGTGAAGTGGTATCTCATTATGAGGGCTGGCTTTCTTTTTTATTTTTCCTGAGTCTTTGGATAGGCAAAAGTTCTTTCTTTCTTTCTTTCTTTCTTTCTTCTTTTTCTTTTTCTCTCTTTCTTTCCATCTCTCTCTCTCTCTTTCTTTCTTTTTCTTTCTCTCTTTCTCTTTCTTCCTTTCTCTCTGTCTCTCTCTCTCTCTCTCTATCTCTCTTTCTTTCTTTCTTTTTCTTCAGGGTCTCTGTTGCCCAGGCTGCATGCAGTCATAGTTCACTACAGCCTTGAACTCCTGGGCTCAAGCGATCTTCCTGCCTCAGCCTCCCGAGTAGCTGGGAGTACAAAGCATGTGCCACCATGCCTGGCTAACTTTTTAAAAATTATTATTATTTGTAGAGATGGGATCTTGCTATGTTGCCCAGGCTGGTCTTGAACACCTGGCCACGGCCTCCCCAAGTACTGGGGTTACAGATGTGAGCCACTGTGCCTGGACAGTTCTTACTTTTTAATGCATTTTTTAATTGATTGTGGTAAAAACAAAAAACCCACAATATATTCTTTTTGATTCTGCGAAGTGCAGGGTCTCTATCACAGCAACAATTAGACTCAGGAGGCTTGGGGCTGGCCCTGGGGTCTCCTCCTTCATGAGGTCTGGGTTTGTAGGTCCTTGCAGAGGACGTTCCTGGGTCCTGGAAGGACTGTGACTGCTTCCGCTGGAGTTGCTTGAGGCCCCTGGTAACTCTCCTCTCTGTGTGCTGAGGAGAAGCACGGGCGTCGCGAACTTGATGATTCTGGATGGAAGGGTCTTTGCCAAGCTTCCCTTTCTTTCTTGTGGAAATAGGAGGAGCTTCAGATCTCCGAGAAGATGCACAGTGAGCGGCCGACCTCCTCAGCACAAGCCAGTCTCCTGGGGGACCAGAAGGCCCCGGTCCCTCAGTTTCTTCGTGGGTCAGGAGGAAAGAAGGCTTGAGAAACTCAGAAAACGTTCATTGGTAGAAGAGATGGCACCCAAGGAAGGCATGGGGAGCCTTCAAGTAAAAGTCTCGACTGGCCAGGTCTCATCTGGGCACCTTGCATGCAGAGTTGCAGGAGGCCCCCTCTAGCCTCCTAATGAGCCAGGGGGCTCTGGGAGGGTCTTGGGGGTCCTTCCCCATCTCTTACAGGATGCGCAGCTGACTTCTGCTTGATGGTGAAAGGCAGTCAGGTTTCAGTCTTGGCCCCGTAGACAGGGCATGGACAAGTCCTGGAGTTGGGGGTATGGTGCCAGCAAAACCATCTTTACTCTCTGGGGTCCATAGCCAGTCCCAGCCTGCCCAGCCCCACCCTCCTCCTTCACCTTTGTAGCCCGAGTGGTCAATGCCTGGGGTAGATGGGTTGCTGGGACATCTTTGTTCTTTGTTGGATGAGTAAAATGGTCCTGGGAGAAAACCCGACTGTGAGGAGCACATTGCTTCTTTTTTTTGTCTTTTTTATGAGATGGAGTCTCACTCTGTCCCCCAGGCTGGAGTGCAGTGGCACGATCTCGGCCCACTGCAACCTCCACCTCCCCGGTTCAAGCGATTCTCCTGCCTCAGCCTCCCGAGTAGCTGGGATTACAGGCACACGCCAGCATGCCTGGCTACTTTTTGTATTTTTCAGTAGAGATGGGGTTTCGCCATGTTGACCAGGGGTCTCGAACTCCTGACCTGAAGCGATCCACCCGCCTCGGCCTCCCAAAGTGCTGGAGTTACAGGTGTGAGCCACCACACCTGGCTGGAGGACATTGCTTCTTGCCCCATTTCTAGTTCCCTAGACCTGCCTTGGCATCAACTCATTGAAGGCTCCACTTGGTGACAAGGAACCGGCTTATTTGGAAACAGGGTCGTTGCGGACGTGATGAGTTAGATCTGGATGAGGTCATTCTGCAGAGGGGTGGGCCCTAATGCAGTGTGACCTGTGTCCTGACAGAAAGGGGAGACGGAGACACGGACACACCCAGAGGGAGAGCGCCGTGTGGAGACAGAGGCTGAGGCCGACCTGCCGTGGCAGAAGCCAAGGAAGCCCGCAGGTGGGCAGCAGAGCAGAAGCTGGGACAGAGGCCCCGAGTGGAGGCGCCTTCTCGGTCCTCGGCAGGAGCCCGCCCAGCCTGGGCCTTCCTCTCGGACTGCTGGACCCCCAGCCAGGAGAGAGGCCATCTCTGCTGGGAAAGCCACTCAAAGTTTGTAACGCTTTGTGATGGCAGCCAGAGGAAACTCCCACACTCAGCTTGTCCTTTAGGCTCTGCTCTGATGTCCTCTCCTCAAAGGGACTTCCCAGGCTACCACGTTCAAATGGCCTCTTCTTTTATTCTTTTGGAAGCGGGGTTTTTTGAAGTAAAGTTTTTGTTTTTTTGTTTTTTTTAGATGGAGTTTTGCTCTTGTTGCCCAGACCGGAGTGCAATGGCGCAATCTCGGCTCACTGCAACCTCCGCCTCCTGAGTTCAAGCGATTCTCCTGCGTCAGCCTCCCGAGTAGCTGGGATTACAGGCAGGCACCACCACGCCTGGCTAATTTTGTAATTTTAGTAGAGATGGGGTTTCTCCATGTTGGTCAGGCTGGTCTCGAACTCCTGTCCTCAGGCGATCCACCTGCCTCGGCCTCCCAAAGTGCTGGGATTACAGGAGTGAGCCACCGCGCCTGGCCTTTTTGAGGTAAATTTTATGCAGTGAAATTGCATTTAAGTTTAGGCATACAGTTTAACGAGTTTTGACAAAGGTTTACACCTGGGCAGCTAAAATCCCAATAAAGAGCTTTGCCACCACCCCAGAAAGTACCCTCATACCCTCTTCCAGTGAATGCCCGTCTCCCATAATTGGCCACTGTTCCGGTTTCTGTCACTCTAGCTTCATCTCCTTTTGAACTTCACGTAAGTGGAATCGCACGGCACGCAGTGCTTTGTGTCTGGCGGCTTTCGCTCCGTGGAATTGTTTTGAGATCCACCCAAGCTGTGTGAAGTGAGTAGCTCATGGCTTCGTATTGCTTGGCAGCCTTCCATTGCATGGAGACGCCGCAGGTTGCTTATGCCCTGGTCCGCTGCCAGTTGGGGCGACTGAATAAAGCTGCTATGAACGTTCTCGCACAAGTCTTTCTGTGAACATATGCTTTCATATATGGAATTGCTAGATAACAGGGAAGTGTTATGTGTCTTAGTCCCACTTTCTGTTGCTGTAACAGAGTACCGCAGGCTGGGTGGTTTATAAAGAAAGGAAGTTCAATGTCAAGGCGCTGGCAGCTGGTGAGGACCTTTGTACGGCATCATCCTATGGCGGAAGGCAGAAGGGCAAGAGGGCGTGAGAGAGCGAGCGGGGGCCAAACTTTCATGATAACAATATTAATATTAATCGCCTCTTACCAGTCCCACCCCTTAACACCATCACATGGCCATTAAATTTCAACACGAGTTTTGGGGGGGACATGTACACCATAGCAGTATGCTTAACTTTTTAAGAAAGAGGAAGGCCGGGCGCGGTGGCTCACCCCTGTAATCCCAGCACTTTGGGAGGCTGAGGCAGGCGGATCACCTGAGGTCGGGAGTTCGAGACCAGCCTGAACAACATGGAGTAAACCCTGTCTCTACTAAAAATACAAAATTAGCCCGGCGTGGTGGCACATGCCTGTAATCCCAGCTACTCGGGAGGCTGACGCAGGAGAATCGCTTGAACTCAGGAGGCGGAGGTTGCGGTGAGCCGAGATCGTGCCATTGCACTCCAGCCTGGGCAACGAGTGAAACTCCATCTCAAAAAAAAAAAAAAGAGGAACTGTTTTCCGACATGGCTATACCATTTTACAGTCCCGCTAGGAGTGTATAAGAGTTCCAGTTGCCAACGTTTGGCAAGATCAGTCTTTTAAATGTCAGCCTCTTAAGTTCAGCCACAACTTGGTGAAATTAGACTCCAAAATTTCATCACCCTAGCCCATGTTCTCTCGACCTTGGCACTGTCGACATTTTGGACCAAATGATTCTCTGTTGTGCGGGGCTGTCCTGTACATTCTAGGATGATGAGCAGCATCCCTGGTCTCCACTTACTTGATGCCAGTGGTGCCGTGAATTAATTGATGCTGCCGTGACAAATTGCCCCCAACTTCATGGCTTAAAATAATAGAAAGTTATTCTCTCGCAGTCCTGGAGGCTAGAAGGCCGAAATCCGTTTCACTGGGCTGAAATCAGGCGAGGAGGACACACACTCATTGGAGGCTCTAGGGGACAAACTGATCTTTGCCTCTTCCAGTTTCTGGTGGCTGCCAAATTCCTTAATTTTGTGGCCACATCATTCCTGTCCTGAAGGCCAGCATCTTCAAACCTGTGTTCTGTCTTCACATGACATTCTCGTCTGTGTGTGTCTAATGTCCTTCTGCCTCTCTCTCATACATGTGATTGCATTTAGGGCCACCAGGATAATCTAGGATAATCTTTGCATCTCAATACCCTTAAACTCACCACTTCTGGAAAGCCCCCTTTTTTGGTCATAGAAGGTAACATTCACAGTTTCCAAGGATTATGACACAGATATCTTTTGCGGAGGGGCTTTTTGTTTTTTTCTTTTTTAGACAGAGTCTCTCTCTGTCACCCAGGCTGGAGTGCAGTGGCACGATCTTGGCTCACTGCAACCTCCGCCTCCTGGGTTCAAGCAATTCTCCTGCCTCAGCCTCCCAAGTAGCTGGGACTACAAGCGCGTGCCACCACACCCAGCTAATTTTTTTGTATTTTTCATAGAGACGGGGTTTCACCCTGTTGCTCAGGGTGTTCTTGAACTCCTGAGCCCAGGTAATCTGCCCACCACAGCCTCACAAAGTGCTGGGGTTACAGATGTGAGCCACCGTGCCCAGCCTAGGGGGGCAATTTTAGCCTACCGTGCCCCACCTATTTGTAACAACCAGAAATGTCTGTCCAGAGATTGCCAAATGTCCCTTGTTTGGGGAGGGGGGGGCCGGCAAATTGCCCCTGGTTGAGAACCAGTATCCTAGCCCATGAGACTAGTGGGTGTGTGACCCTGCCTCTGACAATTAATGATGCTGAACCCCTTTTCATGTGCTTATCAGCCAATAAGTCTTTGGCTTGTTTTCAACTTGGATTGTCTTTTTATTGTTGAGTTGTCAGAGCTCTTTATATACTCCGGACCAGTCTTTGTCACTCCCCTACTTTTTCCTTTCTCGCAGCACTCACCGCCTAAACTGCTCTCCCTTGTGTAGGTATTCATTTGTGTTGTATTGTTCTCGTCAAAATATCAGCACATTCAGGTCGGCCACTGTGTCTGAGTGACTGCCCAAAGACATGTTGGCACATGATGGCTGTTCTGTGAGTACCTGTTTCATGGATCAGTCTGGATGCTGCTTTTCCTCCCTTCCTGAAGGGACCCAGCTCGCCCTCTGGGCTGCCTCCCTCCTCCATGTATGTCAGAACTCTATCTGCTGTGTCTTGGGAACATCAGGGCAGGGCCAGGAGGGCTGATTCTGGATTTAGGCCTGGCCCAGCCTCCTCTCTGCAAGGTATTTACTGAATGACCTTGGACGAGGTGCTTCAAGTTTGCAATCCTCAGTTTCCACATCTGTAACATGGAGGTAAAAATGATCCCACTATTGTTGGAACTGTTGTGAGAATTAATTAATACTTGTGTGTAAGCCCCAAGTAGATGCTGATGGAACTGAATTTACAATTCCTTTCTGCTTCCTATGTGCAAACTAAGTCCTTGAAAGATCGTAAAGAAAAATGGGGCCAGATGTGGTGGCTTATGGCTGTAATCCCAGTGCTTTGGGAGGTCGAGGCAGGAGGATTGCTTCAGCCCAGGAGTCTGAGACCAGCTTGGGTAACAAAGTGAGACCATATCTCTGCAAAAAATTTTAAAAGTATTAACCGGACTTGGTGGCACATGCCTGTAGTCCCTGCTACATGGGAGGCTGAGACAGGAGGATCGCTTGAGCCCGAGAGTTTTATGTTGCAGTGAACTATGATTGTGCCACTGTGCTCCAGCCTGGGTGATAGAGGACAGAGTGAGAACTTGTCTCAAAAAAAAAACAGAAAGAGAGAGAGAGAGAGAGGAGAGAGAGAGAGAGGAGAGAGAGAGAGAGAGAGAGGGAGAGAGAGAGAGAGAGAGAGAGAGAAAGAAAGAGAAAGAAAGAAAGAAAGAAAGAAAGAAAGTTGTTAATGGCTTTTTTTTTTTTTTGAGGTGGTGTCTTGCTCTGCTGCCCAGGCTGGAGGGAGTGCAGTGGCTTGATCTCAGCTCACTGCAACCTCTGCGTCCCGGATTCAAGTGATTCTCCTGTCTCAGCCTCCTGAGTAGCTGAGATTACAGGCATGCACCACCACGCCCAGCTAATTTTTGCATATTTTAGTAGAGACGGGGTTTCATCATGTTGGCCAGGCTGGTCTCCAACTCCTAATCTCAAATGATCCACCTGCCTTGGCCTCCCAAAGTGCTGTGATTACAGGCGTGAGCCACCACTCCCGGCCAATGACTCTTGATAAATTCATCAATGGAGCACCCTAGGTTGATGAGCTCAGGGATTTGGCCAAGATCTCGACCTGACCCTGCCTTCCTCTTCTTTCCCTGAGTCAATGCCTCCTGGGTTTGTCATTCCTGCTGCCCTCTCCTCTCCACAGCATTACAGTGCTCCACTACCCCTTACTCTGGTTGTCTGTCACTTTCTAGCAGCTTCTCTAGGACCGTCTCCACATACCTGATGGTCTTGTCCATCTCTCATTCATAAATTGCTGGTAGAGGTTCAGAGATAAGAAGCTACTCAAGTCAGAAAGCAGATTGGTGGTTACCAGGGACTGGGGTGATGGGGAATGGGGAGTGACTGCTAAATAGTATTTTTTCGAGGCAGTGATGAAAATGTTTTGGAACAATTTTTTTTTTTTTTTTGAGACGGAGTCTCGTTCTGTCACCCAGGCTGGAGTGCAGTGGCGTGATCTCGGCTCACTGCAAGCTCCGCCTCCCGGGTTCACGCCATTCTCCTGCCTCAGCCTCCCGAGTAGCTGGGACTACAGGCGCGCACCACCACGCCCGGCTAATTTTTGTATTTTTAGTAGAGACGGGGTTTCACCGTGTTGGCCAGGATGGTCTCGATCTCCTGACCTCGTGATCCGCCCGCCTCGGCCTCCCAAAGTGCTGGGATTACAGGCATGACTGCAGCCGGCCAATGTCTTGGAACTATTAATAGCCATGGTGGTTGCACAACACCACATGTGCTAAATGCCACTGAATTGTTCACCTTAAAATAATTCATTTTATGTTACATGAAATTTACCTCAATAAAAATTGAATAAAAAAGAAGCTACTCAGGTGCCGAGTAGGCAAAACTTTCACTCTTGCTTTGTATTTCTGGCTGTATCCACAAGTGGGCAGTCGTGAAATTTTCTTATAGCCTCCTGTCATATTGAAAACGCCCGGAAGTGAATATGCCAGGTCTCCATGTTTTTCTTTCCCTTCTGGACACGAGGTCCTTGGGGGCATCCAGACCCTAGCTCCTCTGTCCCAAGACTGTTCTGGTATGTTTCGCTTTCAGACGAGGCTTGGAGATAACAGGCTATGGTTCCTAGAGGCTTCAGTGTTGCTCTGTGACCTCTCAGCCCCAGGGATCCAGTCTCGGGCTGACTTTCCTCAAGGTATCTGCTTAGGGCTTTGTTGCAGGCTGGGGTCGTGTTAACTTGAAGGCACAAGAACTTCCATTTTTTCCCCGACTTCTCCTCCATGTCACAGCATCCTGCATCTTGGGATCTCTGAGGAGGTCTGACCTAAGGTCTGATCTGCTCTCTGAACTGGTTCCTCTCATCCCTATTGCGTTGAAGCAAAGCACAGACATTATATCAGTTCATCTGTAAATATTTCAGTGTGAACCTGAAATATGGATCATTTTGTTAACATAGCCTAAATACCATACCAAAAATGTTTTAAAACAAGTCCACAATGTTAAATATGCAGTCACTGTCACCTTATTGCCTCACACATGCCATCATTCCTTTTTATTTCTGAAGGAATTCTTTTTTTTTTTTTTTTTTGTGAGACAGAGCCTCACCCTGTCACCCAGGTTGGAGTGCAATGGTGAGATCTCGGCTCGCTGCAACCTCTGCCTCCCAGGTTCAAGCGATTCCCCTGCCTCAGCCTCCTCAGTAGCTGGGATTACAGGCATGTGCCACCACGCCCGGCTAGTTTTTGTATTTTTAGTAGAGACGGGGTTTCACCATGTTGGCCAGGCCGGTCTTGAACTCCTGACCTCGTGATCCGCCTGCCTCGGCCTCCCAAAGTGCTGGGATTACAGGCGTGAGCCACCACACCCGGCCCTGAAGGATATTTTTTGCTGGACATAGAATTCTAAGTTGGCACTTAATTTTTGGAAATAATAAGCATTTTGAACAAATCATTCCCTTCTGACTTCCATGGTTTCTGTTGAAAAGGCAGCTGCCAGTCTTCTTGTTGCTCCTCGGATCACAGTTTTGTTTTCCTCAGGCTCCTTTTAAGATCTTTTGTTTTTCTTTGTTGTTTAGTGGTTTTGCTATGATGATGTTTGGCGTGATTTTCTTTCTCTCTTCTTTTTTGTGCCGCTGACTCTCCCCTTGGTGTGATTTTCTTTGCATTCATCCTGCTTGGGCTTCGCATTGCTACTTGGGGTTATGGCTTGATGTCTTTTGTCAGTTTTGGACGTTTTCAGCCATTATATTTTCAAATAGTGACTCTGCCCTAGTCTCTCATTTTTCCCCTTCTAAGGCCCCAGTTACATGTATGTTCAACCTTTCCACTGTATCCCTACATCCTCTGGGTTCCTGTGTGAGCCGTCCTGGCGAATTTCCTCCTGCTTTCGCTTCTGTTTTGTTGGCTCTTCCCCCAGCTCCCCAGGGCCCCTTGCTTTGGCACATTTGCTCAGAGTGAGCTCATCCATCCTGGCCACATGCACCGATTGCACCTGGGCTATTGACCCCTCCTACAGCTGTTTCTCCGTCTCAGACTTTTCCTCCAAGTTGTGGGCCATGATTAGGCTCTAGCTCAATTTGCCAAAAGCAAATTCTCAGAAATGACCAAGAATATACTCTTTCCGGCTGGGCCCAATGGCTCACACCTGTAATCCCAGCACTTTGGGAGGCCGAGGCAGGCGGGTCACCTGAGGTCAGGAGTTGGAGACCAGCCTGGCCAACATGGTGAAACCCTGTCTCTACTAAAAATACAAAAAATTAGCCCGGCATGATGGCGCATACCTGTAGTCCCAGCTACTCAGGAGGCCGAGGCAGGAAAATCACTTGAACCCGGGAGGCGGAGGTTGCAGCAAGCCAAGATCGTGCCACTGCACTCCAGCCTGGGCAAACAGAAGGAGATCCGTCTCAAAAAAAAAAAACAACAACACTATTTTGAAAAAAACAATAAAGTTTAGAACACTTTGTGTTGGAGAGGGTGGTCTTAACACCTTCGGTCTGTCTTGAGGGTGTCTGGGTTGACTGGTCATCGTTTTGTGTTCATAAGAGCATTCTCCAGAGTTGTCCATTTGCTTTTGTGACTGTAGGAGGTGGAGAGAGGGGGGTCCTTGACCAAGGAAGAGAAGGGAGCGCGGCTGCCAGAGGGCCAGGAGATGGGGGCCAGAGAGAAGGGGAGACTGAGAGAATATCCTTATGAAAATATTGTTTACTGACATCTGAATAGACTCTTCAAGAATGCACTGAAGAATATCTTCATGTATCTTTACCAATACATTGATGAAGATTGACTTCATATTCCTGAGGACAGTTAAAATCTTGAATGTTCTCACAGCTAGATCATTCATGTAAATGGAAAGACAGTAATGAGGAATCTATTTTCGGGGTGACCATCCTGCCGACCCACTCCCCCTCTCTGTGAGCAGTGGCCTAGTCCATGTTGTCCACCGACTCTCTTCTTAACAGGGACCTGGGGCAGAGACAAATGGAATATTCCTTGAAATGCTGCGAGGAACCAGCTTTTGACAAATTGGCTTTCAACAAATGAGCTGTCAGCTTATTCAGTGCCCGGGGGATTTCTCCGTGTGGGTGTTGGTCAAGTCCTTGGAGTGGGACCGAATAGAAGTCGTCACTGTTTTCCCCGTCTCTGTCAGCACCACCGTTTAGACCTCCTGCACCTGAGGCCTGCCGCCACCCTCCTGGGCCTCCTGGGGCGGCAGCCCTGCCAGTCTATGGGTTCCATCACGCTCTGGTGCCTTCTCTCTTCTACGTAAGCGGTGGTGCCAGAGCCCCCTCACTGGCCCCCTGGCCTCTGTCCTTCTGGCCCGTTCTTTGTGGTGCCAAAAGGGGAACTTCATAGAAGTTTTTAAATTATGAAGTATTTCAAGCAAAGGGAAAATGTAAGGATAACATAATTAACAGCCCCAGCTTTCTGAAATCTTAACATTTGCCATATTCACTTCAAATCTTATTTTTTTAGGAAATAAAACTTTAAAATATTCTGTTGAAGCCCTCATTACCCCTTTCCAGCACCATCTCCCTTCCTTGCTATTCTGGCCTTGCTATACTGGCCTCACCATTCTCATTTGGGTGCTTATCTTTTCCATGCATGGTTTTATACTTTTACTACTTATATAATTATATACACAACAGGTAGTGATTGTTTTCTTTTAGAGATAGGGTCTCACTCTGCTGCCCAGGCTGGAGTGCAGTGGCGTGATGGCAGCTCACTGCAGCCTCGAACTCCCGGACTCAAGAGGTCCTCCTGCCTCAGCCTCCAGAGTAGCTGAGACTACAGGCGCGTGCCACCACACCCAGATAATTAAAAATTTTTTTTGTAGAGACAGGGTCTCACTGTGTTGCCCAGGCTGGTGTTGAATTCCTCCTGGCCTCAAACAATCCCCTTGCCTTGGCCTCCCAAAGCGCTGGGATTGCAACTGTGAACCACTGCGCCTGGCCTGCTTGTGGTTTTTTAACAGCTCTATTGAGATATAATTTACATATTATAAAATGCACCATTTTAACTACATTTCAATGGTTTTTAGTAAATTTACTGAGTTGCGCAACTATTGCCATGATTCACTTTTCTCTTTTTGTTTAAATAACGGCTCTATTGAGATATAATTCACATCCCATAAAATTCACCAATTTAAAGTGTACAATTCACTGGTTTTTCGTATAGTCACAGAGTTGTTCAACCATCACCACTATCTAATTCCACAATATTCTCTTTTTTTTTTTTTTGAGACGGAGTCTCGCTCTGTCGCCCAGGCTGGAGTGCAGTGGTGTGAACTCTGCTCACCGCAAGCTCCGCCTCCCGGGTTCACGCCATTCTCCTGCCTCAGCCTCCCGAGTAGCTGGGACTACAGGCGTCCGCCACCACGCCCGGCTAATTTTTTTTTGTATTTTTAGTACAGACGGGGTTTCACCGTGTCAGCCAGGATGGTCTCGATCTCCTGACCTCATGATCCGCCCGCCTTGGCCTCCCAAAGTGCTGGGATTACAGGCGTGAGCCACCGTGCCCGGTCCTACAATATTTTCACCAGCCCCAAAGCAACCCTGTACTCATTAGCAGCCACTGCCCATCCCCCACCCCCAGCCCCTGGCACCCACTAATCTGCTTTCTGTCTCTATGGATTTGCCTATTCTGGACATTTCGTAACTAATGGAATTGTACTGGAATCTGTGGTCTTTTGTGGCTTTTCAATCCTTATAGTCACCATGTTTCTATAGAGTAACTGCAGGCTAAACTGCAGGCTAGACTTCGTGCTCAACACTGGTCCTGGGGGATTTGCGGAACTGAAGAGCACACACAGATAGTTCACACTGTCATTTCTACAACTTCTAGTCTGTGGCTATTTTTGTAAAGCTGTTACAAAAGAGTAACTACATATAAAATATATATGAATATTGGTGTGCGTGTGGCTGGTGTGTGTTTGGGGTGTTCCCAGGCAGACCTGGAGTGGGAGGCAGGCTTTCCCTAGAGCCTGGGGAGCGGGGAGGAAGGCAGAAGCTGAACCCGAATCTAGTCTAGGTCAGGACCGCTCGCTGTTGGCATGAGCTCTGGATGAGGTACTGAAGGAATCTCACTTTCTCTTTTGCTCCCAAGGCAAGCATTGATGGAAGAACAGGTGAATGGTCGCCTGCAGGGACAGCTGAATGAGATTTACAACCTCAAACACAATCTGGCCTGCAGCGAAGAGAGAATGGCCTATCTATCCTATGAGAGAGCCAAGGAAATATGGGTGAGAACCTCCTGGGGGAGCCTTGCAAGAAGACTGGAGGGATGAGCGAATCTATTCTGATACCCCCAAACCAAAGCAAGACACGGGTCCTCGAGCTGCCCCCTCCTGAGGGTTCGATGGCCACACACATTTGTTTCAGAGCTAGCAGCATCTGATCTTTACACTCACGCTCCGCTTCCCACCATCTGGCTTAGCTGCTTTTGCCACTCTGGTGCTGCAGTGCTCACCCGTGAGCCTCTGACTCGGGAGATCTGGGGTGGAGCTGCTTCTGCTGCGGCTGCAGGTGTAGGGAGCGCCCTCTCAGAACCCCTCCTTAGACCTGGCTTCCCTCTCCTCACTTTTCCATTCCCATAGCGCCCACCCCCGTCCCTGGGTAGCTGTGTCTTGACCAGGTCCTCAGCTTCGGGAGACAGTGGATGGGGGAGTGCAGCCGGGTCAGATGAAGCTTTCCCTGTTGCTGGAGAGCCTGCGCCCTCCCCTCTGCCCTGAATGTGCTCTAGGCTCTCTGCTTCCCTCCTCGAATACCCACTCCACAGTGCTTTCTGCTCACCCCTAAGAACTCAATAAACGACCACAACTCTGTGCTGACTTCTGGTGCGTGCATTTTCGTCTCCTGCAGGAGATCACGGAGACCTTCAAGAGCCGAATATCCAAGCTGGAGATGCTACAGCAAGTCACCCAACTGGAGGCAGCGGAGCACCTCCAAAGCCGTCCCCCGCAGATGTTGTTCAAGTTCCTGAGTCCGCGCCTCTCACTGGCAACCGTCCTCTTGGTCTTTGTCTCCACCTTGTGTGCCTGCCCCTCGTCACTGATCAGCTCACGCCTGTGCACCTGCACCATGCTGATGCTGATCGGGCTTGGGGTCCTGGCCTGGCAGAGGTGGCGCGCCATCCCTGCCACAGACTGGCAGGAATGGGTCCCCTCCAGGTGTAGACTGTACTCCAAGGACTCTGGGCCTCCAGCAGATGGACCTTAAGGGGCCAGGAGGGCCACCTGCCTTAGCTTGCTAGCTCCCTCCCTCCTCCTGGGTGCTGAGGGCATCCAGCAAGCCCCTCCACAGCTCTTGCTTGCCGATTATGTAACCACCAGCCTGGTGAAATGGATATAGACGCCCACCTGCCTCACACTTCTGTTTTGCCAGGATCCTTTCACGCCATCGGTAGACATGAGGCTCGGGAAAACTTAAAGTCTATGAAGCGCTCTCTCCTCTTTATCCCCCTTGCACCCTCTCGAGACCCAGTGCCTGCACACGCAGAGGCTCAGGTGGTCCCACACTGCAGTGAAAGCCTCTGTGACTTTGTTGGTTTTGGCAAAGATAAATTACATTTATTTTACAGGGATGGAGAAGGAGGGGGAAAGGAGAGGTGGCCAAAGCCCCGGTGGGCGGGATGGGTAGGAGGCAGACCTCATGCAGGCGATACCGAGGACACAGATGAGACCTCCGTTTTGGAGGCGCTGGAGAGTTCAGAGCCATCGTCAACCTTCTTCCCGAAAAGCTGCAAGATGCAGTTTCGAAACTGGAAGGACAGAAAGCGTTATTGAGCAGAGCAGGGAAGGGTGGAGCACTGTGCTGAATGTACGTGCCCGAGCCTTCCCTTCACCCATTCCGAATCCCATGGGGGATGGAGGAAGGCTTGGATTATTTCTCCCTCACACGCGGGGATGTCATCTGACTTAGCAGTTGATGGTGACTACACTGGGTTGAAGTGGGTCCCCCAAAAGATGTGTTCAGGTTAAGATGAGGTCACACTGGAGCAGGGTGGGCCCTAATCGAATGACTGGTGTCCTGATAAGAAAAGGAACGCTTGGACACGGACACGCAGACAGAGGGAAGAAGGCCACGTGAAGATGAAGGCAGAGACTGGGGTGACACACCTTGGAGTCAAGGAACGCCAAAGACTGCCGGCAGCCCTGCAGCTGCTTCTCCCTCCCGGCCTCCATAGGGAACCTTTCCATTTGCCAACACCCTGATTTCAGACTCAAGATTTCCAGAACCCTGAGAGAATCCATTTCTGTGGTTTGAAGCCACTGAGTTTGTGGTAGTTTGTGACGGCAGCCCCATGACACTCATCCACAGTGACAGCTAAGGGGCAGTGGTGACCTGTCCCCAGACTGTCTGGTGAGCGGCTCGGAGGAATATTAATGAAAAGGCATGTGGTTGTCATGTTTTTTCCAGTCCATGGATCTGGGGCAAGGTGAGGCCTAGGTAATGACAATCTAGCCCCTACCTCATCTCTCCAGCCAAGCGTCTTCCGGTACCAGGAGGGGTCTGTCTTTGCTGCTTCACCCCAAAGAGATCTGGGCCATATGAATGTCTCAAATCATGTCCTGTGTCATCCCTGAAGTAACCACAATGCTTTGAGGACCCAGACCAAAGGCATTTTCTAAATATTTCAGGCCTACTCTTGACTAGCTCTAACTCCCTCTATCATCAAAACTCTCAAAAATAAAAAATATAATGGTTGAAATTAATAACATAAGAAACGGGACAAACAGCAGAATCAGCTCGGCTGAAGAGCTGGGAGATAGGGCTGAGGAATCCATTCAGCAGCTGCTGCTTGAGCACCCACTGTGTGCCAGACTCTGTCCTGAGCAAAATTTGCTGTCTTCATGGAACTGCGTTCCAGAAAATTCTCTCAGAATGTGGCAGGACAGGATAATTATGTGGAAAGGGTAAAAGCAAAGTTCGAGGCCTGGTGAGGTCCAGAAGTGCAGACATCTGTCTCCCCCTGTCCAGGGGGAGTTCTGGAAAGGAGAATGGAAATAATCCAGTAAAGACAGTACTTGGCAAGATAGTTTAGGATTCCAGAAACCTAAAAAAGATCCTCATGAAAGTCAGGAAACAGGGGTCAGGGATAGAACTACACTCTGGGCATCAGTGTGCTACAGCGAGTTCCCGGAAATCCACTGCAGGCCTGGTCCTACTTACTATTTAAAAGTTACCAGAGAGAATGAACCCTTAATGAACTCTGCAGACTTGGCTTGTGTGAGTCAAAGCTGAGCCAAAGGGGCTGGAGCCATTGAGTGGCTCTAAGATGGAGAAGCAAGGAAGAGCCCAGTGGAAGGGATGGACTGGGCCTGGTGAAATGGGAGGCCTCTGCACACCTTTCTGGCCACCATCAAGTCACATCACAGCTGCGCTTTAATGAAGCCTGTAACCTGCAGGAGGTGGGGGGATTTAGGTGTGTGAGCAGCTTGCTGCTGAGGCCCAATATGCCAGCTAAGGAGGCTGCCTCTGGGCAGGACCACAGCACGTCCCCCCTGAACTAACCCACAAACTCGTGAAAGCTCTTGAACTCTTGGTCAGTGTAGCCAAGGAGGGCCGGCTTTTGTTCTTATAGGAAGACAAATTCCAGAGGTTACGGTTTGAAAATGGAGAGATGAAGGTTGAGAAGGGTCGAGTCTGAACAGAAGAGGGGCACACCTAGGGTGGATGTACCTAGGGCTCACCAACTCCTAGAGCGTCTGAACGCCAGGAGAGCCCCTGAAGCTCGGCAGCCATAGTTCTAGGGCCACCGGAAGGGAAGAGCGCACGGCACACAGACGCTTTGGGAAATGCCACCCTCAGGCCGAGACTATAAAGGATTCCAGAGGGCACACCTAAGCCTTCTGCTAAGGGCCAGCCGGAGCTCTGGCTGGGGCTGGGTCACACGCTGAGCCTTTCCCGGTCATTTCCCTGGAGGGTCCCCCAGATGCTCCGCGGGCTTCTTATCAGAGACATGATTCCAGGTGGGGCCATCGCTGCACCCTTCTAGGGCACACGGTATTTTGAGTGGGATCTGCTGATGGTGTTGCTTACCTGCCGGTTCATAAAGACATAGATAACGGGGTTGTAGATAGTGGCACTTTTGGCAAAGAAGGCCGGCAGGGCAGCCATCAAAGGGTGGAAGGGGTAGCCAGGGTTGGCAGCAGCAAAGCATGCGAAGAAGGCGTAGGGTCCCCAGCAGAAGCAGAATGCCAGGACCATCACCACCACCATGCGCGTCACTTCCTTCTCTGCCTTCTGGGTGGATTCAGACTCTTTCTGCTGCTTTGCCACCTAAGGGAGACAGGGATAGTGAGTCGGGGGTTGGAGGGCAGCAAGAGGCAGGTGACCCAGGCATAGGGAGTTGTGGGGAGGAGGAGAGGAGCCCAGCAGCCATCTTCCAGCCCTGAGTGGAGCACAGCCGGCCCCAGGCAGACATGGCTGCCTCAGGCTGGCCCTGGGGGAGTTCTAGAATTGGAGGTGGCATGCAGCTAGGTGTGGCCTAAGATGACCCCAGAGCTGGATCTAACAAGCTCCTTTGCTTCACCTGATCCCTTAACAGACTGTCCTGTCCTGCGCTCAGGCCTGAGCATGGAGGCCTGATTTGATTGATGACTGGGCGTGGAGAATGAAGGAGTTAACAAGGTGGAGATGGCGGGGGAGGCAAAAGCAGTGGCTGGCGGGGTGCGCGATGGGAGTGTCAGAGCAATGCATACACTTCCCTCAGGCTTCCTAGGCTAGGTTGGCCACTCTGTGGACTAAATCCTGCCCTGGACTCACGGTGAGGCAGCTGAGGGCAGCTTTGGTGGGGTGGCTCCTTCATGCCTGCTGGGAGGAAGGAGACGAATGGCCTCCAGGCAGAGGCACTGTGGGGGAGGCCAGAGGCCAGCCACCACCTGCCAGGGATGAGGGACTGGCGGCAGGCAGATGAGTGGGGATGAGAGAGGGAGTGTGAGGGCTGGAATGCAGGGATGGCTGAGACAGCAGAGCCGGGGCCACATTGTGGAGCTGGGGCTCTACCATCCCAGACTAATACAGCCGAAGCCATGGTTGGGTACCTGTGGGAGCCTTCACCCCAAGGTGACGGGGTGAGGGGGCCTTTCACAGGCTCACAGACTCCTCTAGAGAGAGCTTGGCAGGCATGCCCATCCAATTGTGGGCACAGGCAGCTTCATATAGGAAAGCCAGCACCCTGAAAGGGCTCCCACTGCTAACAGAAAAGAACCAGCCTGGCTCTCCTCCCTTGCTCTGACTTCCTGAAGGGCTCCCAGTGGTAGCCTAGTCTAGGGGTGGGGGGTGACGGCTGTGGACAGGATCAGCTTCCCAGGGCAGAGGGCCAGACATGGAGGTGGAGAGTGGGTCAGGGGGGCAAATGGCACTCTCGGGTCCACTCCTTGGTCGGCCCCACAGCCTATGAAAAGGACAAGGGTACTCCGGTGGCAGCCTCATAAAAACACGCCTTGATTTGCAGGTGTCATTTGCTGATGTGGCTGCTCCACTCTACTCTGTGGGAAAGGCAGCCTTTCCACCCCGGGGAGAACTGTCCAGGGTCGGGGCAAGGCACACCTCTGTTCCCTTAGTGGACTCCTCCAGGGAGGGAGTGGCAGTGCTTTCCCGTCTCACAGAGCTGAGGACAACGGGGCTGGGGCTGAACCTGCAGCCACTGGTACAGTCCCAAAGGAATCACCTGATTCTCATCGCTGGATCTTAATATTTTCTTATAGGGGTAAAATCCTCTTCTCTAAGGATTTTTGGAAAAATAGTTTAGGAGTCTCAGTGGACTCATTTGAGGGCAGAGCAGCTTAGGGGCAGGAGGCGGGTGAGGCCAGGAGGAATCGGGGGGCTTACCGCTCGGATGGCCAGCCACACTTGGAGGTAGCAGAGCACGATGATGCTGAGTGGGGTGATGCAGCAGGTGACCATGAGGACAATCATGTAAGACTGCACCCCGGGGTACGAGCTGCCGCTGAACACGTCTGGGCCGCATGAAGTCTTCAGGCCGTGGGGCCAGTACCTGGAGAGAAGGGCCGGCAGCCAGTCCTGATGCAGGGTGGGGTGACCCAGGACCCCCGGCCCAGGCACGGTGCTAACTCGGGTGGGGTTTGTTTTTTTAAATTGAGGTGAAATTCATGTTGCATGAGATTACCCAATTTGAAGTGATCAATTCTGTGGCAGTCACCACCTCTGCTTCCAGAACATTTTCATCAACCCAAAACAAAACCGTTGGGTAGGATTTTGGTTAATCCTTGTCCATTTTTAGATGTCATGCCTTTCTTCTTTTTGAATTGTGGTAAAATACACATCACATAAAATGTACCATTATAGGCCAGGCACAATGGCTCACGCCTATAGTCCCAGCACATTTGGAGGCAGAGGTAGGAGGATTGCTCGAGCCCAGGAGTTCAAGACTAGCCTGGATCACATAGTGAGATCTTGTCTCTACAAAAAATAAAAAAAATTAGCTGGGTGAAGTGGTGCACCTGTAGGCCCAGCTCCTCAGGAGGCTGAGGTAGGAGGATCACTTGAGCCCAGGAGGTGGAGGCTGCAGTGAGCCATAATTACACCACTGCACTGTGCCAGCCTGAGTGACAGAGTGAGACCCTGTCTCAAAAAAAGAAAAAAGTACCATTGTGACCTTTGGTACATTCACAATGCTGTGCAACCATCTCCACTATCTGCTTCCAGGACATTTTCATCTTCCCAATCACTCCCCTTCTTTACAAAGGGATTGTGAGGTTCCTTCTTGCCCTGACCTTCTGAGAACACCCATGAAGAGCTGAGTCTTTTATCTGAGGTCAGCTAGGCCATGACTGAAATAAAGGGCCCTGCTCACTTAGTGGCCTGGAGGATTAAATGAGATAACCCGCGGGAGAGCCTCCACCAGGGTCAGCTCACCACACATGTTTGATAACGGGCAGCTGTGTGGGGCATGGCGGCATGAGGAGGGCGGGAGACAGAGACAGGCTTCCACAAGGTTTGTTTCCTAGAATTGTGGAACGTTCTCGAGGAAAGAACATTCCCTCTCCAAACACCACGAGAACTTATTCACGAGCTTGTCGATAAAACAGTGAAATGCTGTCCCACCCAGTCCACTCCAATCAAACATTTGAGCCACTTGCTTGGCCTGGCCAGGACATGTGCTCTGTAGGCCCAGGTGGATCTATGACCCAAGCAGCCTCTGAAAGGTGGGGGGCGTGGTGCGGCAGCGTGTGCAAGAAAGAGACCTGGAATGCAAACACGCTATGCGTTCACTGACAGCTGTGCTGATGGCCTGAGCTCCGTGTGCGCCTGTGACCTGATCGTGCTTGGGATAAATATGTTTCCAGAGGTTCGGGGACCACAGAGCCTTTCCTATGTTGCAGCCACATTCATACATTGATAGACATTGCACGCTCAGAGGGGCCCAGAGAAAGGAAGTGATTTGCCTTAAGGTCACAGAGTCTGACCCTGCCCACTCCATCTTGCGTCCTCGCACCCTTACCTGCTCCAACCAAAGATGGGCGGGGCTGTCCACACAGCAGCCCAGATCCAGGAGAAGGCAATGCCCACGATGGCCAGCTTGGCATCAAATCTCACATTGCCAAAGGGCTTGCAGACCACCATCCATCTCTCCCAGGAAATGATGGCCAGAGACCAGAGACCTGTGATCCCTATGGGGAGAGCAGACAGATGAGGGCTTTGAGCCAAAGCAAAGGTGGGAAGCAAAGCTTCCCACTGTCCTGCTTAGACCCCAAACGTCTGCACACAGAATTCAGGGCTCCACGGACTGAGGTGGAAAAAACGACATCTTTCTTTCCACCAACCTCGAACAGACACTGGAAATTTCCTTCCATTATGAACGTGGCAGTATTAGCAGTACCCGTGACTCGGTCAGCAAGAGAGGTCACAGATGTTTTCCTGTCAATTCATAGAGGTGGCAGAGAGTTCGAATACCACTTATGTTCATCACTACTCTGAAATAACAGTGGTTGTCAGGCGGGATCCTGTTACTTAATACCTTAATACTGAGTGGTGTCACTAATACGTTTAACACATGCTTTTATTTTTATTTACTTTTTGAGACAGAATCTCACTCTGTTGCCCAGGCTGAGTGCAGTGGTGCCATCATAGCTCACTGCAGCCTTGACCTCCAGAGCTCAAGCGATCCTCCCGCCTGAGCCTCCTGAGTAGCTGGGACTACTGGTGTGCCACCACGCCCAGCTGTTTTTATTTGTTGTAGAGAAGAGGTCTCACTATGTTGCCCAGGCTGGTCTCAAACTCTTGGAGGCAAGCAGTCCTCCCACCTCAGCCTCCCAAAGTGCTGGGATTACAGGTATGAGCCTGGCCAGTAAATGCTTTTAACTAAAGACTATGTTACTGATGAATGTTTAATACTTTGATAACTGTATTTCAGTATAATTTGCTGCCTTTGTAATCCTATGGGTCTCATTTTATGCGTTTGCAAAAATTCTCCTGAGATGGGGTCCACAGGCTTCCCAGATGGCCAAGGGCATCCGTGGACCAAAAGTGGTGGGGAAGTGCTGGCTGCTTGGCACCTGACTGACCCAAGAACAGACCATGAGCAGAGGCAAGGGTGAGCGGGAGACCATGGCAGAAACGGAGACAGACGTGGGCGGAGATGCAGGGGGGCACTCGGGAAGGGTCGTGTGACCACCGAGGCCATGCCTGCTGCAGAGAGCACTCGGACCTGGGGATGGACCTTCTCTGCCTGACCTTCCCTTGGCTCCCCTTCTACACTATCGGGGTAGTGCCGGGACTTGGACAAGCACCCTCTCTGGTCTGGGCCATCGTGGGTACAATTTGAGGCAGTTAACGGGGTGGGGTTGGGGAGGCTGCTAAGAGTGGTGGGGAGGCAAGAGCAGGAGCTGCTGCTGCTGGATGTGGGGTCTCCTCCTCCTGAAAGAAAGTCCCAGCTCCTGGGCATGACGTCTGAGGCCTCTGAGACCTGGGCCTGCCCACCTCGTGTCCAGCAGCCACGGCTGCTTGGTGGTACTCTATCCACTCGAACCACAAACTGCTCCCAGCCGCTCCTCCACCACCTGCCCCAGGCCCCTTCTTGTCTGAGAGGACTGATGATGGTACTGTGTGGTTGCCGTCTGGCTATAGGGCCCCCTCCTTAGCACAGAGCCTGGCACGCTAGTACCTCTCGGCCACTGTCTCCTGACCTGAGCGGAATAGTGGCCCACAGAGATATTAGTGATGGGGATGGGGAGAGGATCTGGGAATTGTGTCTCCTCCGGGAAAAGCAGATGCTGGCGAGCTGAAAGAGCAGGCATCCCTAATTGCAGGGGAGTTCTGTCCAGGGTGCCCAGAGTCCCCGCCCCCCTACTGTTCTGGGGTTGTCTAGCTCTGTATCTGTCTCCTCCCACACCAGCCCCACAGCTCCAAACTGGCTGTCCCCGGGCAGAGCCTGACTCAAGAGTAGGAACTCAGGGTATGTTTGACTCAAGGGAGCTGAATTTAATGTGAGTGTTCAGATGGAAGCCTCCAGAACCCTTCAGTATATGGATGTGAGGCGCAGATGTGGAGGGAGACAGGCCTACAGGAGCAGCTGGGCCCCGATCATCATGAGGTGGCCGGAGGGGCTTGCAGGGTGAATGAGTGGTTTCCGCTGAGCCTGGGCCCCGACTGGCTTACCA
Organism: Homo sapiens; assembly: GCF_000001405.40. Lineage (NCBI taxonomy): Eukaryota > Metazoa > Chordata > Mammalia > Primates > Hominidae > Homo > Homo sapiens. Next base: position 154,225,202 of record NC_000023.11, on the reverse strand, counting down.
CACAGGGAGACGGTGTAGCCCTCCAGGACACACATAGGGTGGCCCAGCACGAAGTAGCCATAGACCTGGTTCACAACGCTGATAGTGCTGGCGATGACGGTCTCTGCCAGGTCAGCGACCGCCAGGTTCACCAGGATCCAGTTCAGCGGGTGGCGCAGCTTCTTGAACTTCATGGTGGCCGCCAGCACAAGCCCATTTGTGAAGACGGATGCAATGACCACAAAGATCATCCAGACACTGGTGAGGTGGTACACCCATCTGGGAGCGATGTGGTAATTCGGGCCTTCGAAGGGGCCTGAGGGCAGGAGGCAGAGGAGAGAGAGGAGCTGGGCTGCAGCACCGCCTGTCTATACCAGTGCTGATCCCACCTCTCCCCTCCCCCTTCCGCCCTCCTGCCTTTGCAATTGGCTGTTTCCCTCCAGCTTTGTCCATCCTCAGACAGTCTCCCCTCCATCCTGTCCCTCAAGCCAGAGACCATCGCCCGCTGGTCACTGGCACTGGCATCTTGAACTTAACAGAACTCCTCATCGTCTCCTCCATCTGATTCCCCACTCCCAGTGTGCAGTCACCCCACTTCCCTGCTCCCCTCTTCCCTTTGCCCCAGCCCCACCTCCTACCTCCCACAGTCCTCTGCCCTTCCATAGAGAAACGCTTGCCTCCTGTAAAGCCCAGCTCATATGCATTTGCCTTCCAGAAGATTCCCCAGCTAGTGGCAACTCACCCCCTTGAGGGGAAGACCACTACCCACCTCTGTCACCTTCTGTCACACATAGGAGTTACTGTTCATGATGATCTGAATGTACGTGCCCCCCATAAATTTCTGTGTTGAAATCCCAACCCCCAAGGTGATGGTATTAGGAGGTGGGGCCTTTGGCAGGTCATTTAGGTCATGTGTGCAGAGTGAGTGGGGCCCTCATGAATGGGATTAGTGCCCTTATAAAAGAGGTCCTAGAAGCTGGGCATGGTGGCTCACGCCTGTAGCCCCAGCTACTCAGGAGGCCAACGTGGGAGGATCACTTGAGCCTTTGGGAACAGCCCAAATTAGCTGGGAATGGTGGCTCATGCCTGTAATCCCAGCACTTTGGGAGGCTGAGGCTGGAGGGTTGCTTGAGCCCAGGAGTTCAAATCCAACCTGGGCAACATGGCATGCCCATGTAAAAAAAATTTTTTTTTAATTAAAACAAACAAGAAAAAGAGTCCCTAGAGTGCTCTCTAGCTCTCTTTCTTCCATGTGAGGATACAATGAGTTGTTGGCAATCTGCAGTCAGGAAGAGGGTCCTCGCCAGAGCCCACCACGCTAGCACCCTGACTTCCAGCCTCCAGAGCTGTGAGAAATACATTTATCATTTAAAAGCCACCCAATCTATGGTAATTTCTCTTTTATTCTTTTCCTTTCTTTCTTTTCTTTTTTTTTTTTTTTTGGGACAAAGTCTTGCTCTGTCACCCAGGCTGGAGTATAGTGGCACAATCATAGCTCACTGCAACGTGGAACTCCTGGGCTCAAGCGATCCTCCTGGGCTCAAGCGATCCTCCTGCCTCAGCCTCTCGAGTACCTGGGACTACAAGCCGTGCATTACCACAATGGCAATTTTTTTTATTTCTGTAGAGATGGGGTCTGGCTATGTTGCCTAGGCTGGTCTCGAACTCCTGACTTCAAGTGATCCTCCCACCTTGGCCTCCCAAGTAGCTGGGACTACAAACGAATTATTTCTCCTTTTTCTTCTGTAGGAGTTTGCTAGGGCTCTACACCTTTTGTGTTGGAAGGACCTTCGTCATAACATTGTTTTTGGCAGATTACTTGAAGGGATTGCAAGCCACAGACCTGCTGCCATATAAGGCCTCATGGAGAGTCCCAAGGTTTATCAAGAGATTCTTTAGCTGTGTGTTAGAAAAGCCCAACTCAAGCTAGCTTAAGAAAAATGGGGATTTCCTGGCTATGGCCAGGAGAGACAGATAAATCTCACCCCTAGCACAGCTGGATCCCACAAGGCCTCTGCTGCCCTCTGTGCACGGGCCCCATATGTTCCTAACACAAGGAGCTTCTGGAAACCCACAGACAATGTCTGCAATCCCGATACCTGGCACTGGCTCCCCAGGAACCCCCAGTATGAGCAGCAGGGACAGACCATTGACAATTGAAGACCTGCATGGCGTCAGTCTCCGTGCAGAAGGAAGCAGAGGGGAGCAATGGGGTTGCTGATGGACCTAAGAACAGAGAACCCCCAAACTGTCGGCAGCTCTTCCCTGGGAAGTACCTTGGGTGAACTGGGGAAGAGCAGCTGAGACTGGGAGGGTTTGGGACACTCTGGCCTGCAGGCAAGTGCAAGGGGCTGGAGCAATCTAGGTGCTACGACCTCTGAAAACAAGGCAGCCAGTGCCCTTCCCTGGCAACCCTTGCGGTCCAAATTGGGCAGTGCAGGGACAAGGGGGCAAAGGAGAGAACAGGTCCCAGCAGCAGTGGGGGAGGGGACAGGAGCTGCCACCAGTGTAACTAGAGCTGGTGTCATGGCCTACCCCTCCCTCCTGAAAGTTCTGGAACTGAATTTCATGAAGCAATGAGCAAGAGAATCAAAGTCAGCTCCCAGGCAAAGTGATTCGAGGAAATACAGGCAGGTAGGGAAGGGGCGGTCGGTGGTGGCGCAGAGAAGCCAGACTTCTTCAAATACACCTTCTTTTCTAGATTTTAATTTGAGACTTTTAACTGTTTTATTACATAATTATAAAACAAAATTTAAGTGGCCGGGGGCGGTGGCTCACACCTGTAATCCCAGCACTTTGGGAAGCCGAGGTGGGCGGACGACTTGAGGTCAGCAGTTGGAGACCAGCCTGGCCAACATGGTGAAACCCTGTCTCTACTAAAAATAAAAAAAATTAGCTGGGCGTGGTGGCGGGCACCTGTAGTCCCAGCTCCTCGGGAGGCTGAGGCAGGAGAATCGCTCGAACCGAGGAGGCGGAAGTTGCAGTGAGCTGAGATCGCGCCACTGCACTCCAGCCTGGGCGACAGAGTAAGACTGTCTCGAAAAAATAAAATAAAGTAAAATAAAAGTTTAAATTTACAGAGCAATCTCTGAAAATCAGCAACAAAAGAAATGAAGCTAAATGCATATCCACTGAGTGGCATATCACTTAGAGAGGGACTATTCTAAGGGACTGGAAACACACCGGTTTACTACACAACCTAGTGGCATATACCCTCAGGGTAAGAAGACCTGTGAAGATGTTAAGGTTTTGGTCACCAATAGGTGAAGGCAGGGTAAGGTGTCCGAATGCCGTCATTTTCCATCCCCAGTGGTTTAATTGGTCTGGGCATTGAGTTTCAGTAGCTGCCAACACCCCAGAAAAGAGACACTCTCCTTGCCAAAACACACCAACAAATCCAACCTGCCTCTGGCCAGATCCTCAGATCAACTACCAATTTACAGAAAAATCATAATGAACAACGTCAGAGGGGCCTGTTAGGCTACGTCATGAACGACTTGCTTGCTTCCACAAATAAATTGCAGGGAGATAGAAAGGGAACCTCTAGATTCAAAGGTAGTCAAAAGGCATATCAGTCAATCTGAATGTGTGGACCTTATTTGAGCCCTGATTCAAGCAGACTGAAAATACGTATGACATTTTTTGAACACTACTAGGATATTTGAAGCTATTCAGGAAATATTGTTACACTTGTCGGTGTGATGATGACTTGTGGTTATGTATTGAGAAGAGCCCTTTTCTCCTAGAGGAACATAGTAAAGATTTACAGAGGGAAGGGTGTGATGTCTTGGATTTGCTTCCAAGAATCAGGAAGAAAGGGTAGTGGAGGGGTCACAGATGAAATGAGATGAAACCGTGGAAGCTGAGTGATGGGTACCGGAGTTCATTACACTCCTCCCTCTACTTTAGTAGATGCTTGAAGTTTTGTGGAAAAAAAAAAAAACCCACCCCGACATTTGAAAAGAGTGCACTGAAGCATCATGCATTGATGAAGTCTGGGGGCATCTAGGAAGAGACTGTTGACATTGCCACCAAGGAAATTCTGGGCACAGTCATGTTGAGGTCAACTGCAAGATCCTCATCCGGTTTGGTCTGGGCACTCTGTCACTAATTGGCACTCGGTCCTGGCCACCCCACAGCGGGATGTTTATTGGCAATCAAGGAGCTGGCGTGGCTTCTGGAAACCACAGCCTGCACGATGTTGTTGTTTTTTGTTTTGTTTTGTTTTGAGACAAGAGTCTCACTCTGTGGCCAGGCTGGAGCATAGTGGCGTGATCTCGGCTCACTGCAACCTCCACCTCCCGGGTTCAAGCGATTCTCCTGCCTCAGCCTCCTGAGTAGCTGGGACTACAGGCATGCGCCACCAAGCCCAGCTAATTTTTGCATTTTTAGTAGACATGAGGTTTCAGTATGTTGGCCAGGATGATCTCTATCTGTTGACCTCGTCATCTGCCCGCCTCTGCCTCCCAAAGTGCTGGGATTACAGGCGTGAGCCACTGTGCCCGGCCTGCACGATGTTCTTGAAGGCACCAAAGGAATTTGGTTTGGAGGAGGGACCTGGGGAGAGGGCCAGGAGTGGGGCGGTCACTGGTGTCCTCAGCTTCTTTGAGGGCCTGCGTGCAAAACTTTCGGATTGGGCAACTCCCAATGGCAGGACTCGGGCTGCCCTGATGAGAGCTTTCAGCTTTCTGTTGGGCCTGAGCCCTCTCTCCCAGGACGGCTCCGAATGGAAAGATGGCCCTGGGCGCCAATGCAGCCTCTTCCCCCAGAGGTGTGCAGCCAAAAGCCAAGTGGCCCCATCATGGAGTTTGACAAAATGACTGCTACAGGCTTTGCCGACCCTGAAGTTCTAGAAGTTTCTTGCCCTCTGCTGCTGTCTTCCCCACCCTCCCGCCTCCCTTGGGTGTGTCAGTATGTTGCCTCCTTTCGGCTTCAAATGTAAAGACAGACCCAGCTCTTCCCCAGGAAGCTGAGGGACTCCGTGGAATGAGAGGTCATTCGCTAGCAGTGAACACACTCATCTACGGGCCACAAAGAAAGAGCACATAAACTCTTCCCCGGCCTCGGATTCTCAAAGGGGCTGGGAAGCCTGTGTGGCTTGAGAATGCATATTCGATATTATGGTGTCCTTCTAGATTTGGAGAGGACCCCCCAATTCATGTCATCAGAAAAGCTATGGGAGAAAGCCTTCTCTGCTGGTGGGGACGTGCAGAAGAGAGATTCCCTTGGGCGGGGCAGGTGGGTGGCCGGTGGCCCCCAGTGCAGCCACCCAGCCTCCACGGGCCTGCTGGCTCACCTCTGGTGGAGTTGCTGTTGGTGTAGGTGAAGATGCTGGACTGGGTGCTGTCCTCATAGCTGTCCTGCGGATGGCGGCCTGCGAGCCTTTGGAGGCTCCACTGCTGGGCCATGGCTATGGAAAGCCCTGTCCCCGACGGCAGCCGGCCCTGGTGCGTCACCTGAGGGTCACGGTGCTTTATACCGGCCAGTGGGATCAGCCCGGGCCTCTTCACCTTAAAAGCTCCCAAATCCTACACCATCTGATCTCTTAATTGGGCCTGGGACTTAGACCTCCTCCTCCCACCCCTTGCTTCCTTGCTCCTGAGGCGAGCCCCCGGGGGCGGCTCAGAGGGATTTGCTGGAAACCTGTAATCCCAGCTACTGGGAGGTCGAGGCAGGAGAATCGCTTGAATCTGGGAGGCGGAGGTTGCAGTGAGCTGAGATGGCGCCACTGAACTCTAGCCTGGGCAACAGACCAAGACTCTGTCTAAAAAAAAGTGGCTGGGCACAGTGGCACACGCCTGTAATCCCAGCACTTTGGGAGGCCAAGGCGGGTAGATCTCCTGAGGTCAGGAGTTCCCGACCAGCCTGACTAACATGGTGAAACCCCGTTTCTACTAAATAAAAAACAATTAGCTGGGCTTAGTGGCAAATACCTGTACTCCCAGCTACTTGGGAGGCTGAGACAGGAGAATCGCTTGTACCTGGGAGGTCGAGGTTGCGGTGAGCCAAGATCGAGCCATTGCACTCCAGCCTGGGCAACAAGAGCAAAACTCTGTCTCAAGAAAAAAAATTTAACAGGCCACCTAATTGCGATTAAAAAAAAACAAAACCCTGAATCTGTTTAGATTCCCACTTGCAGGGTATGTGACATCACCTTCTGCCACATTCTCGCCAGCCCTGGACATTGTTAGGCTTTTTAATTTTTGGCGTTCTGGTGGATGAGAAAATAGTATTTAATTGTTGCTTTTCGCTTACTATTCCCGGATCACCTTGCAATTACATGTTTTATTATACGTTACTGTCTTTTGTTTTTAGTCGTCTGAGATGTCCGTGGCTACCCTTTAATGTCTTTATATTGGGTTATTTGCTCTTAGTTTACTGATTTGCAGTTCTTTATATATTGTGTTGATTAGCCCTTTATCTATCAGATATGTTTCAAGCCTTTTTTTTTCTTGTTTGCTTTTATTTATTTATTTTTTGAGATGGGGTCTCAGTCTGCCACCCTGGCTGGAGGGCAGTGGTGCGATCACGGCAGCCTCGACATCCCCGGGATCAAGCGATCCTCCCGTCTCAGCGTCCTGGGTAGCTGGGACTACAGGTGTGCACCACCACTCCAGGATAATTGTTGTATTAATTTTTTTTTAATAGAGACGGGGTTTCGCCATGTTGCCCAGGCTGGTCTTGACCTCCTGGGCTCAAGAGATCCACCCACCTTGGCTTCCAAAGTGCTGGGATTACAGGCATGAGCCAGCACACCCAGCCCTTGTTTTTTTTTTTTTCTCCCCCTTTCTTTCTTTCTTTTTTGTTTTTGTTTTGATTAATCAAGTCCCATTTTTTTCTCCTCTTGGTTATTTGGATGTTATGTACATATGTAGCTTCTTTTCTAGTGATTACTTTTTTTTTTTTTTTTGAGACAATCTCACTCTTGTCAGTCAGGCTGGAGTGCAGTGGCGCAGTCTCGGCTCACTGCAACCTCCGTCTCCCCGGCTCAAGCAATTCTCCTGCCTCAGCCTCCCCAGTAGCTGGGATTACAGGTGTGTGCCACCATGCCCGGCTAATTTTTGTATTTTTAGTAGGGACAGTGTTTCGCAGTGTTGACCATGATGGTCTCAAACTCCTGACCTCAAGTGATCCACCCGCCTTGGCTTCCCAAAGTGCTGGGATTACAGCTGTGAGCCACCACGCCCGGCCCCCCCACCCCCCGCTCTTTTTTTTTTGAGACAAGGTCTCACTCTGTCACCCAGGTTGGAGGGCAGTAGCACAGTCACAGGTCACTGCAGCCTCTACTTGCTGGGCACAAGTAATCCTCCTGCCTCAGCATCCTGAGTAGCTGGGACCACAGGTGCACACCACTGCCCTGGCAAGACTTGCTTTTTAAACAGTTGTTGAATTCTTACATTTGTCAGTGGTGTACTGAACTCCTTCATGTCTAAAAATGTCTTTAGTCTAACCCCACAGTTGACAGTTGGGGTGTAGAATTTTAGGCTGGGAAATCATTTTTCCCTCAGAATTTCGAAAGCAGCACTTCATTGTCTTTTTTTTTTTTTTTTTTTTTTTTTTTGGGACAGAGTCTTGCTCTGTCGCCCAGGCTGGAGTACAGGGGAGTGATCCTCGGCTCACTGCAACCTCTTGGGTTCAAGCGATTCTCTTGCCTCAGCCTCCCGAGTAGCTGGGATTACAGGCGCCCACCACAATGCTGGCTAATTTTTGTATTTTTAGTAGAGACAGAGTTTCCTCATGTTGGCCAGCCTGGTCTCAAACTCTTGACTTCAAGTGATCCGCCTGCCTGGGCTTCCCAGAGTGCTGAGATTACAGGTGTGAGCCACCGTGCCCGGCCAGCACTTCATTGTCTTCTAGTTCCCCATGCTGTTGCTGAAGTCTGAAGCCATTCTGACTTCTGATTCTTTGAATGTGACCTATTTTTTTCTCTCTGACAGTTATTCTCTCAGTGTATCGAAGATATCAGTCAACTATCTTCTGGATTGCATTGATGCTATTGAGAAGGCAGCCTGCAGTCTAAAAGTCATGGTTTTAAAGGTAATCAGCTTTTTTTCCTCTGGCTGCTTTTAACATCTTGTGTCGGCCGCGGGCGGTGGCTCATGCTTGTAATCCCAGCACTTTGGGAGGCCCAGGTGGGCGGATCATTTGAGGTCAGGAGTTCCAGACCAGCCTGGCCAACATGGTGAAACACTGTCTCTACTAAAAATACAAAAATTAGCTGGGCATGGTGGCGGGCGCCTGTAGTACCAGCTACTTGGGAGGCTGACGCAGGAGAATCGCTTGAACCCGGGAGGCAGAGGTTGCAGTGAGCCGAGATCACGCCACTGTACTCCAGCCTGGGCGACAAGAGCGAAACACTGTTTCAAAAAAAAAAAAAAAAAAAAAAAATCTCGTGTCTAGGTGTGGACCTATTTCTGTCTTCCCTGCTTAGGATTTATTGGGCTTCTTGAATTTGTGAATTTGTGTCTTTCTTCAGTTCTGGAAAGTTCTTAGGGAGTTATCTCTTAAAATGTTGCTGCTGTGGCCGGTCGTAGTGGCTCATGCCTGTAATCCCAGCACTTTGGGAGGCCGAGGTGGGTGGGTCACCTGATGTTGAGAGTTCGAGAACAGTCTTGCCAACATGATGAAACCCCATCTCTACTAAAAATACAAAAGAATTAGCTAGCTGTGATGGCACGCGCCTGTAGTCCCAGCTACTCGGGAGGCTGAGGCACGAGAAGTGCTTGAACCCGGGCAGCAGAGGTCGGCCGTGAGCCGAGATTGTGCCACGGCACTCCGCCTAGGCAACAGAGTGTGACTCCATTTCAATTTAAAAAAAAAAGAAGAAAAATATGTATATATTGCTGCTGCTTCATTCTGTCTGTCTTCTCTCTCTGGTGTGACAATTGGATTTTTGTTAGACCTACTCATGCTACCTTCCATGTCTTCTATTTTTCAAGTTTTCTATTTTTTTGTGCCTCTGTGCTGCATTCTGGATACTTTTTTTTCTTTCTTTCTTTTCTCTTTCTCTCTCTCTCTCTCTCTCTCTCTCTCTCTTTCTTTCTTGGGATGGAGTTTTGCTCTTGTTGCCCAGGTTGGAGTGCAGTGGCGTGATCTCGGCTCACTGCAACCTCTGCCTCCTGGGTTCAAGCCATTCTCCTGCCTCAGCCTCCCAAGTAGCTGGGATTACAGGTGCCCACCACCATGCCCAGTTAATTTTTTGTATTTTTTAGTAGAGACAGGGTTTCACCATGTTGGTCAGGTTAGCCTCAAACTCCTGACGTCAGGTGATCCACCCGCCTTGGCCTCCCAAAATGCTGGGATTACAGGCGTGTGAGCCACCGCGCCCGGCCTGGATACTTTCTTTAGCTCCTCTGTACAATTTACCAACAGTCTCTCCAGCCATATCAAATCTGCCATTAAATCCATCAATTGAACATATTATTATTTATTATTTATTTATTTTTTGAGACGGAGTCTCACTCTACCACCCAGGCTGGAGTGCAGTGGCACGATCTCAGCTCACTGCAACTTCTGCACCCCGGGTTCAAGCGGTTCTCCTGCCTCAGCCTCCCGAGTAGCTGGGACTACAGGCGTGTGCCACCACGCCTGGCTAATTTTGTATTTCTAGTAGAGATGGGGTTTCTCTGTGTTGGTCAGGCTGGTCTTGAACTCCCGACCTCAGGTGATCCGCCCGCCTCGGCCTCCCAAAGTGCTGGAAGTACAGGTGTGAACCACTGTGCCAGGCATTTTTTTTTTTTTTTTTGTATTTTGTATAGACGGGGTTTCACCATGTTGGCCAGACTGGTCTTGACCTCCTGACCTCCGCCCGCCTCGGCCTCCCAAAGTGCTGGGATTACAGGCATGAGCCACCACACCTGGCCTATATTGAACATTTAAATAGTTTGAAAACTGTGAAATCTGGCATATGTATATAAAGGTGCAGAAAACATTGATGTATGTTTTAAGAAGTAACGATAAGGTGAACACACATTTAACCACTACTCAGGCCAGGCACCCCAGCCTCCACAGTCACCCCAGTCATAATCCCCTTCTCCCGCTCTAGTGGGAACCACCATCCTGGGGTTTCTGTTGCCAACATCCATGCTGCTCTTTAGCTTTCCTGCCTGTGTAGTCATCCCTACACAATATTGTTTAGTTTTGCCTGCTCTTGGAATTTATGTAAATGGAACCATATATAGTATGGATTTTCTGTCTGGTTTCTTTTGTTCAACATTATGCTTGTGAAATGCATTCATGTTTTTCAAGGCTGTAGTTCATTCTCATTGCTGTACAGTAGTATGTTGTTGCATATATTACAGTTTACTTACACTTTCTGGGCAGGTGGTTTGTTGCTAGTTGTTGGATATTGAGAACATCAGTGTACTTGCCTCCTGGGAATATCGCCTATGAATGCAGTTGCTGGATCATTTGGTAGGTATATCTTCAACTTTGTGATACTGTCAAGTGGTTTTCTAAGGTGGCTGTAGTACAAATTTGCTTCCCGCCAGTAATGATTGAGAGTTCCTGTTGCGCTATATCCTTGCCAACTCTTATTGTTGTTAGTCTGTCTGAGTTTGACCAATCTACTGGGTACATAGTGGTATCACTTTGCATTTTAAAAATTGAGGTATAGGCCAGATGCAGTGGCTCACACCGGTAATCCCAGCACTCTTTGGGAGGCCGAGGCGGGAGGATCACTTGAGGTCAGGAGTTGGAAACCAGCCTGGTCAACATGGTGAAACCCTGTCTCTACTAATAATACACGAATTAGCTGGGTGTGGTGATGCACACCTGTAATCCCAGCTACTCGGGAGGCTGAGCCATGAGAATTGCTTAAACCCGGGAGGCGAAGGTTGTAGTGAGCCGAGATTGCACCACTGCACTCCAGCCTGGGTGACAGAGTGAGACTCCGTCTCAAAAAACAAAAAAGTAGAAACGGAACAGAGGCTGCACCTGAGCTGCCCCCCACCTCCCTCTCCTAGCTCCTTGCTCTGGTGGGCTGGGTTCCAGCTATGCTGCTCTTGCCATCTTTATTTTAGAGGTAAGAAAACTGAGCCTCAGAGCAGTTTATTAACTTGCTCAAGGTCTCAGAGTGGTAGAGCCAGGATTTGAACTGGGCTCTTCGTCAAAGGCAATGTTAATCCCCTCACCATGTGAGAGACTCATTCTTTTGTGTTACAGTAGAATTTTCTGCCGTAGACTGTCAGCTGTATGAGATCAAGGAATGTATCTGGCTTCTGTACCACGTGGTAGGCACTCAGAGAAAGTATGTGTTGAATGAATGATTGGATGAATGAATGAACCTGTTAGGAGGCAAATCTCTCTGCCTAACCCTTCCTGTCTCCCTGGGAGTAGCAATACAGCAAGCTGTAAGAGTTGACGGAAATAAGCTTATTCCATACTTTACAAGAACAGTTCTTTATAAATGAGACCCACAATTGGTAATTTTTGGAAGAGAAAATAGGAGTGCAGTGCAAAAACAGGCAGATGTAGAAGGGAGTCTGGCCACCTGTGGGTCTTAGTGAGGCACACATGTAGAGCAAGGAGTCAGACGCTGAAAAGGAGGGGAGAGGGGCCCTGAAGATGAGCATCACCTCCTCAGTCTGTGTCGGGCCCATCTTGAATGCACAAATCTTGCGTGTGTAAGTATCCATGCATATGTGGAAGTGTTTTATGGAGTCATAACGTGTCCAATTCTCCCACACTTTGCGGCTCACAGAGCACCGTATTGTGATTTCTTGTTTCCCAACGTAGGCGGAACACACCAGGAGCCCCAGCGCAACCCTCCCCTCCAATGTGCCTTCATGCCGGTCCCTGTCATCCAGCGAAGACGGCCCCAGTGGCCCTTCCAGCCTCGCAGATGGAGGCCTAGCCCACAACTTACAGGATAGTGTCAGGCACCGCATCCTCTACCTCTCAGAGCAGCTGAGAGTGGAGAAGGCCAGTCGGGATGGCAACACTGTGAGCTACCTCAAGCTGGTATCCAAAGCAGACCGGCACCAGGTGCCGCACATCCAGCAGGCCTTTGAGAAGGTGAACCAGCGCGCCTCTGCCACCATCGCCCAGATCGAGCACAGGCTCCACCAGTGTCACCAGCAGCTCCAGGAGCTGGAGGAAGGCTGCAGGCCCGAGGGCTTACTGCTGATGGCAGAAAGCGACCCAGCCAACTGCGAGCCACCCAGTGAGAAGGCCCTGCTTTCAGAGCCCCCCGAGCCAGGTGGGGAAGACGGGCCGGTCAACCTGCCTCATGCCAGCAGGCCCTTCATCTTGGAGAGTCGCTTCCAGAGCTTACAGCAGGGGACGTGCTTAGAGACAGAGGATGTGGCCCAGCAACAAAACCTGCTGTTGCAGAAGGTAAAGGCAGAGCTGGAAGAAGCCAAGAGGTTCCACATCAGCCTCCAGGAGTCCTATCACAGCCTAAAGGAGAGGTCTCTGACTGACCTGCAGCTGTTGCTGGAGTCCCTTCAGGAGGAGAAGTGTAGGTGAGGCCTTGGCTCTGGGGACTGGAAGCAGAGGAGGAACCGCTCCCAGGAGCCACCTATGGGAGGGTGAAAGGGAGCCAGGACAGGAGCCTGGAGAGCCAGGGTGAGGGGCCAGTTGGAAGAGCAGGTCCATGCTTCTTTTAGCGACTGGGCCCTGCAGTGGGGCGAGCCAGCCCTCTCCCTGCAGTCCCACACCTGCCTTGACCCTTGCTAGCGAAAATGCTCCAGCTTGGCAGCCCCTGCCGGGTGGTTGCAGCGGCATAGCGGCTGGCCCTGACCCTGTGGTGGCAGGGGACAACATGGGGGTGGCAAGAGTCCGGTAGACACCTGGCACTAGTTAGGGAGGTGGCGTCCTTTGGTCCCAGTCGGCTGGGAAGGTGGGAGTCAGGACCGGAGTCGCCTCGCCAGCTCTGGTCTCTTCACATGTGCTCCTAGCTGAGCTGGGGCACAGGCCGGGTCTCAGATACTTATTTCAAAAATGACTGCCTTCTGGTGAATGCTTTCTCCGCACCGTGCAGTAGCTCGATTTTCTTTTTCTTTTTTTTCTTTTGAGATGGAGTCTCACTCTGTCGCCAGACTGGAGTGCAGTGGCACGATCTCGGCCCACTGCAACCTCCACCTCCCGGGTTCAAGCGATTCTCCTGCCTCAGCCTCCCGAGTAGCTGGGAATACAGGCGTGCACCAGCACATCCGGCTATTTTTTGTATTTTTAGTACAGGCGGGGTTTCACCATGTTGACCAGGATGGTCTCAATCTATTGACCTCGTGATCCGCCTGCCTCAGCCTCCCAGAGTGCCGGGATTACTGGTGTGAGCCACCTCACCCTGCCCTAGCTCGATTTTCTTTCCCTCTAAGATAAGGCTAGGGCCTACCAATTGGAGGAAAAAAAAAAAAAAAAAAAAAAAGGCAAACCCAATCTCTCAACGGATTCTCTCCATTCCTATTGGGACCGTTCTCTGGGTTTCCATGGGCCCTCAGGGGGTGCCACATTCTGTCCCCCTCGCTGCAGTCTGTGGCTAATTAACGCCAGTCCCTCCAGCGTCCTGGCTAGGGAGGCAGCGATTCCCTTAGGTGAGCCAAGATTCTCAGCATTTGCATGAAAAGAAGAACTCCGCAGTCCTTTTAGTGCCTGATGCAGGGGAAGCGGCGTGTGGGAATCATCCTCTTTAGTTTCCCCAGGGAAATCTTGCCAGCGTTTACATGGCCTAAGAATCTGTTAAAGGACAATCAAAGAATATTACAGGGCAACCACTGTCAATGAGATGACTAGTCAGAGTCACAGGCGTCTCTTGCAGATTATTTTCATAGGACATGGCAACCAAATCTAAAATCTTGGGAGCATCAAAGACCCTTTTGTGAAAATCACACTTACCCGGTCAGCTTTCTATTAAGCAACAGCAGAACTTGGTGGCAGTTACAAACTTCCCCGTATGTTTCCAAGCCACAGGGGCCAATGAGAATGCTGTGCTCAGGTAAACTCTTAACCCCTGTCAAATCCGAGTCTTTCGCCCCCTCTTGATACAGCGGTGACTACCGGGGAGCAGGGCAATACCTCTGTCTCTCCCCCTCTCAGACTTTTGCTGCAAATTCTAGAAGCCTGCACTTCTGACCCGGTACCCCCCATTGGACTGTGACATGGGATGTCTGGTTGTTTGCTGCAGCAGCGAGCCTACCCTTACTAATGTTCATCGTGAGCAGAAAAGCAGGTCTACAGGGCCCAAGCAGGTCTACAGGAGGAGAAAGGGCTGCTGATGATTTTTCACTGTTGTCACGGGCTCGTAACTGAGCTGGGGCACCAGGTTAAGCAGCCTTGTTCTTTGGCCCTCAGACGCCTACTTTATGGTTGGGGAAGCAGAGTCTCACAGAGGCACAAGCAGGCTACGTGGCTGCTAAGTGCGGACCTGAGAGCATTTCACCACACCCTGGCTGTGTGGCTAAGTTAGATGCAGGGGACACAGGAGTTCATGGCATTTTAAAAACATATACTTCCGTAAAATCTTCTTCAAAACTTTTACATGATCTGGACACAGAAGTGTTTCAACCAGCCAGGCTCCCTGTGACTGTTGCGTCCCCTCTGGTGCATCACAAACTGAGAATCCATACTGCAAGTCCTGTGCTGTTTATCACAGTTAAATCCGTTTGCTTTCAGGAGGGCTGTTGTGGTTTTTATCATTATGGTTTCTTTTTAATTTGGTCTCGGCATGTCTCTACTGAGAGTGGCCATAGCCGAGATACCCAGTTTCTAGGAGATCCCTGACCCGTGGGAAAGTTAGGTTCGGATGTGTGTGTCAGGGGAGCCACAGTGAGGAGGCAGACGAAAATGCATGAAACAGCAGAAATGGGCTGGGCGTGGGGGCTCACGCCTGTAATCCTAGCACTTTGGGAGGTTGAGGTGGGCAGACTGCTTGAGCTCAGGAGTTTGAGACCAGCCTGGGCAACATAGTGAGACCCGGTATCTACAAAAACATCAAAAAATTAGCTGGGCGTGATGGCGCGTGCCTGTAGTCACAGCTACTCAGGAGGCTGAGCGGGAGCGGGGATCCCTTGAGCCCGGGAGGTTGAGGCTGCAGTGAGTCATGATTGCACCACTGCACTCCATTCTGGGTGACAGAGCAAGACCCTGTGTCAAAAAAAAAAAAAAAAAAAAAAAAAAGAAATGTATGACTCAGATCGAAGAGATGTTAGGTGTGCTGATGGGAGGCAGAGGGGAAGTCTGGAGGCAGCAGGGAGCTGATTGAGCTCATCAGCTGTGCAACAGCGAAGCCCAGAACGGAAGGGCGGGGAAGCTTCCGGGGCTGTGCCTGTATTAAGGTCACAGGGTGTGAAGTGATCCCACAGGCTTTCCTGCGGGGGTTGTGGATTGGCTGGTTTAAAGAAAACATGCACGAGGAGGAAACTGATTTACATGACTCTGGTGTTGAGCATTAGGTCTTATCGTGGTCAGCAGCCGTGGGATGTGTTGGGTTTTGGGTCAGTGAGGCGAGGACCACGTGGGCTATGTCGCAAACAATCACATGACAGGGAGGGAGGGGTGTTATCTAGGGCAAAGGTGACAGGGTACAACTGCTAAAGTTGGATGCTGAGGCAGCAACTGTATTAAACGCATTTATGACAAGGGCTTACTTAAAAAAATTGATGTAGAATTCACATAATTTCACGTAATGTGAAATTAACCATTTGGAAGCATGTAATTCAGTGCATTAAGTACATCTGCAGTGTGGTTCAACCATCACCTCTGTCCGGTTGTCTAACATTCTCATCACCCCAGAAGGAGACCTCCAGACTCACTACACGGTCACTCCTAGCCTCGGCTCCAGGCGTTCCCTAATCTGCTTTCTGTCTCCGTGGGTTTGCCTCTTCTGGACTTTTCATATAAATGGGACCATACGATATGTGGGCTTTTGTGTCTAGCTCCTTTCACTGTTTTCAAGGTTCACTAATGTTGTAGCACGTATCAGTACTTCATTCTCTTGACGGCTGACTAATATTCCAGTGCATGGGTAGACCACATTTTGTTTATCTGTCCATCAGCGGATGGAGATTTGAGTTGTTTCCACCTTTTGGCTATTGTGAGAAGCCCTGCGCTGAACACTCAGATACATGCCAGTTGTTTGAACACCAGTTTTCAATTCTTTGGGGTCTATAATCAGGAGTAGAATTGCTGGACCCCGTGGTGACTCCAGGTGTAGCGTTTAGAGGAGTCTTCCCACAGCAGCCGCGCAGCTCCATCTTCCCACCAGCAATGCAGAAGGCTTCCAGTTGCCTCACATCCTTGCCAACATTTGTTGTTATCCTTTTTTTTTTTTTCCAACAGATGTAACTGTGAAGTGGTATCTCATTATGAGGGCTGGCTTTCTTTTTTATTTTTCCTGAGTCTTTGGATAGGCAAAAGTTCTTTCTTTCTTTCTTTCTTTCTTTCTTCTTTTTCTTTTTCTCTCTTTCTTTCCATCTCTCTCTCTCTCTTTCTTTCTTTTTCTTTCTCTCTTTCTCTTTCTTCCTTTCTCTCTGTCTCTCTCTCTCTCTCTCTATCTCTCTTTCTTTCTTTCTTTTTCTTCAGGGTCTCTGTTGCCCAGGCTGCATGCAGTCATAGTTCACTACAGCCTTGAACTCCTGGGCTCAAGCGATCTTCCTGCCTCAGCCTCCCGAGTAGCTGGGAGTACAAAGCATGTGCCACCATGCCTGGCTAACTTTTTAAAAATTATTATTATTTGTAGAGATGGGATCTTGCTATGTTGCCCAGGCTGGTCTTGAACACCTGGCCACGGCCTCCCCAAGTACTGGGGTTACAGATGTGAGCCACTGTGCCTGGACAGTTCTTACTTTTTAATGCATTTTTTAATTGATTGTGGTAAAAACAAAAAACCCACAATATATTCTTTTTGATTCTGCGAAGTGCAGGGTCTCTATCACAGCAACAATTAGACTCAGGAGGCTTGGGGCTGGCCCTGGGGTCTCCTCCTTCATGAGGTCTGGGTTTGTAGGTCCTTGCAGAGGACGTTCCTGGGTCCTGGAAGGACTGTGACTGCTTCCGCTGGAGTTGCTTGAGGCCCCTGGTAACTCTCCTCTCTGTGTGCTGAGGAGAAGCACGGGCGTCGCGAACTTGATGATTCTGGATGGAAGGGTCTTTGCCAAGCTTCCCTTTCTTTCTTGTGGAAATAGGAGGAGCTTCAGATCTCCGAGAAGATGCACAGTGAGCGGCCGACCTCCTCAGCACAAGCCAGTCTCCTGGGGGACCAGAAGGCCCCGGTCCCTCAGTTTCTTCGTGGGTCAGGAGGAAAGAAGGCTTGAGAAACTCAGAAAACGTTCATTGGTAGAAGAGATGGCACCCAAGGAAGGCATGGGGAGCCTTCAAGTAAAAGTCTCGACTGGCCAGGTCTCATCTGGGCACCTTGCATGCAGAGTTGCAGGAGGCCCCCTCTAGCCTCCTAATGAGCCAGGGGGCTCTGGGAGGGTCTTGGGGGTCCTTCCCCATCTCTTACAGGATGCGCAGCTGACTTCTGCTTGATGGTGAAAGGCAGTCAGGTTTCAGTCTTGGCCCCGTAGACAGGGCATGGACAAGTCCTGGAGTTGGGGGTATGGTGCCAGCAAAACCATCTTTACTCTCTGGGGTCCATAGCCAGTCCCAGCCTGCCCAGCCCCACCCTCCTCCTTCACCTTTGTAGCCCGAGTGGTCAATGCCTGGGGTAGATGGGTTGCTGGGACATCTTTGTTCTTTGTTGGATGAGTAAAATGGTCCTGGGAGAAAACCCGACTGTGAGGAGCACATTGCTTCTTTTTTTTGTCTTTTTTATGAGATGGAGTCTCACTCTGTCCCCCAGGCTGGAGTGCAGTGGCACGATCTCGGCCCACTGCAACCTCCACCTCCCCGGTTCAAGCGATTCTCCTGCCTCAGCCTCCCGAGTAGCTGGGATTACAGGCACACGCCAGCATGCCTGGCTACTTTTTGTATTTTTCAGTAGAGATGGGGTTTCGCCATGTTGACCAGGGGTCTCGAACTCCTGACCTGAAGCGATCCACCCACCTCGGCCTCCCAAAGTGCTGGAGTTACAGGTGTGAGCCACCACACCTGGCTGGAGGACATTGCTTCTTGCCCCATTTCTAGTTCCCTAGACCTGCCTTGGCATCAACTCATTGAAGGCTCCACTTGGTGACAAGGAACCGGCTTATTTGGAAACAGGGTCGTTGCGGACGTGATGAGTTAGATCTGGATGAGGTCATTCTGCAGAGGGGTGGGCCCTAATGCAGTGTGACCTGTGTCCTGACAGAAAGGGGAGACGGAGACACGGACACACCCAGAGGGAGAGCGCCGTGTGGAGACAGAGGCTGAGGCCGACCTGCCGTGGCAGAAGCCAAGGAAGCCCGCAGGTGGGCAGCAGAGCAGAAGCTGGGACAGAGGCCCCGAGTGGAGGCGCCTTCTCGGTCCTCGGCAGGAGCCCGCCCAGCCTGGGCCTTCCTCTCGGACTGCTGGACCCCCAGCCAGGAGAGAGGCCATCTCTGCTGGGAAAGCCACTCAAAGTTTGTAACGCTTTGTGATGGCAGCCAGAGGAAACTCCCACACTCAGCTTGTCCTTTAGGCTCTGCTCTGATGTCCTCTCCTCAAAGGGACTTCCCAGGCTACCACGTTCAAATGGCCTCTTCTTTTATTCTTTTGGAAGCGGGGTTTTTTGAAGTAAAGTTTTTGTTTTTTTGTTTTTTTTAGATGGAGTTTTGCTCTTGTTGCCCAGACCGGAGTGCAATGGCGCAATCTCGGCTCACTGCAACCTCCGCCTCCTGAGTTCAAGCGATTCTCCTGCGTCAGCCTCCCGAGTAGCTGGGATTACAGGCAGGCACCACCACGCCTGGCTAATTTTGTAATTTTAGTAGAGATGGGGTTTCTCCATGTTGGTCAGGCTGGTCTCGAACTCCTGTCCTCAGGCGATCCACCTGCCTCGGCCTCCCAAAGTGCTGGGATTACAGGAGTGAGCCACCGCGCCTGGCCTTTTTGAGGTAAATTTTATGCAGTGAAATTGCATTTAAGTTTAGGCATACAGTTTAACGAGTTTTGACAAAGGTTTACACCTGGGCAGCTAAAATCCCAATAAAGAGCTTTGCCACCACCCCAGAAAGTACCCTCATACCCTCTTCCAGTGAATGCCCGTCTCCCATAATTGGCCACTGTTCCGGTTTCTGTCACTCTAGCTTCATCTCCTTTTGAACTTCACGTAAGTGGAATCGCACGGCACGCAGTGCTTTGTGTCTGGCGGCTTTCGCTCCGTGGAATTGTTTTGAGATCCACCCAAGCTGTGTGAAGTGAGTAGCTCATGGCTTCGTATTGCTTGGCAGCCTTCCATTGCATGGAGACGCCGCAGGTTGCTTATGCCCTGGTCCGCTGCCAGTTGGGGCGACTGAATAAAGCTGCTATGAACGTTCTCGCACAAGTCTTTCTGTGAACATATGCTTTCATATATGGAATTGCTAGATAACAGGGAAGTGTTATGTGTCTTAGTCCCACTTTCTGTTGCTGTAACAGAGTACCGCAGGCTGGGTGGTTTATAAAGAAAGGAAGTTCAATGTCAAGGCGCTGGCAGCTGGTGAGGACCTTTGTACGGCATCATCCTATGGCGGAAGGCAGAAGGGCAAGAGGGCGTGAGAGAGCGAGCGGGGGCCAAACTTTCATGATAACAATATTAATATTAATCGCCTCTTACCAGTCCCACCCCTTAACACCATCACATGGCCATTAAATTTCAACACGAGTTTTGGGGGGGACATGTACCCCATAGCAGTATGCTTAACTTTTTAAGAAAGAGGAAGGCCGGGCGCGGTGGCTCACCCCTGTAATCCCAGCACTTTGGGAGGCTGAGGCAGGCGGATCACCTGAGGTCGGGAGTTCGAGACCAGCCTGAACAACATGGAGTAAACCCTGTCTCTACTAAAAATACAAAATTAGCCCGGCGTGGTGGCACATGCCTGTAATCCCAGCTACTCGGGAGGCTGACGCAGGAGAATCGCTTGAACTCAGGAGGCGGAGGTTGCGGTGAGCCGAGATCGTGCCATTGCACTCCAGCCTGGGCAACGAGTGAAACTCCATCTCAAAAAAAAAAAAAAGAGGAACTGTTTTCCGACATGGCTATACCATTTTACAGTCCCGCTAGGAGTGTATAAGAGTTCCAGTTGCCAACGTTTGGCAAGATCAGTCTTTTAAATGTCAGCCTCTTAAGTTCAGCCACAACTTGGTGAAATTAGACTCCAAAATTTCATCACCCTAGCCCATGTTCTCTCGACCTTGGCACTGTCGACATTTTGGACCAAATGATTCTCTGTTGTGCGGGGCTGTCCTGTACATTCTAGGATGATGAGCAGCATCCCTGGTCTCCACTTACTTGATGCCAGTGGTGCCGTGAATTAATTGATGCTGCCGTGACAAATTGCCCCCAACTTCATGGCTTAAAATAATAGAAAGTTATTCTCTCGCAGTCCTGGAGGCTAGAAGGCCGAAATCCGTTTCACTGGGCTGAAATCAGGCGAGGAGGACACACACTCATTGGAGGCTCTAGGGGACAAACTGATCTTTGCCTCTTCCAGTTTCTGGTGGCTGCCAAATTCCTTAATTTTGTGGCCACATCATTCCTGTCCTGAAGGCCAGCATCTTCAAACCTGTGTTCTGTCTTCACATGACATTCTCGTCTGTGTGTGTCTAATGTCCTTCTGCCTCTCTCTCATACATGTGATTGCATTTAGGGCCACCAGGATAATCTAGGATAATCTTTGCATCTCAATACCCTTAAACTCACCACTTCTGGAAAGCCCCCTTTTTTGGTCATAGAAGGTAACATTCACAGTTTCCAAGGATTATGACACAGATATCTTTTGCGGAGGGGCTTTTTGTTTTTTTCTTTTTTAGACAGAGTCTCTCTCTGTCACCCAGGCTGGAGTGCAGTGGCACGATCTTGGCTCACTGCAACCTCCGCCTCCTGGGTTCAAGCAATTCTCCTGCCTCAGCCTCCCAAGTAGCTGGGACTACAAGCGCGTGCCACCACACCCAGCTAATTTTTTTGTATTTTTCATAGAGACGGGGTTTCACCCTGTTGCTCAGGGTGTTCTTGAACTCCTGAGCCCAGGTAATCTGCCCACCACAGCCTCACAAAGTGCTGGGGTTACAGATGTGAGCCACCGTGCCCAGCCTAGGGGGGCAATTTTAGCCTACCGTGCCCCACCTATTTGTAACAACCAGAAATGTCTGTCCAGAGATTGCCAAATGTCCCTTGTTTGGGGAGGGGGGGGCCGGCAAATTGCCCCTGGTTGAGAACCAGTATCCTAGCCCATGAGACTAGTGGGTGTGTGACCCTGCCTCTGACGATTAATGATGCTGAACCCCTTTTCATGTGCTTATCAGCCAATAAGTCTTTGGCTTGTTTTCAACTTGGATTGTCTTTTTATTGTTGAGTTGTCAGAGCTCTTTATATACTCCGGACCAGTCTTTGTCACTCCCCTACTTTTTCCTTTCTCGCAGCACTCACCGCCTAAACTGCTCTCCCTTGTGTAGGTATTCATTTGTGTTGTATTGTTCTCGTCAAAATATCAGCACATTCAGGTCGGCCACTGTGTCTGAGTGACTGCCCAAAGACATGTTGGCACATGATGGCTGTTCTGTGAGTACCTGTTTCATGGATCAGTCTGGATGCTGCTTTTCCTCCCTTCCTGAAGGGACCCAGCTCGCCCTCTGGGCTGCCTCCCTCCTCCATGTATGTCAGAACTCTATCTGCTGTGTCTTGGGAACATCAGGGCAGGGCCAGGAGGGCTGATTCTGGATTTAGGCCTGGCCCAGCCTCCTCTCTGCAAGGTATTTACTGAATGACCTTGGACGAGGTGCTTCAAGTTTGCAATCCTCAGTTTCCACATCTGTAACATGGAGGTAAAAATGATCCCACTATTGTTGGAACTGTTGTGAGAATTAATTAATACTTGTGTGTAAGCCCCAAGTAGATGCTGATGGAACTGAATTTACAATTCCTTTCTGCTTCCTATGTGCAAACTAAGTCCTTGAAAGATCGTAAAGAAAAATGGGGCCAGATGTGGTGGCTTATGGCTGTAATCCCAGTGCTTTGGGAGGTCGAGGCAGGAGGATTGCTTCAGCCCAGGAGTCTGAGACCAGCTTGGGTAACAAAGTGAGACCATATCTCTGCAAAAAATTTTAAAAGTGTTAACCGGACTTGGTGGCACATGCCTGTAGTCCCTGCTACATGGGAGGCTGAGACAGGAGGATCGCTTGAGCCCGAGAGTTTTATGTTGCAGTGAACTATGATTGTGCCACTGTGCTCCAGCCTGGGTGATAGAGGACAGAGTGAGAACTTGTCTCAAAAAAAAAAACAGAAAGAGAGAGAGAGAGAGAGGAGAGAGAGAGAGAGGAGAGAGAGAGAGAGAGAGAGAGAGAGAGGGAGAGAGAGAGAGAGAGAGAGAGAGAGAGAGAGAGAGAGAGAGAGAGAAAGAAAAAGAGAAAGAAAGAAAGAAAGAAAGAAAGAAAGAAAGAAAGAAAGAAAGTTGTTAATGGCTTTTTTTTTTTTTTGAGGTGGTGTCTTGCTCTGCTGCCCAGGCTGGAGGGAGTGCAGTGGCTTGATCTCAGCTCACTGCAACCTCTGCGTCCCGGATTCAAGTGATTCTCCTGTCTCAGCCTCCTGAGTAGCTGAGATTACAGGCATGCACCACCACGCCCAGCTAATTTTTGCATATTTTAGTAGAGACGGGGTTTCACCATGTTGGCCAGGATGGTCTCGATCTCCTGACCTCGTGATCCGCCCGCCTCGGCCTCCCAAAGTGCTGGGATTACAGGCATGACTGCAGCCGGCCAATGTCTTGGAACTATTAATAGCCATGGTGGTTGCACAACACCACATGTGCTAAATGCCGCTGAATTGTTCACCTTAAAATAATTCATTTTATGTTACATGAAATTTACCTCAATAAAAATTGAATAAAAAAGAAGCTACTCAGGTGCCGAGTAGGCAAAACTTTCACTCTTGCTTTGTATTTCTGGCTGTATCCACAAGTGGGCAGTCGTGAAATTTTCTTATAGCCTCCTGTCATATTGAAAACGCCCGGAAGTGAATATGCCAGGTCTCCATGTTTTTCTTTCCCTCCTGGACACGAGGTCCTTGGGGGCATCCAGACCCTAGCTCCTCTGTCCCAAGACTGTTCTGGTATGTTTCGCTTTCAGACGAGGCTTGGAGATAACAGGCTATGGTTCCTAGAGGCTTCAGTGTTGCTCTGTGACCTCTCAGCCCCAGGGATCCAGCCTCGGGCTGACTTTCCTCAAGGTATCTGCTTAGGGCTTTGTTGCAGGCTGGGGTCGTGTTAACTTCCATTTTTTCCCCGACTTCTCCTCCATGTCACAGCATCCTGCATCTTGGGATCTCTGAGGAGGTCTGACCTAAGGTCTGATCTGCTCTCTGAACTGGTTCCTCTCATCCCTATTGCGTTGAAGCAAAGCACAGACATTATATCAGTTCATCTGTAAATATTTCAGTGTGAACCTGAAATATGGATCATTTTGTTAACATAGCCTAAATACCATACCAAAAATGTTTTAAAACAAGTCCACAATGTTAAATATGCAGTCACTGTCACCTTATTGCCTCACACATGCCATCATTCCTTTTTATTTCTGAAGGAATTCTTTTTTTTTTTTTTGTGA
The DNA here is from genome assembly GCF_000001405.40 of Homo sapiens. Classification (NCBI taxonomy): domain Eukaryota; kingdom Metazoa; phylum Chordata; class Mammalia; order Primates; family Hominidae; genus Homo; species Homo sapiens. The sequence goes on along the minus strand of NC_000023.11, from coordinate 154,201,589 downwards.
GACAGAGCCTCACCCTGTCACCCAGGTTGGAGTGCAATGGTGAGATCTCGGCTCGCTGCAACCTCTGCCTCCCAGGTTCAAGCGATTCCCCTGCCTCAGCCTCCTCAGTAGCTGGGATTACAGGCATGTGCCACCACGCCCGGCTAGTTTTTGTATTTTTAGTAGAGACGGGGTTTCACCATGTTGGCCAGGCTGGTCTTGAACTCCTGACCTCGTGATCTGCCTGCCTCGGCCTCCCAAAGTGCTGGGATTACAGGCGTGAGCCACCACACCCGGCCCTGAAGGATATTTTTTGCTGGACATAGAATTCTAAGTTGGCACTTAATTTTTGGAAATAATAAGCATTTTGAACAAATCATTCCCTTCTGACTTCCATGGTTTCTGTTGAAAAGGCAGCTGCCAGTCTTCTTGTTGCTCCTCGGATCACAGTTTTGTTTTCCTCAGGCTCCTTTTAAGATCTTTTGTTTTTCTTTGTTGTTTAGTGGTTTTGCTATGATGATGTTTGGCGTGATTTTCTTTCTCTCTTCTTTTTTGTGCCGCTGACTCTCCCCTTGGTGTGATTTTCTTTGCATTCATCCTGCTTGGGCTTCGCATTGCTACTTGGGTTTATGGCTTGATGTCTTTTGTCAGTTTTGGACGTTTTCAGCCATTATATTTTCAAATAGTGACTCTGCCCTAGTCTCTCATTTTTCCCCTTCTAAGGCCCCAGTTACATGTATGTTCAACCTTTCCACTGTATCCCTACATCCTCTGGGTTCCTGTGTGAGCCGTCCTGGCGAATTTCCTCCTGCTTTCGCTTCTGTTTTGTTGGCTCTTCCCCCAGCTCCCCAGGGCCCCTTGCTTTGGCACATTTGCTCAGAGTGAGCTCATCCATCCTGGCCACATGCACCGATTGCACCTGGGCTATTGACCCCTCCTACAGCTGTTTCTCCGTCTCAGACTTTTCCTCCAAGTTGTGGGCCATGATTAGGCTCTAGCTCAATTTGCCAAAAGCAAATTCTCAGAAATGACCAAGAATATACTCTTTCTGGCTGGGCCCAATGGCTCACACCTGTAATCCCAGCACTTTGGGAGGCCGAGGCAGGCGGGTCACCTGAGGTCAGGAGTTGGAGACCAGCCTGGCCAACATGGTGAAACCCTGTCTCTACTAAAAATACAAAAAATTAGCCCGGCATGATGGCGCATACCTGTAGTCCCAGCTACTCAGGAGGCCGAGGCAGGAAAATCACTTGAACCCGGGAGGCGGAGGTTGCAGCAAGCCAAGATCGTGCCACTGCACTCCAGCCTGGGCAAATAGAAGGAGATCCGTCTCAAAAAAAAAAAACAACAACACTATTTTGAAAAAAACAATAAAGTTTAGAACACTTTGTGTTGGAGAGGGTGGTCTTAACACCTTCGGTCTGTCTTGAGGGTGTCTGGGTTGACTGGTCATCGTTTTGTGTTCATAAGAGCATTCTCCAGAGTTGTCCATTTGCTTCTGTGACTGTAGGAGGTGGAGAGAGGGGGGTCCTTGACCAAGGAAGAGAAGGGAGCGCGGCTGCCAGAGGGCCAGGAGATGGGGGCCAGAGAGAAGGGGAGACTGAGAGAATATCCTTATGAAAATATTGTTTACTGACATCTGAAGAGACTCTTCAAGAATGCACTGAAGAATATCTTCATGTATCTTTACCAATACATTGATGAAGATTGACTTCATATTCCTGAGGACAGTTAAAATCTTGAATGTTCTCACAGCTAGATCATTCATGTAAATGGAAAGACAGTAATGAGGAATCTATTTTCGGGGTGACCATCCTGCCGACCCACTCCCCCTCTCTGTGAGCAGTGGCCTAGTCCATGTTGTCCACCGACTCTCTTCTTAACAGGGACCTGGGGCAGAGACAAATGGAATATTCCTTGAAATGCTGCGAGGAACCAGCTTTTGACAAATTGGCTTTCAACAAATGAGCTGTCAGCTTATTCAGTGCCCGGGGGATTTCTCCGTGTGGGTGTTGGTCAAGTCCTTGGAGTGGGACCGAATAGAAGTCGTCACTGTTTTCCCCGTCTCTGTCAGCACCACCGTTTAGACCTCCTGCACCTGAGGCCTGCCGCCACCCTCCTGGGCCTCCTGGGGCGGCAGCCCTGCCAGTCTATGGGTTCCATCACGCTCTGGTGCCTTCTCTCTTCTACGTAAGCGGTGGTGCCAGAGCCCCCTCACTGGCCCCCTGGCCTCTGTCCTTCTGGCCCGTTCTTTGTGGTGCCAAAAGGGGAACTTCATAGAAGTTTTTAAATTATGAAGTATTTCAAGCAAAGGGAAAATGTAAGGATAACATAATTAACAGCCCCAGCTTTCTGAAATCTTAACATTTGCCATATTCACTTCAAATCTTATTTTTTTAGGAAATAAAACTTTAAAATATTCTGTTGAAGCCCTCATTACCCCTTTCCAGCACCATCTCCCTTCCTTGCTATTCTGGCCTTGCTATACTGGCCTCACCATTCTCATTTGGGTGCTTATCTTTTCCATGCATGGTTTTATACTTTTACTACTTATATAATTATATACACAACAGGTAGTGATTGTTTTCTTTTAGAGATAGGGTCTCACTCTGCTGCCCAGGCTGGAGTGCAGTGGCGTGATGGCAGCTCACTGCAGCCTCGAACTCCCGGACTCAAGAGGTCCTCCTGCCTCAGCCTCCAGAGTAGCTGAGACTACAGGCGCGTGCCACCACACCCAGATAATTAAAAATTTTTTTTGTAGAGACAGGGTCTCACTGTGTTGCCCAGGCTGGTGTTGAATTCCTCCTGGCCTCAAACAATCCCCTTGCCTTGGCCTCCCAAAGCGCTGGGATTGCAACTGTGAACCACTGCGCCTGGCCTGCTTGTGGTTTTTTAACAGCTCTATTGAGATATAATTTACATATTATAAAATGCACCATTTTAACTACATTTCAATGGTTTTTAGTAAATTTACTGAGTTGCGCAACTATTGCCATGATTCACTTTTCTCTTTTTGTTTAAATAACGGCTCTATTGAGATATAATTCACATCCCATAAAATTCACCAATTTAAAGTGTACAATTCACTGGTTTTTCGTATAGTCACAGAGTTGTTCAACCATCACCACTATCTAATTCCACAATATTCTCTTTTTTTTTTTTTTGAGACGGAGTCTCGCTCTGTCGCCCAGGCTGGAGTGCAGTGGTGTGAACTCTGCTCACCGCAAGCTCCGCCTCCCGGGTTCACGCCATTCTCCTGCCTCCGCCTCCCGAGTAGCTGGGACTACAGGCGTCCGCCACCACGCCCGGCTAATTTTTTTTGTATTTTTAGTACAGACGGGGTTTCACCGTGTCAGCCAGGATGGTCTCGATCTCCTGACCTCATGATCCGCCCGCCTTGGCCTCCCAAAGTGCTGGGATTACAGGCGTGAGCCACCGTGCCCGGTCCTACAATATTTTCACCAGCCCCAAAGCAACCCTGTACTCATTAGCAGCCACTGCCCATCCCCCACCCCCAGCCCCTGGCACCCACTAATCTGCTTTCTGTCTCTATGGATTTGCCTATTCTGGACATTTCGTAACTAATGGAATTGTACTGGAATCTGTGGTCTTTTGTGGCTTTTCAATCCTTATAGTCACCATGTTTCTATAGAGTAACTGCAGGCTAAACTGCAGGCTAGACTTCGTGCTCAACACTGGTCCTGGGGGATTTGCGGAACTGAAGAGCACACACAGATAGTTCACACTGTCATTTCTACAACTTCTAGTCTGTGGCTATTTTTGTAAAGCTGTTACAAAAGAGTAACTACATATAAAATATATATGAATATTGGTGTGCGTGTGGCTGGTGTGTGTTTGGGGTGTTCCCAGGCAGACCTGGAGTGGGAGGCAGGCTTTCCCTAGAGCCTGGGGAGCGGGGAGGAAGGCAGAAGCTGAACCCGAATCTAGTCTAGGTCAGGACCGCTCGCTGTTGGCATGAGCTCTGGATGAGGTACTGAAGGAATCTCACTTTCTCTTTTGCTCCCAAGGCAAGCATTGATGGAAGAACAGGTGAATGGTCGCCTGCAGGGACAGCTGAATGAGATTTACAACCTCAAACACAATCTGGCCTGCAGCGAAGAGAGAATGGCCTATCTATCCTATGAGAGAGCCAAGGAAATATGGGTGAGAACCTCCTGGGGGAGCCTTGCAAGAAGACTGGAGGGATGAGCGAATCTATTCTGATACCCCCAAACCAAAGCAAGACACGGGTCCTCGAGCTGCCCCCTCCTGAGGGTTCGATGGCCACACACATTTGTTTCAGAGCTAGCAGCATCTGATCTTTACACTCACGCTCCGCTTCCCACCATCTGGCTTAGCTGCTTTTGCCACTCTGGTGCTGCAGTGCTCACCCGTGAGCCTCTGACTCGGGAGATCTGGGGTGGAGCTGCTTCTGCTGCGGCTGCAGGTGTAGGGAGCGCCCTCTCAGAACCCCTCCTTAGACCTGGCTTCCCTCTCCTCACTTTTCCATTCCCATAGCGCCCACCCCCGTCCCTGGGTAGCTGTGTCTTGACCAGGTCCTCAGCTTCGGGAGACAGTGGATGGGGGAGTGCAGCCGGGTCAGATGAAGCTTTCCCTGTTGCTGGAGAGCCTGCGCCCTCCCCTCTGCCCTGAATGTGCTCTAGGCTCTCTGCTTCCCTCCTCGAATACCCACTCCACAGTGCTTTCTGCTCACCCCTAAGAACTCAATAAACGACCACAACTCTGTGCTGACTTCTGGTGCGTGCATTTTCGTCTCCTGCAGGAGATCACGGAGACCTTCAAGAGCCGAATATCCAAGCTGGAGATGCTACAGCAAGTCACCCAACTGGAGGCAGCGGAGCACCTCCAAAGCCGTCCCCCGCAGATGTTGTTCAAGTTCCTGAGTCCGCGCCTCTCACTGGCAACCGTCCTCTTGGTCTTTGTCTCCACCTTGTGTGCCTGCCCCTCGTCACTGATCAGCTCACGCCTGTGCACCTGCACCATGCTGATGCTGATCGGGCTTGGGGTCCTGGCCTGGCAGAGGTGGCGCGCCATCCCTGCCACAGACTGGCAGGAATGGGTCCCCTCCAGGTGTAGACTGTACTCCAAGGACTCTGGGCCTCCAGCAGATGGACCTTAAGGGGCCAGGAGGGCCACCTGCCTTAGCTTGCTAGCTCCCTCCCTCCTCCTGGGTGCTGAGGGCATCCAGCAAGCCCCTCCACAGCTCTTGCTTGCCGATTATGTAACCACCAGCCTGGTGAAATGGATATAGACGCCCACCTGCCTCACACTTCTGTTTTGCCAGGATCCTTTCACGCCATCGGTAGACATGAGGCTCGGGAAAACTTAAAGTCTATGAAGCGCTCTCTCCTCTTTATCCCCCTTGCACCCTCTCGAGACCCAGTGCCTGCACACGCAGAGGCTCAGGTGGTCCCACACTGCAGTGAAAGCCTCTGTGACTTTGTTGGTTTTGGCAAAGATAAATTACATTTATTTTACAGGGATGGAGAAGGAGGGGGAAAGGAGAGGTGGCCAAAGCCCCGGTGGGCGGGATGGGTAGGAGGCAGACCTCATGCAGGCGATACCGAGGACACAGATGAGACCTCCGTTTTGGAGGCGCTGGAGAGTTCAGAGCCATCGTCAACCTTCTTCCCGAAAAGCTGCAAGATGCAGTTTCGAAACTGGAAGGACAGAAAGCGTTATTGAGCAGAGCAGGGAAGGGTGGAGCACTGTGCTGAATGTACGTGCCCGAGCCTTCCCTTCACCCATTCCGAATCCCATGGGGGATGGAGGAAGGCTTGGATTATTTCTCCCTCACACGCGGGGATGTCATCTGACTTAGCAGTTGATGGTGACTACACTGGGTTGAAGTGGGTCCCCCAAAAGATGTGTTCAGGTTAAGATGAGGTCACACTGGAGCAGGGTGGGCCCTAATCGAATGACTGGTGTCCTGATAAGAAAAGGAACGCTTGGACACGGACACGCAGACAGAGGGAAGAAGGCCACGTGAAGATGAAGGCAGAGACTGGGGTGACACACCTTGGAGTCAAGGAACGCCAAAGACTGCCGGCAGCCCTGCAGCTGCTTCTCCCTCCCGGCCTCCATAGGGAACCTTTCCATTTGCCAACACCCTGATTTCAGACTCAAGATTTCCAGAACCCTGAGAGAATCCATTTCTGTGGTTTGAAGCCACTGAGTTTGTGGTAGTTTGTGACGGCAGCCCCATGACACTCATCCACAGTGACAGCTAAGGGGCAGTGGTGACCTGTCCCCAGACTGTCTGGTGAGCGGCTCGGAGGAATATTAATGAAAAGGCATGTGGTTGTCATGTTTTTTCCAGTCCATGGATCTGGGGCAAGGTGAGGCCTAGGTAATGACAATCTAGCCCCTACCTCATCTCTCCAGCCAAGCGTCTTCCGGTACCAGGAGGGGTCTGTCTTTGCTGCTTCACCCCAAAGAGATCTGGGCCATATGAATGTCTCAAATCATGTCCTGTGTCATCCCTGAAGTAACCACAATGCTTTGAGGACCCAGACCAAAGGCATTTTCTAAATATTTCAGGCCTACTCTTGACTAGCTCTAACTCCCTCTATCATCAAAACTCTCAAAAATAAAAAATATAATGGTTGAAATTAATAACATAAGAAACGGGACAAACAGCAGAATCAGCTCGGCTGAAGAGCTGGGAGATAGGGCTGAGGAATCCATTCAGCAGCTGCTGCTTGAGCACCCACTGTGTGCCAGACTCTGTCCTGAGCAAAATTTGCTGTCTTCATGGAACTGCGTTCCAGAAAATTCTCTCAGAATGTGGCAGGACAGGATAATTATGTGGAAAGGGTAAAAGCAAAGTTCGAGGCCTGGTGAGGTCCAGAAGTGCAGACATCTGTCTCCCCCTGTCCAGGGGGAGTTCTGGAAAGGAGAATGGAAATAATCCAGTAAAGACAGTACTTGGCAAGATAGTTTAGGATTCCAGAAACCTAAAAAAGATCCTCATGAAAGTCAGGAAACAGGGGTCAGGGATAGAACTACACTCTGGGCATCAGTGTGCTACAGCGAGTTCCCGGAAATCCACTGCAGGCCTGGTCCTACTTACTGTTTAAAAGTTACCAGAGAGAATGAACCCTTAATGAACTCTGCAGACTTGGCTTGTGTGAGTCAAAGCTGAGCCAAAGGGGCTGGAGCCATTGAGTGGCTCTAAGATGGAGAAGCAAGGAAGAGCCCAGTGGAAGGGATGGACTGGGCCTGGTGAAATGGGAGGCCTCTGCACACCTTTCTGGCCACCATCAAGTCACATCACAGCTGCGCTTTAATGAAGCCTGTAACCTGCAGGAGGTGGGGGGATTTAGGTGTGTGAGCAGCTTGCTGCTGAGGCCCAATATGCCAGCTAAGGAGGCTGCCTCTGGGCAGGACCACAGCACGTCCCCCCTGAACTAACCCACGAACTCGTGAAAGCTCTTGAACTCTTGGTCAGTGTAGCCAAGGAGGGCCGGCTTTTGTTCTTATAGGAAGACAAATTCCAGAGGTTACGGTTTGAAAATGGAGAGATGAAGGTTGAGAAGGGTCGAGTCTGAACAGAAGAGGGGCACACCTAGGGTGGATGTACCTAGGGCTCACCAACTCCTAGAGCGTCTGAACGCCAGGAGAGCCCCTGAAGCTCGGCAGCCATAGTTCTAGGGCCACCGGAAGGGAAGAGCACACGGCACACAGACGCTTTGGGAAATGCCACCCTCAGGCCGAGACTATAAAGGATTCCAGAGGGCACACCTAAGCCTTCTGCTAAGGGCCAGCCGGAGCTCTGGCTGGGGCTGGGTCACACGCTGAGCCTTTCCCGGTCATTTCCCTGGAGGGTCCCCCAGATGCTCCGCGGGCTTCTTATCAGAGACATGATTCCAGGTGGGGCCATCACTGCACCCTTCTAGGGCACACGGTATTTTGAGTGGGATCTGCTGATGGTGTTGCTTACCTGCCGGTTCATAAAGACATAGATAACGGGGTTGTAGATAGTGGCACTTTTGGCAAAGAAGGCCGGCAGGGCAGCCATCAAAGGGTGGAAGGGGTAGCCAGGGTTGGCAGCAGCAAAGCATGCGAAGAAGGCGTATGGTCCCCAGCAGAAGCAGAATGCCAGGACCATCACCACCACCATGCGCGTCACTTCCTTCTCTGCCTTCTGGGTGGATTCAGACTCTTTCTGCTGCTTTGCCACCTAAGGGAGACAGGGATAGTGAGTCGGGGGTTGGAGGGCAGCAAGAGGCAGGTGACCCAGGCATAGGGAGTTGTGGGGAGGAGGAGAGGAGCCCAGCAGCCATCTTCCAGCCCTGAGTGGAGCACAGCCGGCCCCAGGCAGACATGGCTGCCTCAGGCTGGCCCTGGGGGAGTTCTAGAATTGGAGGTGGCATGCAGCTAGGTGTGGCCTAAGATGACCCCAGAGCTGGATCTAACAAGCTCCTTTGCTTCACCTGATCCCTTAACAGACTGTCCTGTCCTGCGCTCAGGCCTGAGCATGGAGGCCTGATTTGATTGATGACTGGGCGTGGAGAATGAAGGAGTTAACAAGGTGGAGATGGCGGGGGAGGCAAAAGCAGTGGCTGGCGGGGTGCGCGATGGGAGTGTCAGAGCAATGCATACACTTCCCTCAGGCTTCCTAGGCCAGGTTGGCCACTCTGTGGACTAAATCCTGCCCTGGACTCACGGTGAGGCAGCTGAGGGCAGCTTTGGTGGGGTGGCTCCTTCATGCCTGCTGGGAGGAAGGAGACGAATGGCCTCCAGGCAGAGGCACTGTGGGGGAGGCCAGAGGCCAGCCACCACCTGCCAGGGATGAGGGACTGGCGGCAGGCAGATGAGTGGGGATGAGAGAGGGAGTGTGAGGGCTGGAATGCAGGGATGGCTGAGACAGCAGAGCTGGGGCCACATTGTGGAGCTGGGGCTCTACCATCCCAGACTAATACAGCCGAAGCCATGGTTGGGTACCTGTGGGAGCCTTCACCCCAAGGTGACGGGGTGAGGGGGCCTTTCACAGGCTCACAGACTCCTCTAGAGAGAGCTTGGCAGGCATGCCCATCCAATTGTGGGCACAGGCAGCTTCATATAGGAAAGCCAGCACCCTGAAAGGGCTCCCACTGCTAACAGAAAAGAACCAGCCTGGCTCTCCTCCCTTGCTCTGACTTCCTGAAGGGCTCCCAGTGGTAGCCTAGTCTAGGGGTGGGGGGTGACGGCTGTGGACAGGATCAGCTTCCCAGGGCAGAGGGCCAGACATGGAGGTGGAGAGTGGGTCAGGGGGGCAAATGGCACTCTCGGGTCCACTCCTTGGTCGGCCCCACAGCCTATGAAAAGGACAAGGGTACTCCGGTGGCAGCCTCATAAAAACACGCCTTGATTTGCAGGTGTCATTTGCTGATGTGGCTGCTCCACTCTACTCTGTGGGAAAGGCAGCCTTTCCACCCCGGGGAGAACTGTCCAGGGTCGGGGCAAGGCACACCTCTGTTCCCTTAGTGGACTCCTCCAGGGAGGGAGTGGCAGTGCTTTCCCGTCTCACAGAGCTGAGGACAACGGGGCTGGGGCTGAACCTGCAGCCACTGGTACAGTCCCAAAGGAATCACCTGATTCTCATCGCTGGATCTTAATATTTTCTTATAGGGGTAAAATCCTCTTCTCTAAGGATTTTTGGAAAAATAGTTTAGGAGTCTCAGTGGACTCATTTGAGGGCAGAGCAGCTTAGGGGCAGGAGGCGGGTGAGGCCAGGAGGAATCGGGGGGCTTACCGCTCGGATGGCCAGCCACACTTGGAGGTAGCAGAGCACGATGATGCTGAGTGGGGTGATGCAGCAGGTGACCATGAGGACAATCATGTAAGACTGCACCCCGGGGTACGAGCTGCCGCTGAACACGTCTGGGCCGCATGAAGTCTTCAGGCCGTGGGGCCAGTACCTGGAGAGAAGGGCCGGCAGCCAGTCCTGATGCAGGGTGGGGTGACCCAGGACCCCCGGCCCAGGCACGGTGCTAACTCGGGTGGGGTTTGTTTTTTTAAATTGAGGTGAAATTCATGTTGCATGAGATTACCCAATTTGAAGTGATCAATTCTGTGGCAGTCACCACCTCTGCTTCCAGAACATTTTCATCAACCCAAAACAAAACCGTTGGGTAGGATTTTGGTTAATCCTTGTCCATTTTTAGATGTCATGCCTTTCTTCTTTTTGAATTGTGGTAAAATACACATCACATAAAATGTACCATTATAGGCCAGGCACAATGGCTCACGCCTATAGTCCCAGCACATTTGGAGGCAGAGGTAGGAGGATTGCTCGAGCCCAGGAGTTCAAGACTAGCCTGGAACACAGTGAGATCTTGTCTCTACAAAAAATAAAAAAAATTAGCTGGGTGAAGTGGTGCACCTGTAGGCCCAGCTCCTCAGGAGGCTGAGGTAGGAGGATCACTTGAGCCCAGGAGGTGGAGGCTGCAGTGAGCCATAATTACACCACTGCACTGTGCCAGCCTGAGTGACAGAGTGAGACCCTGTCTCAAAAAAAGAAAAAAGTACCATTGTGACCTTTGGTACATTCACAATGCTGTGCAACCATCTCCACTATCTGCTTCCAGGACATTTTCATCTTCCCAATCACTCCCCTTCTTTACAAAGGGATTGTGAGGTTCCTTCTTGCCCTGACCTTCTGAGAACACCCATGAAGAGCTGAGTCTTTTATCTGAGGTCAGCTAGGCCATGACTGAAATAAAGGGCCCTGCTCACTTAGTGGCCTGGAGGATTAAATGAGATAACCCGCGGGAGAGCCTCCACCAGGGTCAGCTCACCACACATGTTTGATAACGGGCAGCTGTGTGGGGCATGGCGGCATGAGGAGGGCGGGAGACAGAGACAGGCTTCCACAAGGTTTGTTTCCTAGAATTGTGGAACGTTCTCGAGGAAAGAACATTCCCTCTCCAAACACCACGAGAACTTATTCACGAGCTTGTCGATAAAACAGTGAAATGCTGTCCCACCCAGTCCACTCCAATCAAACATTTGAGCCACTTGCTTGGCCTGGCCAGGACATGTGCTCTGTAGGCCCAGGTGGATCTATGACCCAAGCAGCCTCTGAAAGGTGGGGGGCGTGGTGCGGCAGCGTGTGCAAGAAAGAGACCTGGAATGCAAACACGCTATGCGTTCACTGACAGCTGTGCTGATGGCCTGAGCTCCGTGTGCGCCTGTGACCTGATCGTGCTTGGGATAAATATGTTTCCAGAGGTTCGGGGACCACAGAGCCTTTCCTATGTTGCAGCCACATTCATACATTGATAGACATTGCACGCTCAGAGGGGCCCAGAGAAAGGAAGTGATTTGCCTTAAGGTCACAGAGTCTGACCCTGCCCACTCCATCTTGCGTCCTCGCACCCTTACCTGCTCCAACCAAAGATGGGCGGGGCTGTCCACACAGCAGCCCAGATCCAGGAGAAGGCAATGCCCACGATGGCCAGCTTGGCATCAAATCTCACATTGCCAAAGGGCTTGCAGACCACCATCCATCTCTCCCAGGAAATGATGGCCAGAGACCAGAGACCTGTGATCCCTATGGGGAGAGCAGACAGATGAGGGCTTTGAGCCAAAGCAAAGGTGGGAAGCAAAGCTTCCCACTGTCCTGCTTAGACCCCAAACGTCTGCACACAGAATTCAGGGCTCCACGGACTGAGGTGGAAAAAACGACATCTTTCTTTCCACCAACCTCGAACAGACACTGGGCATTTCCTTCCATTATGAACGTGGCAGTATTAGCAGTACCCGTGACTCGGTCAGCAAGAGAGGTCACAGATGTTTTCCTGTCAATTCATAGAGGTGGCAGAGAGTTCGAATACCACTTATGTTCATCACTACTCTGAAATAACAGTGGTTGTCAGGCGGGATCCTGTTATTTAATACCTTAATACTGAGTGGTGTCACTAATACGTTTAACACATGCTTTTATTTTTATTTACTTTTTGAGACAGAATCTCACTCTGTTGCCCAGGCTGAGTGCAGTGGTGCCATCATAGCTCACTGCAGCCTTGACCTCCAGAGCTCAAGCGATCCTCCCGCCTGAGCCTCCTGAGTAGCTGGGACTACTGGTGTGCCACCACGCCCAGCTGTTTTTATTTGTTGTAGAGAAGAGGTCTCACTATGTTGCCCAGGCTGGTCTCAAACTCTTGGAGGCAAGCAGTCCTCCCACCTCAGCCTCCCAAAGTGCTGGGATTACAGGTATGAGCCTGGCCAGTAAATGCTTTTAACTAAAGACTATGTTACTGATGAATGTTTAATACTTTGATAACTGTATTTCAGTATAATTTGCTGCCTTTGTAATCCTATGGGTCTCATTTTATGCGTTTGCAAAAATTCTCCTGAGATGGGGTCCACAGGCTTCCCAGATGGCCAAGGGCATCCGTGGACCAAAAGTGGTGGGGAAGTGCTGGCTGCTTGGCACCTGACTGACCCAAGAACAGACCATGAGCAGAGGCAAGGGTGAGCGGGAGACCATGGCAGAAACGGAGACAGACGTGGGCGGAGATGCAGGGGGGCACTCGGGAAGGGTCGTGTGACCACCGAGGCCATGCCTGCTGCAGAGAGCACTCGGACCCGGGGATGGACCTTCTCTGCCTGACCTTCCCTTGGCTCCCCTTCTACACTATCGGGGTAGTGCCGGGACTTGGACAAGCACCCTCTCTGGTCTGGGCCATCGTGGGTACAATTTGAGGCAGTTAACGGGGTGGGGTTGGGGAGGCTGCTAAGAGTGGTGGGGAGGCAAGAGCAGGAGCTGCTGCTGCTGGATGTGGGGTCTCCTCCTCCTGAAAGAAAGTCCCAGCTCCTGGGCATGACGTCTGAGGCCTCTGAGACCTGGGCCTGCCCACCTCGTGTCCAGCAGCCACGGCTGCTTGGTGGTACTCTATCCACTCGAACCACAAACTGCTCCCAGCCGCTCCTCCACCACCTGCCCCAGGCCCCTTCTTGTCTGAGAGGACTGATGATGGTACTGTGTGGTTGCCGTCTGGCTATAGGGCCCCCTCCTTAGCACAGAGCCTGGCACGCTAGTACCTCTCCGCCACTGTCTCCTGACCTGAGCGGAATAGTGGCCCACAGAGATATTAGTGATGGGGATGGGGAGAGGATCTGGGAATTGTGTCTCCTCCGGGAAAAGCAGATGCTGGCGAGCTGAAAGAGCAGGCATCCCTAATTGCAGGGGAGTTCTGTCCAGGGTGCCCAGAGTCCCCGCCCCCCTACTGTTCTGGGGTTGTCTAGCTCTGTATCTGTCTCCTCCCACACCAGCCCCACAGCTCCAAACTGGCTGTCCCCGGGCAGAGCCTGACTCAAGAGTAGGAACTCAGGGTATGTTTGACTCAAGGGAGCTGAATTTAATGTGAGTGTTCAGATGGAAGCCTCCAGAACCCTTCAGTATATGGATGTGAGGCGCAGATGTGGAGGGAGACAGGCCTACAGGAGCAGCTGGGCCCCGATCATCATGAGGTGGCCGGAGGGGCTTGCAGGGTGAATGAGTGGTTTCCGCCGAGCCTGGGCCCCGACTGGCTTACCACACAGGGAGACGGTGTAGCCCTCCAGGACACACATAGGGTGGCCCAGCACGAAGTAGCCATAGACCTGGTTCACAACGCTGATAGTGCTGGCGATGACGGTCTCTGCCAGGTCAGCGACCGCCAGGTTCACCAGGATCCAGTTCAGCGGGTGGCGCAGCTTCTTGAACTTCATGGTGGCCGCCAGCACAAGCCCATTTGTGAAGACGGATGCAATGACCACAAAGATCATCCAGACACTGGTGAGGTGGTACACCCATCTGGGAGCGATGTGGTAATTCGGGCCTTCGAAGGGGCCTGAGGGCAGGAGGCAGAGGAGAGAGAGGAGCTGGGCTGCAGCACCGCCTGTCTATACCAGTGCTGATCCCACCTCTCCCCTCCCCCTTCCGCCCTCCTGCCTTTGCAATTGGCTGTTTCCCTCCAGCTTTGTCCATCCTCAGACAGTCTCCCCTCCATCCTGTCCCTCAAGCCAGAGACCATCGCCCGCTGGTCACTGGCACTGGCATCTTGAACTTAACAGAACTCCTCATCGTCTCCTCCATCTGATTCCCCACTCCCAGTGTGCAGTCACCCCACTTCCCTGCTCCCCTCTTCCCTTTGCCCCAGCCCCACCTCCTACCTCCCACAGTCCTCTGCCCTTCCATAGAGAAACGCTTGCCTCCTGTAAAGCCCAGCTCATATGCATTTGCCTTCCAGAAGATTCCCCAGCTAGTGGCAACTCACCCCCTTGAGGGGAAGACCACTACCCACCTCTGTCACCTTCTGTCACACATAGGAGTTACTGTTCATGATGATCTGAATGTACGTGCCCCCCATAAATTTCTGTGTTGAAATCCCAACCCCCAAGGTGATGGTATTAGGAGGTGGGGCCTTTGGCAGGTCATTTAGGTCATGTGTGCAGAGTGAGTGGGGCCCTCATGAATGGGATTAGTGCCCTTATAAAAGAGGTCCTAGAAGCTGGGCATGGTGGCTCACGCCTGTAGCCCCAGCTACTCAGGAGGCCAACGTGGGAGGATCACTTGAGCCTTTGGGAACAGCCCAAATTAGCTGGGAATGGTGGCTCATGCCTGTAATCCCAGCACTTTGGGAGGCTGAGGCTGGAGGGTTGCTTGAGCCCAGGAGTTCAAATCCAACCTGGGCAACATGGCATGCCCATGTAAAAAAAATTTTTTTTTAATTAAAACAAACAAGAAAAAGAGTCCCTAGAGTGCTCTCTAGCTCTCTTTCTTCCATGTGAGGATACAATGAGTTGTTGGCAATCTGCAGTCAGGAAGAGGGTCCTCGCCAGAGCCCACCACGCTAGCACCCTGACTTCCAGCCTCCAGAGCTGTGAGAAATAAATTTATCATTTAAAAGCCACCCAATCTATGGTAATTTCTCTTTTATTCTTTTCCTTTCTTTCTTTTCTTTTTTTTTTTTTTTTGGGACAAAGTCTTGCTCTGTCACCCAGGCTGGAGTACAGTGGCACAATCATAGCTCACTGCAACGTGGAACTCCTGGGCTCAAGCGATCCTCCTGGGCTCAAGCGATCCTCCTGCCTCAGCCTCTCGAGTACCTGGGACTACAAGCCGTGCATTACCACAATGGCAATTTTTTTTATTTCTGTAGAGATGGGGTCTGGCTATCTTGCCTAGGCTGGTCTCGAACTCCTGACTTCAAGTGATCCTCCCACCTTGGCCTCCCAAGTAGCTGGGACTACAAACGAATTATTTCTCCTTTTTCTTCTGTAGGAGTTTGCTAGGGCTCTACACCTTTTGTGTTGGAAGGACCTTCGTCATAACATTGTTTTTGGCAGATTACTTGAAGGGATTGCAAGCCACAGACCTGCTGCCATATAAGGCCTCATGGAGAGTCCCAAGGTTTATCAAGAGATTCTTTAGCTGTGTGTTAGAAAAGCCCAACTCAAGCTAGCTTAAGAAAAATGGGGATTTCCTGGCTATGGCCAGGAGAGACAGATAAATCTCACCCCTAGCACAGCTGGATCCCACAAGGCCTCTGCTGCCCTCTGTGCACGGGCCCCATATGTTCCTAACACAAGGAGCTTCTGGAAACCCACAGACAATGTCTGCAATCCCGATACCTGGCACTGGCTCCCCAGGAACCCCCAGTATGAGCAGCAGGGACAGACCATTGACAATTGAAGACCTGCATGGCGTCAGTCTCCGTGCAGAAGGAAGCAGAGGGGAGCAATGGGGTTGCTGATGGACCTAAGAACAGAGAACCCCCAAACTGTCGGCAGCTCTTCCCTGGGAAGTACCTTGGGTGAACTGGGGAAGAGCAGCTGAGACTGGGAGGGTTTGGGACACTCTGGCCTGCAGGCAAGTGCAAGGGGCTGGAGCAATCTAGGTGCTACGACCTCTGAAAACAAGGCAGCCAGTGCCCTTCCCTGGCAACCCTTGCGGTCCAAATTGGGCAGTGCAGGGACAAGGGGGCAAAGGAGAGAACAGGTCCCAGCAGCAGTGGGGGAGGGGACAGGAGCTGCCACCAGTGTAACTAGAGCTGGTGTCATGGCCTACCCCTCCCTCCTGAAAGTTCTGGAACTGAATTTCATGAAGCAATGAGCAAGAGAATCAAAGTCAGCTCCCAGGCAAAGTGATTCGAGGAAATACAGGCAGGTAGGGAAGGGGCGGTCGGTGGTGGCGCAGAGAAGCCAGACTTCTTCAAATACACCTTCTTTTCTAGATTTTAATTTGAGACTTTTAACTGTTTTATTACATAATTATAAAACAAAATTTAAGTGGCCGGGGGCGGTGGCTCACACCTGTAATCCCAGCACTTTGGGAAGCCGAGGTGGGCGGACGACTTGAGGTCAGCAGTTGGAGACCAGCCTGGCCAACATGGTGAAACCCTGTCTCTACTAAAAATAAAAAAAATTAGCTGGGCGTGGTGGCGGGCACCTGTAGTCCCAGCTCCTCGGGAGGCTGAGGCAGGAGAATCGCTCGAACCGAGGAGGCGGAAGTTGCAGTGAGCTGAGATCGCGCCACTGCACTCCAGCCTGGGCGACAGAGTAAGACTGTCTCGAAAAAATAAAATAAAGTAAAATAAAAGTTTAAATTTACAGAGCAATCTCTGAAAATCAGCAACAAAAGAAATGAAGCTAAATGCATATCCACTGAGTGGCATATCACTTAGAGAGGGACTATTCTAAGGGACTGGAAACACACCGGTTTACTACACAACCTAGTGGCATATACCCTCAGGGTAAGAAGACCTGTGAAGATGTTAAGGTTTTGGTCACCAATAGGTGAAGGCAGGGTAAGGTGTCCGAATGCCGTCATTTTCCATCCCCAGTGGTTTAATTGGTCTGGGCATTGAGTTTCAGTAGCTGCCAACACCCCAGAAAAGAGACACTCTCCTTGCCAAAACACACCAACAAATCCAACCTGCCTCTGGCCAGATCCTCAGATCAACTACCAATTTACAGAAAAATCATAATGAACAACGTCAGAGGGGCCTGTTAGGCTACGTCATGAACGACTTGCTTGCTTCCACAAATAAATTGCAGGGAGATAGAAAGGGAACCTCTAGATTCAAAGGTAGTCAAAAGGCATATCAGTCAATCTGAATGTGTGGACCTTATTTGAGCCCTGATTCAAGCAGACTGAAAATACGTATGACATTTTTTGAACACTACTAGGATATTTGAAGCTATTCAGGAAATACTGTTACACTTGTCGGTGTGATGATGACTTGTGGTTATGTATTGAGAAGAGCCCTTTTCTCCTAGAGGAACATAGTAAAGATTTACAGAGGGAAGGGTGTGATGTCTTGGATTTGCTTCCAAGAATCAGGAAGAAAGGGTAGTGGAGGGGTCACAGATGAAATGAGATGAAACCGTGGAAGCTGAGTGATGGGTACCGGAGTTCATTACACTCCTCCCTCTACTTTAGTAGATGCTTGAAGTTTTGTGGAAAAAAAAAAAAACCCACCCCGACATTTGAAAAGAGTGCACTGAAGCATCATGCATTGATGAAGTCTGGGGGCATCTAGGAAGAGACTGTTGACATTGCCACCAAGGAAATTCTGGGCACAGTCATGTTGAGGTCAACTGCAAGATCCTCATCCGGTTTGGTCTGGGCACTCTGTCACTAATTGGCACTCGGTCCTGGCCACCCCACAGCGGGATGTTTATTGGCAATCAAGGAGCTGGCGTGGCTTCTGGAAACCACAGCCTGCACGATGTTGTTGTTTTTTGTTTTGTTTTGTTTTGAGACAAGAGTCTCACTCTGTGGCCAGGCTGGAGCATAGTGGCGTGATCTCGGCTCACTGCAACCTCCACCTCCCGGGTTCAAGCGATTCTCCTGCCTCAGCCTCCTGAGTAGCTGGGACTACAGGCATGCGCCACCAAGCCCAGCTAATTTTTGCATTTTTAGTAGACATGAGGTTTCAGTATGTTGGCCAGGATGATCTCTATCTGTTGACCTCGTCATCTGCCCGCCTCTGCCTCCCAAAGTGCTGGGATTACAGGCGTGAGCCACTGTGCCCGGCCTGCACGATGTTCTTGAAGGCACCAAAGGAATTTGGTTTGGAGGAGGGACCTGGGGAGAGGGCCAGGAGTGGGGCGGTCACTGGTGTCCTCAGCTTCTTTGAGGGCCTGCGTGCAAAACTTTCGGATTGGGCAACTCCCAATGGCAGGACTCGGGCTGCCCTGATGAGAGCTTTCAGCTTTCTGTTGGGCCTGAGCCCTCTCTCCCAGGACGGCTCCGAATGGAAAGATGGCCCTGGGCGCCAATGCAGCCTCTTCCCCCAGAGGTGTGCAGCCAAAAGCCAAGTGGCCCCATCATGGAGTTTGACAAAATGACTGCTACAGGCTTTGCCGACCCTGAAGTTCTAGAAGTTTCTTGCCCTCTGCTGCTGTCTTCCCCACCCTCCCGCCTCCCTTGGGTGTGTCAGTATGTTGCCTCCTTTCGGCTTCAAATGTAAAGACAGACCCAGCTCTTCCCCAGGAAGCTGAGGGACTCCGTGGAATGAGAGGTCATTCGCTAGCAGTGAACACACTCATCTACGGGCCACAAAGAAAGAGCACATAAACTCTTCCCCGGCCTCGGATTCTCAAAGGGGCTGGGAAGCCTGTGTGGCTTGAGAATGCATATTCGATATTATGGTGTCCTTCTAGATTTGGAGAGGACCCCCCAATTCATGTCATCAGAAAAGCTATGGGAGAAAGCCTTCTCTGCTGGTGGGGACGTGCAGAAGAGAGATTCCCTTGGGCGGGGCAGGTGGGTGGCCGGTGGCCCCCAGTGCAGCCACCCAGCCTCCACGGGCCTGCTGGCTCACCTCTGGTGGAGTTGCTGTTGGTGTAGGTGAAGATGCTGGACTGGGTGCTGTCCTCATAGCTGTCCTGCGGATGGCGGCCTGCGAGCCTTTGGAGGCTCCACTGCTGGGCCATGGCTATGGAAAGCCCTGTCCCCGACGGCAGCCGGCCCTGGTGCGTCACCTGAGGGTCACGGTGCTTTATACCGGCCAGTGGGATCAGCCCGGGCCTCTTCACCTTAAAAGCTCCCAAATCCTACACCATCTGATCTCTTAATTGGGCCTGGGACTTAGACCTCCTCCTCCCACCCCTTGCTTCCTTGCTCCTGAGGCGAGCCCCCGGGGGCGGCTCAGAGGGATTTGCTGGAAACCTGTAATCCCAGCTACTGGGAGGTCGAGGCAGGAGAATCGCTTGAATCTGGGAGGCGGAGGTTGCAGTGAGCTGAGATGGCGCCACTGAACTCTAGCCTGGGCAACAGACCAAGACTCTGTCTAAAAAAAAGTGGCTGGGCACAGTGGCACACGCCTGTAATCCCAGCACTTTGGGAGGCCAAGGCGGGTAGATCTCCTGAGGTCAGGAGTTCCCGACCAGCCTGACTAACATGGTGAAACCCCGTTTCTACTAAATAAAAAACAATTAGCTGGGCTTAGTGGCAAATACCTGTACTCCCAGCTACTTGGGAGGCTGAGACAGGAGAATCGCTTGTACCTGGGAGGTCGAGGTTGCGGTGAGCCAAGATCGAGCCATTGCACTCCAGCCTGGGCAACAAGAGCAAAACTCTGTCTCAAGAAAAAAAATTTAACAGGCCACCTAATTGCGATTAAAAAAAAACCAAAACCCTGAATCTGTTTAGATTCCCACTTGCAGGGTATGTGACATCACCTTCTGCCACATTCTCGCCAGCCCTGGACATTGTTAGGCTTTTTAATTTTTGGCGTTCTGGTGGATGAGAAAATAGTATTTAATTGTTGCTTTTCGCTTACTATTCCCGGATCACCTTGCAATTACATGTTTTATTATACGTTTACTGTCTTTTGTTTTTCGTCGTCTGAGATGTCCGTGGCTACCCTTTAATGTCTTTATATTGGGTTATTTGCTCTTAGTTTACTGATTTGCAGTTCTTTATATATTGTGTTGATTAGCCCTTTATCTATCAGATATGTTTCAAGCCTTTTTTTTTCTTGTTTGCTTTTATTTATTTATTTTTTGAGATGGGGTCTCAGTCTGCCACCCTGGCTGGAGGGCAGTGGTGCGATCACGGCAGCCTCGACATCCCCGGGATCAAGCGATCCTCCCGTCTCAGCGTCCTGGGTAGCTGGGACTACAGGTGTGCACCACCACTCCAGGATAATTGTTGTATTAATTTTTTTTTTAATAGAGACGGGGTTTCGCCATGTTGCCCAGGCTGGTCTTGACCTCCTGAGCTCAAGAGATCCACCCACCTTGGCTTCCAAAGTGCTGGGATTACAGGCATGAGCCAGCACACCCAGCCCTTGTTTTATTTTCTCCCCCTTTCTTTCTTTCTTTTTTGTTTTTGTTTTGATTAATCAAGTCCCATTTTTTTCTCCTCTTGGTTATTTGGATGTTATGTACATATGTAGCTTCTTTTCTAGTGATTACTTTTTTTTTTTTTTTGAGACAATCTCACTCTTGTCAGTCAGGCTGGAGTGCAGTGGCGCAGTCTCGGCTCACTGCAACCTCCGTCTCCCCGGCTCAAGCAATTCTCCTGCCTCAGCCTCCCCAGTAGCTGGGATTACAGGTGTGTGCCACCATGCCCGGCTAATTTTTGTATTTTTAGTAGGGACAGTGTTTCGCAGTGTTGACCATGATGGTCTCAAACTCCTGACCTCAAGTGATCCACCCGCCTTGGCTTCCCAAAGTGCTGGGATTACAGCTGTGAGCCACCACGCCCGGCCCGGCCCCCCCCCCCCGCTCTTTTTTTTTTGAGACAAGGTCTCACTCTGTCACCCAGGTTGGAGGGCAGTAGCACAGTCACAGGTCACTGCAGCCTCTACTTGCTGGGCACAAGTAATCCTCCTGCCTCAGCATCCTGAGTAGCTGGGACCACAGGTGCACACCACTGCCCTGGCAAGACTTGCTTTTTAAACAGTTGTTGAATTCTTACATTTGTCAGTGGTGTACTGAACTCCTTCATGTCTAAAAATGTCTTTAGTCTAACCCCACAGTTGACAGTTGGGGTGTAGAATTTTAGGCTGGGAAATCATTTTTCCCTCAGAATTTCGAAAGCAGCACTTCATTGTCTTTTTTTTTTTTTTTTTTTTTTTTTTTTGGGACAGAGTCTTGCTCTGTCGCCCAGGCTGGAGTACAGGGGAGTGATCCTCGGCTCACTGCAACCTCTTGGGTTCAAGCGATTCTCTTGCCTCAGCCTCCCGAGTAGCTGGGATTACAGGCGCCCACCACAATGCTGGCTAATTTTTGTATTTTTAGTAGAGACAGAGTTTCCTCATGTTGGCCAGCCTGGTCTCAAACTCTTGACTTCAAGTGATCCGCCTGCCTGGGCTTCCCAGAGTGCTGAGATTACAGGTGTGAGCCACCGTGCCCGGCCAGCACTTCATTGTCTTCTAGTTCCCCATGCTGTTGCTGAAGTCTGAAGCCATTCTGACTTCTGATTCTTTGAATGTGACCTATTTTTTTCTCTCTGACAGTTATTCTCTCAGTGTATCGAAGATATCAGTCAACTATCTTCTGGATTGCATTGATGCTATTGAGAAGGCAGCCTGCAGTCTAAAAGTCATGGTTTTAAAGGTAATCAGCTTTTTTTCCTCTGGCTGCTTTTAACATCTTGTGTCGGCCGCGGGCGGTGGCTCATGCTTGTAATCCCAGCACTTTGGGAGGCCGAGGTGGGCGGATCATTTGAGGTCAGGAGTTCCAGACCAGCCTGGCCAACATGGTGAAACACTGTCTCTACTAAAAATACAAAAATTAGCTGGGCATGGTGGCGGGCGCCTGTAGTACCAGCTACTTGGGAGGCTGACGCAGGAGAATCGCTTGAACCCGGGAGGCAGAGGTTGCAGTGAGCCGAGATCACGCCACTGTACTCCAGCCTGGGCGACAAGAGCGAAACACTGTTTCAAAAAAAAAAAAAAAAAAAAAATCTCGTGTCTAGGTGTGGACCTATTTCTGTCTTCCCTGCTTAGGATTTATTGGGCTTCTTGAATTTGTGAATTTGTGTCTTTCTTCAGTTCTGGAAAGTTCTTAGGGAGTTATCTCTTAAAATGTTGCTGCTGTGGCCGGTCGTAGTGGCTCATGCCTGTAATCCCAGCACTTTGGGAGGCCGAGGTGGGTGGGTCACCTGATGTTGAGAGTTCGAGAACAGTCTTGCCAACATGATGAAACCCCATCTCTACTAAAAATACAAAAGAATTAGCTAGCTGTGATGGCACGCGCCTGTAGTCCCAGCTACTCGGGAGGCTGAGGCACGAGAAGTGCTTGAACCCGGGCAGCAGAGGTCGGCCGTGAGCCGAGATTGTGCCACGGCACTCCGCCTAGGCAACAGAGTGTGACTCCATTTCAATTTAAAAAAAAAAGAAGAAAAATATGTATATATTGCTGCTGCTTCATTCTGTCTGTCTTCTCTCTCTGGTGTGACAATTGGATTTTTGTTAGACCTACTCATGCTACCTTCCATGTCTTCTATTTTTCAAGTTTTCTATTTTTTTGTGCCTCTGTGCTGCATTCTGGATACTTTTTTTTCTTTCTTTCTTTTCTCTTTCTCTCTCTCTCTCTCTCTCTCTCTCTCTCTTTCTTTCTTGGGATGGAGTTTTGCTCTTGTTGCCCAGGTTGGAGTGCAGTGGCGTGATCTCGGCTCACTGCAACCTCTGCCTCCTGGGTTCAAGCCATTCTCCTGCCTCAGCCTCCCAAGTAGCTGGGATTACAGGTGCCCACCACCATGCCCAGTTAATTTTTTGTATTTTTTAGTAGAGACAGGGTTTCACCATGTTGGTCAGGTTAGCCTCAAACTCCTGACGTCAGGTGATCCACCCGCCTTGGCCTCCCAAAATGCTGGGATTACAGGCGTGTGAGCCACCGCGCCCGGCCTGGATACTTTCTTTAGCTCCTCTGTACAATTTACCAACAGTCTCTCCAGCCATATCAAATCTGCCATTAAATCCATCAATTGAACATATTATTATTTATTATTTATTTATTTTTTGAGACGGAGTCTCACTCTACCACCCAGGCTGGAGTGCAGTGGCACGATCTCAGCTCACTGCAACTTCTGCACCCCGGGTTCAAGCGGTTCTCCTGCCTCAGCCTCCCGAGTAGCTGGGACTACAGGCGTGTGCCACCACGCCTGGCTAATTTTGTATTTCTAGTAGAGATGGGGTTTCTCTGTGTTGGTCAGGCTGGTCTTGAACTCCCGACCTCAGGTGATCCGCCCGCCTCGGCCTCCCAAAGTGCTGGAAGTACAGGTGTGAACCACTGTGCCAGGCATTTTTTTTTTTTTTTTTGTATTTTGTATAGACGGGGTTTCACCATGTTGGCCAGACTGGTCTTGACCTCCTGACCTCCGCCCGCCTCGGCCTCCCAAAGTGCTGGGATTACAGGCATGAGCCACCACACCTGGCCTATATTGAACATTTAAATAGTTTGAAAACTGTGAAATCTGGCATATGTATATAAAGGTGCAGAAAACATTGATGTATGTTTTAAGAAGTAACGATAAGGTGAACACACATTTAACCACTACTCAGGCCAGGCACCCCAGCCTCCACAGTCACCCCAGTCATAATCCCCTTCTCCCGCTCTAGTGGGAACCACCATCCTGGGGTTTCTGTTGCCAACATCCATGCTGCTCTTTAGCTTTCCTGCCTGTGTAGTCATCCCTACACAATATTGTTTAGTTTTGCCTGCTCTTGGAATTTATGTAAATGGAACCATATATAGTATGGATTTTCTGTCTGGTTTCTTTTGTTCAACATTATGCTTGTGAAATGCATTCATGTTTTTCAAGGCTGTAGTTCATTCTCATTGCTGTACAGTAGTATGTTGTTGCATATATTACAGTTTACTTACACTTTCTGGGCAGGTGGTTTGTTGCTAGTTGTTGGATATTGAGAACATCAGTGTACTTGCCTCCTGGGAATATCGCCTATGAATGCAGTTGCTGGATCATTTGGTAGGTATATCTTCAACTTTGTGATACTGTCAAGTGGTTTTCTAAGGTGGCTGTAGTACAAATTTGCTTCCCGCCAGTAATGATTGAGAGTTCCTGTTGCGCTATATCCTTGCCAACTCTTATTGTTGTTAGTCTGTCTGAGTTTGACCAATCTACTGGGTACATAGTGGTATCACTTTGCATTTTAAAAATTGAGGTATAGGCCAGATGCAGTGGCTCACACCGGTAATCCCAGCACTCTTTGGGAGGCCGAGGCGGGAGGATCACTTGAGGTCAGGAGTTGGAAACCAGCCTGGTCAACATGGTGAAACCCTGTCTCTACTAATAATACACGAATTAGCTGGGTGTGGTGATGCACACCTGTAATCCCAGCTACTCGGGAGGCTGAGCCATGAGAATTGCTTAAACCCGGGAGGCGAAGGTTGTAGTGAGCCGAGATTGCACCACTGCACTCCAGCCTGGGTGACAGAGTGAGACTCCGTCTCAAAAAACAAAAAAGTAGAAACGGAACAGAGGCTGCACCTGAGCTGCCCCCCACCTCCCTCTCCTAGCTCCTTGCTCTGGTGGGCTGGGTTCCAGCTATGCTGCTCTTGCCATCTTTATTTTAGAGGTAAGAAAACTGAGCCTCAGAGCAGTTTATTAACTTGCTCAAGGTCTCAGAGTGGTAGAGCCAGGATTTGAACTGGGCTCTTCGTCAAAGGCAATGTTAATCCCCTCACCATGTGAGAGACTCATTCTTTTGTGTTACAGTAGAATTTTCTGCCGTAGACTGTCAGCTGTATGAGATCAAGGAATGTATCTGGCTTCTGTACCACGTGGTAGGCACTCAGAGAAAGTATGTGTTGAATGAATGATTGGATGAATGAATGAACCTGTTAGGAGGCAAATCTCTCTGCCTAACCCTTCCTGTCTCCCTGGGAGTAGCAATACAGCAAGCTGTAAGAGTTGACGGAAATAAGCTTATTCCATACTTTACAAGAACAGTTCTTTATAAATGAGACCCACAATTGGTAATTTTTGGAAGAGAAAATAGGAGTGCAGTGCAAAAACAGGCAGATGTAGAAGGGAGTCTGGCCACCTGTGGGTCTTAGTGAGGCACACATGTAGAGCAAGGAGTCAGACGCTGAAAAGGAGGGGAGAGGGGCCCTGAAGATGAGCATCACCTCCTCAGTCTGTGTCGGGCCCATCTTGAATGCACAAATCTTGCGTGTGTAAGTATCCATGCATATGTGGAAGTGTTTTATGGAGTCATAACGTGTCCAATTCTCCCACACTTTGCGGCTCACAGAGCACCGTATTGTGATTTCTTGTTTCCCAACGTAGGCGGAACACACCAGGAGCCCCAGCGCAACCCTCCCCTCCAATGTGCCTTCATGCCGGTCCCTGTCATCCAGCGAAGACGGCCCCAGTGGCCCTTCCAGCCTCGCAGATGGAGGCCTAGCCCACAACTTACAGGATAGTGTCAGGCACCGCATCCTCTACCTCTCAGAGCAGCTGAGAGTGGAGAAGGCCAGTCGGGATGGCAACACTGTGAGCTACCTCAAGCTGGTATCCAAAGCAGACCGGCACCAGGTGCCGCACATCCAGCAGGCCTTTGAGAAGGTGAACCAGCGCGCCTCTGCCACCATCGCCCAGATCGAGCACAGGCTCCACCAGTGTCACCAGCAGCTCCAGGAGCTGGAGGAAGGCTGCAGGCCCGAGGGCTTACTGCTGATGGCAGAAAGCGACCCAGCCAACTGCGAGCCACCCAGTGAGAAGGCCCTGCTTTCAGAGCCCCCCGAGCCAGGTGGGGAAGACGGGCCGGTCAACCTGCCTCATGCCAGCAGGCCCTTCATCTTGGAGAGTCGCTTCCAGAGCTTACAGCAGGGGACGTGCTTAGAGACAGAGGATGTGGCCCAGCAACAAAACCTGCTGTTGCAGAAGGTAAAGGCAGAGCTGGAAGAAGCCAAGAGGTTCCACATCAGCCTCCAGGAGTCCTATCACAGCCTAAAGGAGAGGTCTCTGACTGACCTGCAGCTGTTGCTGGAGTCCCTTCAGGAGGAGAAGTGTAGGTGAGGCCTTGGCTCTGGGGACTGGAAGCAGAGGAGGAACCGCTCCCAGGAGCCACCTATGGGAGGGTGAAAGGGAGCCAGGACAGGAGCCTGGAGAGCCAGGGTGAGGGGCCAGTTGGAAGAGCAGGTCCATGCTTCTTTTAGCGACTGGGCCCTGCAGTGGGGCGAGCCAGCCCTCTCCCTGCAGTCCCACACCTGCCTTGACCCTTGCTAGCGAAAATGCTCCAGCTTGGCAGCCCCTGCCGGGTGGTTGCAGCGGCATAGCGGCTGGCCCTGACCCTGTGGTGGCAGGGGACAACATGGGGGTGGCAAGAGTCCGGTAGACACCTGGCACTAGTTAGGGAGGTGGCGTCCTTTGGTCCCAGTCGGCTGGGAAGGTGGGAGTCAGGACCGGAGTCGCCTCGCCAGCTCTGGTCTCTTCACATGTGCTCCTAGCTGAGCTGGGGCACAGGCCGGGTCTCAGATACTTATTTCAAAAATGACTGCCTTCTGGTGAATGCTTTCTCCGCACCGTGCAGTAGCTCGATTTTCTTTTTCTTTTTTTTCTTTTGAGATGGAGTCTCACTCTGTCGCCAGACTGGAGTGCAGTGGCACGATCTCGGCCCACTGCAACCTCCACCTCCCGGGTTCAAGCGATTCTCCTGCCTCAGCCTCCCGAGTAGCTGGGAATACAGGCGTGC
Source organism: Homo sapiens (assembly GCF_000001405.40). Taxonomy (NCBI): domain Eukaryota; kingdom Metazoa; phylum Chordata; class Mammalia; order Primates; family Hominidae; genus Homo; species Homo sapiens. The sequence continues at coordinate 154,174,941 of NC_000023.11, read as the reverse complement.
ACCAGCACATCCGGCTATTTTTTGTATTTTTAGTACAGGCGGGGTTTCACCATGTTGACCAGGATGGTCTCAATCTATTGACCTCGTGATCCGCCTGCCTCAGCCTCCCAGAGTGCCGGGATTACTGGTGTGAGCCACCTCACCCTGCCCTAGCTCGATTTTCTTTCCCTCTAAGATAAGGCTAGGGCCTACCAATTGGAGGAAAAAAAAAAAAAAAAAAAAAAAGGCAAACCCAATCTCTCAACGGATTCTCTCCATTCCTATTGGGACCGTTCTCTGGGTTTCCATGGGCCCTCAGGGGGTGCCACATTCTGTCCCCCTCGCTGCAGTCTGTGGCTAATTAACGCCAGTCCCTCCAGCGTCCTGGCTAGGGAGGCAGCGATTCCCTTAGGTGAGCCAAGATTCTCAGCATTTGCATGAAAAGAAGAACTCCGCAGTCCTTTTAGTGCCTGATGCAGGGGAAGCGGCGTGTGGGAATCATCCTCTTTAGTTTCCCCAGGGAAATCTTGCCAGCGTTTACATGGCCTAAGAATCTGTTAAAGGACAATCAAAGAATATTACAGGGCAACCACTGTCAATGAGATGACTAGTCAGAGTCACAGGCGTCTCTTGCAGATTATTTTCATAGGACATGGCAACCAAATCTAAAATCTTGGGAGCATCAAAGACCCTTTTGTGAAAATCACACTTACCCGGTCAGCTTTCTATTAAGCAACAGCAGAACTTGGTGGCAGTTACAAACTTCCCCGTATGTTTCCAAGCCACAGGGGCCAATGAGAATGCTGTGCTCAGGTAAACTCTTAACCCCTCTCAAATCCGAGTCTTTCGCCCGCTCTTGATACAGCGGTGACTACCGGGGAGCAGGGCAATACCTCTGTCTCTCCCCCTCTCAGACTTTTGCTGCAAATTCTAGAAGCCTGCACTTCTGACCCGGTACCCCCCATTGGACTGTGACATGGGATGTCTGGTTGTTTGCTGCAGCAGCGAGCCTACCCTTACTAATGTTCATCGTGAGCAGAAAAGCAGGTCTACAGGGCCCAAGCAGGTCTACAGGAGGAGAAAGGGCTGCTGATGATTTTTCACTGTTGTCACGGGCTCGTAACTGAGCTGGGGCACCAGGTTAAGCAGCCTTGTTCTTTGGCCCTCAGACGCCTACTTTATGGTTGGGGAAGCAGAGTCTCACGGAGGCACAAGCAGGCTACGTGGCTGCTAAGTGCGGACCTGAGAGCATTTCACCACACCCTGGCTGTGTGGCTAAGTTAGATGCAGGGGACACAGGAGTTCATGGCATTTTAAAAACATATACTTCCGTAAAATCTTCTTCAAAACTTTTACATGATCTGGACACAGAAGTGTTTCAACCAGCCAGGCTCCCTGTGACTGTTGCGTCCCCTCTGGTGCATCACAAACTGAGAATCCATACTGCAAGTCCTGTGCTGTTTATCACAGTTAAATCCGTTTGCTTTCAGGAGGGCTGTTGTGGTTTTTATCATTATGGTTTCTTTTTAATTTGGTCTCGGCATGTCTCTACTGAGAGTGGCCATAGCCGAGATACCCAGTTTCTAGGAGATCCCTGACCCGTGGGAAAGTTAGGTTCGGATGTGTGTGTCAGGGGAGCCACAGTGAGGAGGCAGACGAAAATGCATGAAACAGCAGAAATGGGCTGGGCGTGGGGGCTCACGCCTGTAATCCTAGCACTTTGGGAGGTTGAGGTGGGCAGACTGCTTGAGCTCAGGAGTTTGAGACCAGCCTGGGCAACATAGTGAGACCCGGTATCTACAAAAACATCAAAAAATTAGCTGGGCGTGATGGCGCGTGCCTGTAGTCACAGCTACTCAGGAGGCTGAGCGGGAGCGGGGATCCCTTGAGCCCGGGAGGTTGAGGCTGCAGTGAGTCATGATTGCACCACTGCACTCCATTCTGGGTGACAGAGCAAGACCCTGTGTCAAAAAAAAAAAAAAAAAAAAAGAAATGTATGACTCAGATCGAAGAGATGTTAGGTGTGCTGATGGGAGGCAGAGGGGAAGTCTGGAGGCAGCAGGGAGCTGATTGAGCTCATCAGCTGTGCAACAGCGAAGCCCAGAACGGAAGGGCGGGGAAGCTTCCGGGGCTGTGCCTGTATTAAGGTCACAGGGTGTGAAGTGATCCCACAGGCTTTCCTGCGGGGGTTGTGGATTGGCTGGTTTAAAGAAAACATGCACGAGGAGGAAACTGATTTACATGACTCTGGTGTTGAGCATTAGGTCTTATCGTGGTCAGCAGCCGTGGGATGTGTTGGGTTTTGGGTCAGTGAGGCGAGGACCACGTGGGCTATGTCGCAAACAATCACATGACAGGGAGGGAGGGGTGTTATCTAGGGCAAAGGT